>NC_000002.12:236277496-236580527 GCF_000001405.40 Homo sapiens
TACTCTTTAAATTAATAACTAGTCATCAAAAGATACTATTAAGAGAGGAAAAAAGCAAGCAAGCCATAGAGTTAAGAAAGATATTTCCAGCATATAAAACTGACAGTGCACATATTTGGATCATATAAGGAACTGAACTTCTAAAAATCAATAAGAAAAAGAGAGGCAACTCAGTAGAAAAAAGAGACTGGAATGGATACTCCAGAAGAGAATATCCAAGTAACAATAAATAGATGAAAGGGGCTTAATCTTATTAGTCAGCAGAGAAACACAAATTAAAGCTACACTGAAATACCACTACACAGCCACGAGAATGGGTACAATTTGCAAAGACCAGTGTTTTTGAGGATTTGGAGCAATATGGACTTCCATACACTGCTAGGGTGTAAATTGGTACAACTACTTTAGAAAACTGAGATTATCTACTCAAGTTGAAGTTACCCAAAATTTTCACTCGCAGGTGAATTGTGTACAGAAATGCCCAACAGAAATGTGTACCCATGTCTAGGACACCTACTAGAATATTCATAGTAGCATTGTTCCTAATAGCCCCAAACTGGAAACAATCCCAATGTCCATCAACAGCAGAATGGATAAATTAATTGTGGGTATATTCCTACCATGGAAAACATACAGTAATGAAGATGAATATACTATAGTTACTGGTAACAAGTAACAAGTTACTGGATGACTCTTACAATATAATATTGAATAATGGAAGTTGTCAAAAACTTAAGAATAAATCCTGTATTACACAACTTATGTAAAGATTATGAAACAGGCAAAACCAAACTATAGTGATTACAGTCAAGATCGTGATTGCTGGCAGGGCATGGTGGCTTAAACCTGTAATCCCAGCACTTTGGGAGATTGAGGTGGGAGGATCACTTGAGCTCAAGAGTTTGAGGCCAGCCTGGGCAACATAGGGAGATCTCATCTATACTAAAAAAAAAATAGCTGGATGTGGTGGTGCATGCCCGTAGTCACAGCTACTTGGGAGGCTGAGGTGGGAGGATTGCTTGAGCCTGGTAGGTGGAGGCTGCAGTGAGCTGTGATTACACCATTGCACTCCTACCTGGGTTGCAGTGTGACCCTGAGACAGTGTGAAACCCTGTCTCAGAAAAATAAAAAAGATCAAAAAAAGATCATGATTGCCTTGAAAGAGCAAGAGGAGGTAATAATTGGGAAGGGACATAAGAGGAATTTCTGGGAGTGTTTTATTTCTTGAATTGGGTGTTAATTACAGGATAATTCGTGATAATTCACCAGCATTTTTCCTGGTGTGTGTACTTTTCTATTTGCATCTTACACTTCATAATACAAAAAATAAATAAATAAAAATGGACTGTCTCAAAGAAAAAAAGCAATGGAAACAGATGCCAGGTAGAAATAATCAGAGGAGTTTGTAATGAGAGTTTCTCCATAATTTGAAACCAAAAAAGATGGGGCTGTAAGGAGTGGAGATGTGGGTGAAGATATCCTCAGATGGATTAGGAAGAACAGGAATTTCTGTTGTGAGTACCAGCAAGCTCCATGGGGACTGGCTCTGGGCTGAATTGTCCCTTAGCTCACCTTCTGAGCCTTACATGTCAAAGGCCAATCTGTCAGCACTGAGCATCTGGTTTGGATGATATTTGGTGTTCCCAAGACTTCCCACTTCTTCCCCTCTTCCCCTTATTGACCCTTAGTGGTCTAGGTACGCAAAAATTCCACTGAAAAGAGAGATCCTACAATGAATTAGTACAAGGTAGGCAGTCCAGTAGAAAAATGGGCAAGAACTTGTAGTGGAATGGTAGTGTAAAGAGAAACAACAAAGAAACAACTATTTTAAATCAGGAGGAAATTACCCAATGTGTTGGGTAGTGGCAGAGGCATTGCCTACTATTATATAATAAATAAATAGATTTAATGTACATATTGCACTTTGTAGTTTGTAAATCAACAACACACAGTCTTTTCAAATATCTACAGGTTTGTTTTTGCATGGACATATGTTCATATCCTAGGCCATACAGAAAATATTAATAATTTTCAAACAAATGTATTTATTCTCTGGCCACAAGTGAATAAAATGAAAACATATCAGCACTCTTAGAAAAATCAAAAATCACCAAAACACTTGGATATTAAAAAAAAAAACAAAAACAGGCCAGGCACGGTGGCTCACGCCTGTAATCCCAGCACTTTGGGAGGCTGAGGTGGGCAGATCATGTGAGGTCAGGAGTTCAAGACCAGCCTGGCTGACATGGTGAAACCCCATCTCTACTACAAATACAAAAAATTACCCAGGTATGGTGGCAGGCTCCTGTAATCCCAACTACTTGGGAGGCTGAGGTAGGAGAATTGCTTGAACCCAAGAGGTGGAGGTTGCAGTGAGCTGAGATCTCACCACTGAACTCCAGCCTGGGTGACAGAACAAGACATCACCTCAAAACAAACAAACAAACAAACAAAAATTTTAAATGAATAACTTACAGGTTACAGAAGAAATCAAATCAGTAATAAGATATTTAGCTTCAAATGAATGTCAGTGAGAGTACATCAAAAAATTTGTGGAAGGTAGCCAAAGTTGTCTTCAGAAGAAAATTTGTAGCCTTAAATGTCTTTATTATGAAACAAGGAAAGAAGGGAAATAAAAGAACTAAGCACTTTTACAACAGAGAAAATAATATAAAAATAAAACTAAAAAGGCAAGAATATAGAACTAACAAATTTAGAAATGAAGGAAATAAATAGAAAAATAGTTCAAATGATTGAAAAACTAAATATCTTTTAAAAAAGAAAATGTAAAAAAAAACCTCTACCAAGGTCAATTAAAAAAAAAAAAGAGAATGAGCACAGATACATAGCGTTTGGGAAAGGAAGCTAAAACTAGATAGTAAAATTTTTAATATTTAAAAAAATATATTTTAATTCACTTGAAAGTGTTAATGAAATGGATAATTTTTCAGGAAAATAAAAAGAAACAAAAATGAAATAATGGGGGAGGCTGAGGCAGGAGAATGGTGTGAACCCGGGAGGCTGAGCTTGCAGTGAACCGAGATCGTGCCATTGCACTCCAGCCTGGGCAACAGAGCGAGACTCCATCTCAAAAAAAAAAAAAAAAAAAAAAAGAAAAAAAAAAAAGAAATAGTGAAAAGGTAGAAAGCCAAAGTCTATCAATTTTGTTGAGGAAATTAAAAATATTGTCAAATAAATATTTAGAAAAAGACAAAATAAAACACAACAAACATAATAGCCATCAGGAACAACAGCAAACAAAGCCAGAGTAACATCAATTACAAATATAATTGCAAAAATTGTATATAAAAAAACTAGAACATCTAGAGAAAATGGATAAATTCCTGGAAGCATACAACTCTCCTAGATTAAATCAGGAAGAAACAGAAAACCTGAACAGACCAATAACAAGCAGCAAGATTGAATCAGTAATCAAAAAAACTTGCCAACAACAAAACAATCCAGGACCAGATGGATTCACAGCTGAATTCTAGAGACAATCAAAGAAAAATTGGTATTCTCCTGAATCCATTGAAATCCTTCTGAAACTATTCCAAAAGATAGAGAGAGGGAATCCTCCCTAAATCATTCTGTGAAGCCAGTATCACCCTAATACCAAAACCAGTAAAGCACATAACAAAAAAAGAAAACTACAGACCAATATCCTCAATGAACATAGATGTGAAACTCCTCAACAAAATACTGGCTAACCAAATACAGTAGCACGTCAAAAAGACAATACATCATGATTGAGTGGGTTTTATACTGGGGATGTAGGGATGGTTTAACATACACAAGTCAATAAATGTGATATATCACATAAATAGAATAAAAAAACATATGATTATTTCAATAGATGCAGAAAAAGCATTTGACAAAATCCAGCATCACTTTATGATAAAAACCCTAAAAAAATAGACATAGAAGGGATTTACCTCAAAGTAATAAAAGCCATTCATGACAAACTGACAGCCAACATCATACTGAACAGGGAAAAGTTGAAAGCATTCCCCATGAGAATTGGAACAAGACACGGATGCCCACTTTCACCACTTCTATTCAACAGAGTACTGGGAGTACCAGCCAGAGCAATCAGACAAGAGAAAGAAATAAAGGGTATCACAATTGGGAAAGAGGAAGTGAAACTGTCACTGTTTACTGATGATATGATCATATACCTAGAAAACCCTAAAGACTCATCCTAAAAGTTCCTAGATCTGATAAACAAATTCAGTAAAGTCGCAGGTTACAAAATCAATGTACCCAAATCAGTAGTACTGCTATACACGAATAACAGCCAAGCTGAGAATCAAATCAAGAGCCCAATCTTTTTTACAATAACTGCAAAAAAAAAAATCTAGGAGTATACTTAACCAAGAAGGTAAAAGATCTCTGCAAGAAAAACTACAAAACACTGCTGAAAGAAATAGATGACACAAATAAATAGAAACATATCCCAGGCTCATGAATGGAGAAATGACCATACTTCCCAAAGCAATTTACAAATTCAGTGCAATTCCCACAAAAATGCCATCATCATTTTTCACAGAACTAGAAAAAACAATCCTAAAATTCACATGGAACCAAAAAAAGAGCCTGCATAGCCAAAGCAATACTAAGCAAAAAGGAAAAATCTGGTGGCATCACATTACCCAACTTATACTACAAAGCTATAGTTACCAAAACAACATGGCACTGGTATAAAAATAGGAATGTAGACCAATGGAACAGAATAGAGAACCTTGAAATAAAGCCAAATACTTAACAGCTAACTGATCTTCAACAAAACATGCAAAACATAAATTGGGGAAAGGACACACTATTCAATAAATAGTGCTGGGAAAACTGGCAAATCATGTGCAGAAGAATGAAACTGGACCTCCATCTCTTACCTTATACAAAAGTCAACTCAAGATGGATCAAAGACTTAAATCTAAGACCTAAAACCATAAAAATTCTAGAGGATAACATCGGGAAAACTCTTCTGGATATTGGCTTAGGCAAAGAATTCATGACTAAGACCCCAAAAGCAAATGCCACAAAACTAAAAATAAATAAATGGGACCTAATTTAACTAAAAAATGTCTGCATAGCAAAAGAAATAATCAGCAGAGTAAACAGACAACTCACAGAGTGGGAAAAAGTAGTCACAAACTATGCATCTGACAAAGGGCTAGTATCCAGAATCTACAAGGAAATCAAATTAGCAATAAAAAAGCAAATAATCCTATCAAAAAGTGGGCAAAGTTCATGAATAGACATTTCTCAAAAGAAGATATACAAATGACCAACAAACATGACAAAATGCTTAACATCACTAATCATCAGGGAAATGCAAAATAAAACTATAATGAGATTCAACCTTACTCCAGCAAGAATGGCCATAATTAAAAAGTCAAAAAACGATAGATGTTGGCATGAATGTGGTGAAAAGGAAACACTTTTACACTGTTGGTGGGGATGTACATTAGTACAACCATGATGGAAAATAGCATGGAGTTTCCTTAAAAAACTAGAAGTAGAACTGCCATTTGATCCAGCAGTCCCACTCCTGGATATCTACTCAAAGAAAAAGAAGTCATTATATGAAAAAGAAACATGCACTGAATGTTTTATAGCAGCACAATTCACAGCTGCAAAGATATGGAACTAACCTGAGTGCCCATTGATCCACAAGTATATAAAGAAAATGTAGTATATATACACCATGGAATACTACTAAGCCATAAAAAGCAATGAAATAATGAATAATGTCTTTTGTAGCAACTTGGATGGAGCTGGAAGCCATTATTATTACTATTATTATATTTTTGAGGCAGAGTTTCACTCTATTGCCCAGGCTGGAGTGCAGTGTTGTGATCTCGGATCACTGCAACCTTCACCTCCCAGGTTCAAGGGATTCTCGTGCCTCAGCCTCCGAAGTAGCTGGGATTACATGTGCCACCACACCCAGCTAATTTTTGTATTTTTAGTAGAGACAGGGGTTTCACCATGTTGGCCAGGCTGGTCTCGAACTCCTGACCTCAAGTGACCCACCTGCCTTGGCCTCCCAAAGTGCTGGGATCACAGGCGTGGGCCACTGCACCTGGCCTGGAAGCCATTATTCTAAGTGAAGTAACTCACGAATGAAAACCCAAATATTGTATGTTCTTAGTTGTAAGTGGGAGCTAAGTTATGCGGATGGAAAGGCATAAAAGTGATATAATGGACTTTGGGTACTCGGGGGGGAATATTGGGGAGGTGAGGTATAAAAGCCTGTATATTGGGTACAGTGTACACTTCAGGTGATGGGTGCACTAAAATCTCAGAATTCACCACTAAAGAGCTTATCCATGTAATCAAAAACTTTGATTACACCTGTACCCCAAAAACTGTTGACATAAAAAGAGATAAAAAATTGTATGTAGAATAGCAACAAATCAAATCCAGGAAAGTGCTCAAAGAATAATACATGTGATCAAATAGTTTATTGTAGGATTGCAAAATTTGTTTAGCTTTAAAAATACTATTAACATATTTTACCATCCTTTGGCATAGTATGAGAAAAAATAAAAAAATATGATAAAATACGATTGTGTCTCAATAGATGATACAATAACATTGAATACCATTAAATATCCATTTCTTATTAAAACTAGTAAGCTAGAATTAAAGGATACTTTCTTACATGGTAGAGATTATCTGTCCAAAGGTAACAACCAACATCATATTTAATGCTGATTTTTACTATGGTCAAGAGCAAAACAAGCAAGCTCACTATCACCACTTCTTCCCTGTCTCAGTGTGAAATCAATTGAGAGGAGTCATCAGACACATGGGTCAAAATGTCAGCTTCATTACTGATAAAGCCAACTGCAGCATGTGGCTTTAGATCTGAAGCCAGAGGAGCTTGCCAGCAGTCCCTGAATTAGACAATATACCACAGTCACTGGCAGCTCTGACTCTCTCCACCCACACCCAGCTAGGACTGGCTCTTTCAGGAAGCAGAGAAAACCAGACAACGCTGCCTTCTCAGATGGCAGATTCAAAGAGAATCTAGAAAAGGCTAAGCCATGCAGGCAAATTCTTTCTCCCAAACAAATGCTCCCAAGAAGAAAAATATGAGAATTAGAGGAAGGTCAGGAGCATCACAGAAATGCAACCTTTACCATGTGGAAGCATGTAGTCAAGGGGACCCCTAACAGTATTCTACACTCTTTGAGAAGTTTTAGCCATTGTGATAGGACAGGAAAAAGAAACAGGAATGATAAATATCTTAAAGGAAAATCAGAATGATTGATCATTATCTGCAAATGTTATAGCTATCTATTTAGAAAATCCAAGCAAATCAATTGAGAAACATTAATTAGAGCTTATAAAAGTGTTTGGTAAGCTAGCCTATTGCTTTCCTTAAATGATAGAATTAATGGCTTTTCTATATACCAGCGAAGTTAGAAAATTGGGCAAGTTGTGGAAGGAGGGATCCTGGGAAAATAAATTCATAACAATGTCCAATAAATACAATAAAAGAATTTTGGAAGAAAATCTGCCTTGCCAAACGACAAAATATGTTATGAAGCTGCAATAATTCTTAAAGTGTGGTAGTGGCAAAAGAATGTTTGCAAGATGAAGAGAAGAATACTAAATTCAGAAACAGAACTAATAAATAGGTTTAGAATATGAAATAGTGGCTGTGATGGTTTGAATGTGTCCCCTCCAAAATTCAAGTGTTCGCAATGTGATGGCTTTAAGAGGTGGGGCCTGTAAGAGTGATTAGGCCGCGAGGGCTCCTTCCTCATGAATGGGATTTAAGGCCCTTATAAAAGAGGCTTCATGCAGTATTTAGCCCTTTTTGTCCTTCCACCTTCTGCTATGTGAGGACACAGCGTTTCTCCCCAACAGAGGATGCAGCATCAAGACGCCATCTTGAACATGGAGACCAGACCCTCAACAATGAATCTGCCAGCCTCTCGATCCTGGACTCTCAGCCTCCAGAACTGTGAGAAACAAAATTATGTTGTTTTTTAACTACCCAGTTGCAGGTGTTGTTTTGTAGCAGCCCGAACAAAAAGAGTGACATTTAAAGTCATGATTCTAGGAAGGATTGTCAACAAATGCAGTTGGCATAACTGAAAAAATACAAGTTAAATCTGTCATCCCATGCACCAAAAGAAATCCCAGATGATTTAAAAATTTAAACAATGAAAATGAAATCATACCACCACTAAAGGAGAATGTAGATACACATTTTTATTTCCTTGGGGTGAAGAAGGGCTTCCTAAACTTCAAGACAAAGGTAGAATATTGAAGATAGATTTGCCCACACAAGCAATTTTAAACTTCCAAATACCAAAAAGCCTTAAAAATTAAGTGGAAAGGGCACCTGTGAGAAATGTGACAGAGGGTCAAAACTTCGCATGTCAAGGGCTTCTTAATATTCAATAAGGACACTTCCACATCTCTGATGGCAAAAGGGACCAATGACAGTTACAGCCAATTCACAAGAAAGAAGTCAAAATGCCAGTAAATTCCTGAAAGTGATGTTTAATCTCACTGATATTCAAAGAAATGCCAACTAAAATATTAAATTGATAAAACTTTGAAAATGTGTGTGTATATGCTGGGAAGCCTGTAGGAAAGGGGCGTTTCTGTACATTTCTGGCGGACGTAAAGTTTCTGCAGGACGGAATGTATGGCATGACATGATTTCATTTTTGGTAAAGTATGTTTAAAATTTGCTTAGAGAAAGATGGAAGATTCCAAATATTAACCATGGTTATTTCTAAATGAGTGTTTACAATTTTTATTTGTGTGTTCTCAGTTTTTTACAACAAAATGGTCTTATTTTTGTAACCATACTGAAAGCTATTTTTTTAAAAATTAAAGAATACAATTATGAGGCTACTTTAGAAAACTTTGAGGAGTGAGTAAAAGATTGGGGACGTCCTAGAAGGTACAAAGTGACAGTGATTAGAAGTGTGGTATGAGTGTGGGAATTAACAGACTAATGGACTAGAAGAGATGGACTAGAAAGAGTCCTCGGTGGATATTAGATCTCAAGACTGTTGGAGCTGAAAAACTGTCATTTGGAAGATTGCAAGCGATTCCCATAGGGGGAATGTTTCCCTGGGAGGGGCCGCTTACTAAACCCCTTTAAATTGGAAACAACCCAAATATCCAACGATGGGGAATTGGCTAAGTAAATGATGGTACATTGATTCATTGGAGTTCTATGTGGCCATACAAATGCTGTGTTGGTAGAATATTTAATGGCATGGAAATTTGTTTACAGTTTATTGTTAAGTGCACGTTTGGTTTCAAAACCAAATGCATATTATGATCCATATTTGTAAAAAATATGTATTTATTTACAGAAAAGAGTTGAAGGATGCCTTTCATTTTTTTCTGTTGACTTATCTGTATTATATTTTTTCTATAATGAGCATCTATTTATTTTATAAGACAGTACACTACAGATGTAATTTATATATAGTTTACATAAAAATGTAAAAAGAGAGGGAATGGTTTTCAGGTCCGTAAGTCTTGACTCTGAGATGACGCAATGAATCAATGCACCCAGGAAGGGTGAGTCAGAAGGGGGTTTGTCAGCAAAAGGCAAGAGGGGCAAATGCTATTGTGGGCCTCCTAAATCCTGTCCATGGGAGAGCCCCCTGGCCTCCAAAGAGTAAAGAGCCACAGGCTAAATCCTCTGTCCTGTGAGGCAGCAGCTTGAGGCCACCTTGACCAGGAGTCATGTGACATCTGCTTCATGTCGCTGGCTCTCTGGTTCTGGCTCTGTGCACATGGCTAACTGCTGGTGGTGTGGGCTTCCCTTGGGCTGTGGAGAATGGATTAATGGGACATTATCTGGGACAGGAGGCCAGCTGAGTCATGCTTCCCTGTAGGGAGATGAGCAATGACTGGAGAGTCTGAAACGACGGTGAGGGAGAGGCATTAAGAGCCACAGGGCTGTGTGCCTGTGGGGTTAAGGGCAGGCGGAAACACCCAGAAGAGGAGAACTGTTCTGAGAGGGGAAATGATGGAACAACTTTGAACTTGTCGCACTTGTAGACCTGCAGGACATATAGATGGAGATTTCTTGGGTGTGGTAAGATGTTCATGTCTGGGAGGATTCTGGACCAGGAGAACAAATACAGGGTCATCAACAGATGATATTCTTGAAGGAGGTCACCCAGGAAACCCAGAGAATGAGAGAGAAAAGCAGCTAAGGACAGAACCCCAGCACTCCAACACCCAGGGGCATGGAGGAGAAGGAGAGCACGCACAGAAGTGTGAGGGGATGACCAGAGAAGTGGGGATCAGCACGGAACCCAGGGCAGAGCGGGATGCTGAGGCCAGGGAGTCATCAGCGGTGTTGAGTGGCACAGAGCAGTGCAGAAGGACAGACGATGAGGTGAAACCATTTTGGTCAAACCCCAGGGGCAGAAGGCAGGCTGCGCCTTGCTGAGAATTGGACCAGAGGGAAGAGAAGACTGAGTGTCCACTGTCACAAGGAGACAGGGTTTGAAGGGAAAAGGATGGACCTGTCATTGTGTGGGACTGCAGAGCTTTGAGAATGCTTGTATCCCAAAAAGTAAAAGTGTACAGAGAGAAACTTCATTATATGGAAGGTACTGCAGCCAGAGGAAGAAAATGATAGAGCCGAAAGGCTGATGATCACAGAGAGTTAGGGGCCCCACCTCCAGCTGAAGCAGGAACACACCCACTGGTTCAGGAGGGAAGAAGGATGGACAGACAGATGTCAGTTTGTCTTGGGAGTCCAGATTAGTGAGAGAGGAAGTTTAGTGGTATCTTTTCTTTTAATAAAATAAGAGTCAGAATCATTTGCTGAGAGAGAGGCAGAGATGGTTGGACACAGAGCTTGCGCAGCAGTAAATGTTAGAAATGGCTGTTGTGGTTAGTGGGAGAGTATATTAGTCTGTTCTCACACTGCTAATAAAGACATACCCAAGCCTGGGTAATTTATAAAGGAAAGAGGTGTAATTGATTCACAACTCTGCAGGGCTGGGGAGGCCTCAGGAAACTTACAATCATAGTGGAAAGGGAAGCAAGCACATCCCTGTTCACATGATGGCAGAAAGGGGAAGTGCTGAGCAAAGAGGGAAAAGCCCCTTATAAAACCATCAGATCTCGTGAGAACTCACTCACTATCATGAGGACAGCATGAGGGTAACAGCCCCTCCCTGATTAAATTACCTCCCACTGGGTCCCTCCCACAACACATGGGGGTTATGGGAACTACAATTCAAAATGAGATTTGGGTGGGGACACAGCCAAACCATATCAGAGAGGTAGCTGATTAGGAGCAAAGGGAAAATGGGTGGGTAGCATGGAGAGACCATGAGTGTTAGTGGCACCTGCAGTAAGGGATGCTTCCTGCTATGAGCCTGTCACATGTCTTATTCTCTGATCTATCACGAAGGGTTAAGGAGAGACATGGTCTATCTTTCAGTTGTCCTCAATCCTGAAGAATTATTCTAGTAAGTCTCTGTGCTAGGCTTGCAGAACAAGGTTCATGGTCTCTAGGGGCATCTAGCCAAAAGAAGTGGGGAGACAAGAACATAAAATAAGGAACTTGATCAGCCTGGGCAATAAGTGGTGGTGGTGGGGAGGCAACTTCTTGCTACAGTAACCAGGGAACTCATGGGCGGGTGGCTTTTGCACTGGAATCCAAGGGATGGGCATAATTTTGGAAGGTAGAATGTTTTCCTGGTTGGAGGGAGGTGGGTGAGCAAAGGGATATGATATGGAAGCACCAACAGGTGTGTAGACCAGGCCAGCAGGAGAGGAGGGCATGGGTGAGATGGGTGAGATGGAAGGGGCTGGGGCAGCAGGGAGGGTCCTGAACACCAGGGATCAACTGTTCATGAGCAACTATATAATTTCTTGGAGAAAGCTTGTGAAATGACCAGGTGCTGTTTTAGGAAGGTGAATCTGGCATAATTTCTAGGAAGGAGAGGAAAGGATAACCTGGGGGTAGAGAGAAGGCTCCTGTGTCACAGATCTCTTAAAGAGTGGCTAATGAGTGGCAAAACAATGAGATTAAACAATCCATGTGATTATGCATTTACACTTCTAATTTTAAATCCAGCACCCTAATTAAGCATAAATTATTTTGCCATTCAAATGTATTCTGGTTCGAAGCTCCCTCTCTGTTGGTGGTGAGAAGGAGGAGGGTGGAGGGGAAGTAACCACAAGTCAACAATCAGAATCATCTGTCGTTTCTACTGAAGAGTTCCGAAGGCCATGCAGCCGTTCCTAGGTTTCTTGCCTTCTAAATGGTAAAGAAAATAGCAAGCTGGCCGCTTGCCATCCTGACCTGGCTGTGCCTTCTTTGAGAGGTGGCCATTGCTGGAGGTGGGTTGTGTCCTTTGGCTGTGACTGATTCTTCATGTAGCCCGCCCAAGTCCCTGCCCTGTGAAGGACGGCTGGAGTAGAGCATGGGAGAGTCCAGTTGCCCCCATGTCTAGAATCAATTAGAAGCCCAGTTATCACCAAGAAGAGCTTCCAGGCACCAAACAAATTTACACAGGATGCCAGACATTCCCTCTGTGACAGCCGAGGAAGGGGATGTCCGAGCCCAGCTGGGCAGGGAAATGCAGCCCATTCCAATCCCCTGTCAGTGGCGCAGATGGCTTGAGGGGAAAGCTGGGTAGGATGGAGGGAGGGAACCCAGGTAGGAGGGGAGGGGATGCTGGTTTCACTCGGATCTGCAGGACCAGCCTGCATGTTTGGGAACCTGTGCTTCTGCAGAGCTGCTGCTCTCCCTCTGGCAGATGAGCTGCGAGCCTCATTTGTCCTGCAGTGGTAATCCCCTTCCCTCACCTGTTCCACCAGTGGGACAAAGCCACTATTGGGGTGGGGGAAATATGTGCTCAGGAGGAAGAGGGGCTCACTCTCCTGGTACCTTCCAGACTGCCTGGGGTTGTAGGGAGTTGGGTCACCCACTGCTGAGGGTAGCGCTCCCTGAGTGGCCCACTACTCCTGAGTTTGGGACCCCTCAAGTGTGGACGTTGGGGCAAAATAGAGAGTTATCAAGTGTGTGCTTAATGTCTTTTCAGTTCCAGACTCTGTAAGAGGGCACAGGATAGAAACATTAAAACCACATAATCCCTCTTGCTGAGGCTTTATAATATGACTGACAGCCAGTCCTAAGTCTAGAGAACATTTTAATGCATGATGTCAAAGGCAAGGATGGTAGACATGATATGTAAGTGATGGAGGAGTTCATAAGAAAAAAAAGATGATTGTGAGTTTGGAATGTATTCTGAGGACTTCGTGGAAGGGGTGACATTGAACCTGCTCGAGAGTGGTGTATGAGGCAGACGGGGGGCTTCCTAGGGAGGCAAAAGCCCGGCAGAAGCAGGGGAAGGGTGAAGAGGGGGCTGAGCACACACTGGTTAATTCAGGAACTCAGTTAGTAATCCCCTGTTCCAGGCACCAGGGTCACAGGAGTGAACAAGAGAAAAGGTCCCCATGCTCCAATGGGCGACAGTGAACAAATAAACACCTTGGAGGCCACAAAGTGCCTTGAAGGAAAATAAAGATGAGGAGCACTAGGGGTGAAGGGTGGCTGCTTTTTGATGTGGCGTGATCTGGACGCCTCCTTGGATAAGGCGACATCTGAGCAAACACCAAGGGAAGAGAGGAAGGAGCCATGCAGATACTGAGGGGTGGGTGGAAGAGTGTTCCAGGACAAGGGGACAGCAGGTGCAAAGACCCCTGGGCAAGGAAAGTGCTAGCTGTGTTTGAGGAACAGCCAGGAGTTTCACTGGGCTGGAGGGCAGTGAGATGAAGGGTGGCTAAGTCACGGAGGGGCTTAAAGGTCATTATGAGGAGGTTGGCTTTTCTGCTGGGGGAGGTGGGAGGCTACTGGAGGTCTGGAGCAGAGGACACTCACCTGCCTTGGTTGCTGAAAGGATCTGAGGGTGGACTACAGGGGGCAGGGGTGGGACCAGGGAGACACTTAGGGAGCTACTGCAACAGTTCAGGTGAGAGTTGGTGGCTTGGACCAGGGCAGTAGCAGTGGATGGCATAAGAGGAATTTGGAAACTGAAAATATTTTAAAGATAGAGGAGTCAGGATTTCCTGATGGATCAGATGTGGATGTGAGAGGAGGAGGAGCCCAGGGTGACTCTAGGCTTTTGGGCTGAGCCACCAGAGCTTGGAGTGTCCATGACTGGGGTGGGGAAGGCTTGGGGGGAAACAGGCATCAGTGGGTAAACCCAGGGCATCAAATTTGGACTTTTAAAGTTGGAGTTCATCATTATATATCCAAGGCAGGGGTTGAGTAGGCAGTTGGAAACACTCCACTATTTTTAGTTTGAGGAAAAGGTCCAGCTGGAAGACAGAAATTTGGGAGCCATCAGCATTTAGATGGCATTTGAGACCTTTTGGTGAGATGATGCTATACAGAGGGTGACTGTGGATAGAGAAGAGACAAAGCCAAGGATGAGGCACCTGGGACAAGAAGACAAGGGGTGACTAGTGAGAAAGAAATAGGGAGGCAGGTTGGCTGCCATGGACACAGCCTTGGGGAGTGCCGGGAAAGAGGAGGTGTGGGCTGACGGAGAGCCATGAGCCACAGTGGGGCATTATCCCTTGATCTGGTTGCATTAGGGTCTTTGCAGCACTTCCTTGCCTGGAAGCTATCCTACTGAACACACTGGTCTACACTAGTTGCCAAATCACCACTGGAAGGGATCACAAAAATGCAGTGAGCAAACTCGGGTTTCCATAGGATGATTTGCACAAAACCAGAGAAAGTACATGGGTCACCTTGCACAAAAGGAAACATTGCAAAGTATTTTTTTTTTTTTTAAACTTTATGGCCAGGCACGGTGGCTCATGCCTGTAATCCCAGCACTTTGGGCGGCTTAAATTAGCTGGGTGTGGTGGGGGCACCTGTAATCCCAGATACTTGGGAGGCTGAGGCAGGAGAGTCGCTTGTACCCAGGGGGCAGAGGTTGCAGTGAGCCTAGATAGCGCCACTGCACTCCAACCTGGGCAACAGAGTGAGACTCCATCTCAAAAAAATAAAAAATAAAAAACCCACAACTTTATTGAGCTATAATTGACATGCAATAAAATTCCCTCATTTAAGTGTAAGGTTAGAGTTTTGACAAATGCATGTTGTCATGTACCCACCGTCACAATTGATATATAGGATGTTTTCATTACCTCAAAAACCCAAGTAGGAATTAAAAAATATTCTTCCCCCACTCTGACCCACTGCTGTGGTCTATTTTTGTGCAATGTGTTGGCATCTTGCTTGGTGCAGTGTAAACATCATAGAACCTGAGGCCAGCCGGCTGCCGAAGACTGAGTGTAGCAGTCAGCATTCGCAAAAATTCTGAATCTAAATAGTGCAGAAATAAAGGACTTATTTTATCATCTAAATCTTAAATGGATTAACTTACTTCCCGAGTAGGAGTCTGGTTCAGGAAACCTCCCTGAATGTAACGTTGAGAGACAGTTTTTATGAAAGGACATGTTTATCCCCATTGGACTAAGTATCTTTCAGACCAATACAGTTAATGGAATCTTGGTTTGAGCTCGGCCACAGATTACTGGCTGCTCCGGTCCTGGGCTCCATTTTGACAGGGCTCAACTCCCTAACCACTAGGAGACACGACATGGAACCTCCCTGACCACTAGGAGACACGACATGGAACTCTTTCCTGGGATGAAGGACAGATCACATCTAGGGCTTCCAAACTGGCACAGGCCACACGAGAAAGCTGGGTGAGGCTCTCTTCAGGAGGCCGAGAGATCCACTCACAGCTCTTCTGCTTGTGCCTTGCCAGACTCAGAGCAGCAGGGGAGAGAGGAACTATTTTGATGGGAGAGATGTCCTCCCACCACTGGCCACTCACAGAAGTGACCAGAAGCCTGTCCCCAGGGGCTCTCTCTCCGTGGTAGGCCCTGGAATGTGGCTGATGAGCCCAGGCCAGGTGAGTCTGGGGCAGCAGCCCCCAGGTGTCTCTCCTGGGGCCAACCGCTTACCTCCCAGCCTCTGCTCACACCTGCTCAGAACCCGCAGAGCTAAGGCCTTGGGAGAAGAGGCCTTGCAGGTGGTGACAGGGCACACCCATCAGGATGCTGTAGAGGGGGAGTGGGGTTAGCTGTAAGAGTTGGATTCACAAAGATCTGGGATTTAAATCAATCAGCTTGAAGTTGGGCAAAACCCCCTTGCCACTGGAGTCTTTGGAACTTGCCTGGGTTAACATCCCTCACCAGCCACGTGCCATGGGGTGTTACCTGACATCCCTGTGCCTCAGTAGTCTCCTCCATCAAATGAGGGGAACGTAACACTCTCACGTGCGTTAACACATGAACGGTGCTGGCTCATGGCAAGGACTCGGTCAATGCTCTCTTTATATGAATGTTGTTTAGTGAGGCGTGAATGTGACACTGTACACATTGGTGTGTACAGCAGTTCAGCCAGGACTCTGTGGCCGTGGGTGTAACCTTTGTGAGGACAGGAGTTTCTTCTTCCTGGGGGAGGAAAATGGATCTATTTAGCTGACAGCCTCATGTACATGATGGTAAAAATCATCCGTGGTTGGGCTAGGCACGGTGGCTCATGCCTGTAATCCCAGCATTTTGGGAGGCCAAGACAGGTGGGTGGTTCACTTGAGCCCAGGAGTTCGAGACCAGCCTGGGCAACCTGGTGAAAACCTTGTCTCTACCAAAAATACAAAAATTAGCCGGGCGTGGTGGTACATAGTTACAATCCCAGTTACTTGAGAGGCTAAGGTGGGAGGATTGCTTGAGCCTGGGAGGTTGAGGCTGCAGTGAGCTGAGATCACCCCACTGCACTCCAGCCTGGGTGATAGAATGAGACGCCATGTCAAAAAAAAAAAAAAAAAAATCATCTCCGTGTGGCCACGGGTAGCAAGTTGAGGTGTGTTTCTCCCAGAGGCATGTGACTACAAGAGCAACCTCATCGGGGCCTAGATGTGTGATAAATGGAGCACTGAACGCCCAAGGTTGGTGTAGGGCCATGGACAGCGTCCTGGGTCTATCCCTTCCTGCCCTGATAAGTGGTCTCCGTTTCTCCATATGGACTATGATGAGCTTGGATGAAATTATCTCTGGGGTCCATTCTAGCTCCGAAGCCCTTGATCTCTTAAGAGTTAGTGCTTACACTCTCCCAAGGCAGCGTCCACTGGGTTTGGTAGAGATAAAAATGTGAACAAGTATCTGTGTAATACCAACAAGACCTCAATTTCCCTTAAATTCCTGCTCCAAAGCCAGTTTTTTTTCCCCCGCAGCTCCGAAGGGCAGAGGAGCATTGCCAGGTGAGCCTCATCAGGCTGGACTCAACTGCTGGCAAATTGGAAAGTATTCTTTGTTTCAGAAGGTAATGAGAATTCGTTGCCAGGTCGTTAAACTTCGCTCCTTCCTGGAGGTGTGGGGAACGAAAACAAGGCACTTTGGAGCAGACCCGGCCAGTTACTGGGAAGGCCACAGATCCACGTGTGTCCAAAGTGGACAGTCCATCTTTCTTCCTTTCTTGTTTTTCTCTCTCTTTTTTTTTTTTTTTTTGACACGGAGTCTTGCTCTGTCACTTCGCTGCAACCTCCATCTCCCAGGTTCAAGCGATTCTCTTGCCTCAGCCTCCGGAGTAGCTGGGATTACAGGCATGTACCATGCCCGGCTAATTTTTGTATTTTTAGTAGAAATGGGGTTTCACCATGTTGACCAGGCTTGTCTCAAACTTCTGACCTCAAGTGATCAGCCTGCCTTGGCCTCCCAAAGTGCTGGGATTACAGGTGTGAGCCACTGCTGCCGGCATTCTTTTTTTTTTTTTTCTTTCTTTTTCTTTTTTTTCTTTGAGACAGAGTCTCTCTGTTGCCCAAGCTGGAGTGCAGTGGCATGATCTCGGCTTGCTGCAACCTCCACCTCCTGGGCTCAAGTGATCTTCCCACCTTAGCCGCCCAAGTAGCTGAGACTATAGATGTGCACCACCACACTCGGCTAATTTTTCATATTTTTGTTAGAGACGGGATTTTGTCACGTTGCCCAGGGTGGTCTTGAACTCCTGAGCTCAAGTGATCCGCCCAACTCGGCCTCCCAAAGTGCTGGGATTACAAGCGTGAGCCACAGTGCTTGGCCTCATTTTAGCCATTTTTAAGTTCAATGGCTTTAAGTGCATTCACACTATTATGAAACCATCACGCCATCCATCTCCAGAACTCTTTTTTCTTCTTCTCAAACTGAAACTCTGAACCTGTTGAACAACTCGCATCCCCACCTGCCCCCAGCCCCTGGCAATCACCATTCTGCTGTCTGTCTCTATGAATTTGACTACTTTACGTACCACATATAAGAGGAATCAAACAGTGTTTGTCATTTTGTGACCTGTTTATTTCACTGAACATAATGTCCTCCAGGTTCATACCTGTGTGAGGATTTCCTTCCTTTGAAGGCTGAGTCGTATTTCATTGCATGTAGAAAATCACATTTTGATTACCCACTCATTGACAGTGGCCATGGGGGTCGCTTCCACTTTTGGCGAGTGTGAGTAACGCTGCTGTGAACATGGTGTCCAGGTGGAAAGAGCACTTCTTGTGCCTTGTTTCATCATATGTCCCTTGCCCCTGCTTGGAGGGGCTGAAATTCCTCTCCCTAGAGTTGGGACTTCTCTCAAATACAGCAGCTCCAGTTTGCTTATTTTCTCAAATACCCGAGTGTCTTTCAAAATGCTACAGCACAGAGCAGAGAAGGGATGATTGTGGCCGGGAAAACTGTAAGCCAGATGCCCCTTAATGTCCATTTCTACCAAAATAGCATCTTAATGTGATGCACATCACACAGTGTATTAGGATTGGGACTGCGTCCTAATGGACCCTCTAGGACACATTAGCCCTATTCTCAACACACCCACCCCCCTTCAAACAGGCATAGACGGTGACCTGTGGAAGAGCATTGCACAGGAATATTCTTCTGGAGCCTTCAAAGAACCTGGCAGAAACAACCGAGGCTTCAGCTTAGGTTATTTAAATGTTCTTCTTGACAACAGTTGTTCAATAAATTCAGCTAATTCTTCTGGCCATTTCTGCAGGTCATTCCATGGAAGTTTGAGGAGGCATACCTTCTGATTTTTTTTTTCTGCCAGGGATTTGTGCTTCCTGTTCCTCTAAAAGTAGCACCACATTTTTTAGTTAATTAAATTTAGTTAAAAGAAGGGAAAGGGGCAAAAGACATGAACAGACATTTCACTGAAGGGGAAGTACAGATGGCAAATATACACACAGAAAGATGTTCACCATCATTAGCCATCAGGGAAATGCAACTTGAGGTGACAATGAGTTATCCTGCACATCGATCAGAATGGCTAAAATAAAAAATTGCGACAACATCAAATGCTGGCGAGGATGCAGAGAAACTGGCTCACTCATCCCTGGCTGGCGAGTGTGTAACATGGTGCAGTCACTCTGGAAAAACAGTTTGGTGGCATCTTGGTAAACTATATATGTAATTTCCATAGACCCAGCAATTTCACTCCTGGGCATTTATCCCAGAGAAATGAAAACTTATGTCCACCTGAAAACCTATACATGAATATTCATAGCAACTTTATTTGTAATTATCCCAAACCAAAAATAACCCACGTGTCCTTTAATGGGTGAATGGCTAAACAAACTGTGGTGCCGACATACTGTGGGGTACTGCTCAGCAATGGAAGAGGCACACAGACATATGCAGTAACTTGGATGAATCTCATTGGCATTATGCTAGAAGAGAAAAGTCAATCCCTAAAGGTAACACACTGTCTCATTCCATTTACATGACATTCTCGAAATAGCAAAATTACAGAGTTGGGGAACAGATAGTGGTTTCCAGGGCTAAGGGATGGAGGAGGACAGGGGGGTGGGTGTTCTGGTAGGAAGGCAACAAGAAAGATTCTTCTGGCGGAAATGTTCTGTGTCCTGACCATGGTGGTGGATACAGGATCCTACACCTGATAAAATTGCATAGAACTAAGCGCACGTGTGCACACACCAATGAATACATGAAATGAAGATAATTCGAATAAGATCAGTGCTTTGTATTTTTTGTTAATGTTCTTGTGATGTTGGATTATAAATTTTGCAAGATGTTACCATTGGGGGAAACTGGGTGAAGGGGACATGGGATCTCTCATCTCTCTTGTATTATTTATTACAACTGCATGTGAATCTACGGTTATCTAAAAACGAAAGGTTTAATTGAAAAACAAGGGAAGGAGCTAAGCCATTAGACTCCTGTTACTCCATTTGAGATGAAGTTTGTTTGGCCAGAGGGCAGCACCCACCCATCCTGATTCTCAAGGCGTCCATGAAATCGCTAAAGAATCAGGAGGATTGCTTGAGCCCAGGAGGTTGAGGCTGCAGTGAGCTATGATCATGCCACTGCGCTCTAGCTTGGGTGACAGAGCAAAATTCTGTCTCTCTAAAAAAAAATACATAACTGTAGTGCCTGGTGAACCCCAGCTTAAGGCACGGGGTTCTTTATGTATGGTGTTGGGGCCTAAGAGCTGGATGTCTTGGTTTAGAGTCCAGCTCTGCCACTTATTGCTGTGTGAATGTAGACGAGTCACTTTACCTCCACTCCCCATCTGTGAAGGGGATAGCAATATTACCTACCTCACAGGCTGCTGTGAGGGGCGAATGATGTAACACTCGGAAAGGGCTTAGATGGTGCCCGCTGTGTAATCTGGGCATGATACTTGCTACCATCCTCTTAACTACCCCTCCCTTTCAGGTCTCCATTTACAAGTGACATGGGCCAAATTAGATGGGGCATTCTGGCATTCAATTTTTTTCGTTTTTTCACCAAGGGCTGCCATTTAAAAACTGCCAGGGTCATGCTCCCTACCCTTATTTAGTTGGAGATAGCAAAGCAATCTGGAGCAGAGATTTTTGGTCTTGAGAAGCCCCTCTCAGTTATGTACATACGAGGTCAGGGGGCAAAGGGAACTCCGTCTCTAGATCAGAGAGCCTGGAACACACAGGTGGATTTTATCAGAGATTTTCTGATGGATTGAGGGGGTGCTGACACCTGCTGATGGGAAATGACAGAAGCCTCTTGTAGTGGGCTGAATGATGGCCCCCAGAAGATATGCCCCCTGGAAACACGAATGTGATCTCATTTGGAATGATGGTCTTTACAGATGCTGTTATGGGGAGGATCTTGAGATGAGACCATCTTGGTTTATCTGGGTGGATCCTAAATCCAGTGACAAGTGTCCTTGGAAGAGAAGGGGAGCGACATAGGAAGGTCATGTGGTCACAGAGGCAGAGGCTGGAGTGAGCCAAGACACTAGCCAGGGAGCACCCAGCATTGCTGGAAGCTGCTCAGCTGGAGAGAAGCATGGGCCAGATCCTCCATCACAGCCTCCCAGAGAAGTTGCCCCCACCCATGCCTTGATTTCAGACTTCTGGGCTGAAGAACTGGGAGAGAATAGAGTTCTGTTGTTGGAAGCCATTCAGTTTGTGGTGCTTTCTGCCAGCAGCCCCGGGAAACCTCCATTTTCCTCCAGCTGGCTTCCCGGCCTGGAAGGGGCAGCCTGAACCGGAGGCCCAGGCTCAATGCCAGGCTCTAAGTGGAGTTTGGGACCCACTGGCTTTCGTGTGGGCCCCCCTCAGGGAGGGGCTGAGCCTGAGAGTCGGGGGTCAAGGCCTGGCACCTGGAACCTGAGCAGGACTCACCTTGACAGAGCGGGGCCCCGAAAGAGTAGACCCTTCTCTCCTTGGAAAAGAACTGCTGCAGATAGGCAGGAGGCTGGACAGACGAGGGCCCAGCTGTGGAGACAAAGGCCAGCGCTGTGGGAAAAGTTCTGGCTGAATGCAGGGCTGCCTAAATGGCATATGACCTTGCCCTCCTATCAGTGAAAACAATGTGTGTGTGCACGGCACCATATGCACACTTGTTCACTTGTTTATGCGGGGTATAGATGGACTGTGGTTGATGCATGTAGTTGGTGTTTAAAAACTTCACTTCTGGCCAGGCACGGTGGCTCACACCTGTAGTAATCCCAGCACTTTGGGAGGCCCAGGTGGGTGGATCATGAGGTCAACAGATCGAGACCATTCTGGCCAACATGGTGAAACCCCATCTAAGCTAAAAATACAAAAATTAGCTGGGTGTGGTGGCGCACGCCTGTAGTCCTAGCTACTTGGGAGGCTGAGGCAGGAGAATCGCTTGAACCTGGGAGGTGGAGGTTGCAGTGAGCTGAGATCGTGCCACTGCACTCCAGCCTGGCCACAGAGCAAGACTCTGTTTCAAAAATCAAAAAACAAAAACAAAAAACTTCACTTCTTCCCTTTTTTGATAGACAATTGAATATAAATAAGAGTTTTAGTATCTCCTCTCCATATCCCAAGGAAGCACCGCGTGCACCCCTGAGGTTCGCGCACTTCCCTTCGGAGCCCACCGTTGAGTGGATGGGTGGGATTCTTTAGCTCCAGTTTTTATCAGCATAGGAGAGGTGATATAGGCTGGATATTTGTCCCTGCCCAAATCTCACATTGAATTGTAATCTCTGGTATTGGAGGTGGGGCCTGGTGGGAGGTGGCTGCATCATGGGGGTGAGTTTCTCATGAATGGTTTAGTACCAGCTCCTTGGTACTGTCCTCGAGACTGTGAGTGAGTTCTTGTGAGATCTGGTTGTTTAAATGTTGTTTATACATCTCTCCTACTTCTTCTCTTTGCTCTTCTCCTGCCATGTGAGGCACCTGTTCCCCTTTCGCCTCCGCCATCATTGGAAGCTCCCTGAGGCCTCCCCAGAAGCAGATGCCAGTGCCATGCTTCCTGTACGGCCTGCAGAACCGTGAGCCAAGTAAACCTCTTTTCTTATAAATTACCCAGTCTCGGGTATTTCTTTATAGCAATGCAAGAACATGTTCATATGACAGATGTCACTGGTGGGAGGTGAGTGGCTTCTGAAAGATGCACAGACTCAGCCTTCAAACACATCGGCTCCCCTGGTGAGGAAATCAGTTGCCCATTTTCCACTGTTTTTAACAATAAGAGATGAGGACTCCTTTGGAGTGAGAGCCTTTGCAGACCATCATATCTTGCTAGAATTTTGTATTTTTTTGTTTTCATTTTGTTAGTATAGTTCCTTCCTTCCTTCCGTCCGTCCGTCCTTCCTTCCTTCCTTCCTTCCTTCCTTCCTTCCTTCCTTCCTTCCTCTTTCTCTCTCTCTCATCCAAGCTGCAGGGTAATGACATGATCTCTGTTCACTGCAACTTCTGCCTCCCGGGTTCAAGCAATTCTCCTGCCTCAGCCTCCCAAATAGCTGGGATTACAGGCACATGCCGCCATCCTGGCTAATTTTTGTATTTTTAGTAGAGACCAGGTTTCACCATGTTGGCTAGGCTGGTTTCGAACTCTTGACCTCAGGTGATCCACCCACCTCAGCCTCCCAAAGTGCTGGGATTACAGGAGGGAGCCACCGCGCCCGGCCAGTATAGTTACTTTCTACTTAGATCAAGTGAGACTGGTCTTTTTGTTTAATTTTTTTTTAGACGGAGTCTTGCTCTGTTGCCAGGCTGGAGTGCAGTGGTACAATCTCGGCTTATTGCAAGCTCCACCTCCCGGGTTCAAGTGATTCTCCTGCTTCAGCCTCCCAAGTAGCTGGCATTATAGGCACCCACCATTGTGCCTGGCTAATTTGTATCTTTAGTGGAGATGGGGTTTCCCTGTGTTGGCCAGGCTGGTCTCAAACTCCTGACCTCAGGTGATCCACCCACCTCGGCCTCCCAAAGTGCTGGGAATACAGGCATGAGCCACGGTGCCTGGCTGAAACTATATTAATTTGGAAAGAAAAGCAATGCAATCATATTCTCAATCAAAATTACAGCATTCAATATTCCTGGTTACCTAAGCAAAGACAGGTGATAGGAGCAGGAAAAAAGTAAAGTAAATTAGAGAAACAGAGCCAGGCATGGTGGCTGATGCTTGTTATCCCAGCATTTTGGGAAGCTGAGGTGGGAGGATTGCTTGAGACTAGGAATTCAAGACCAGCCTGGGCAACACAGACTGACGCTATCTGTACAAAAATTAAACATTTAGCCAGGTGTTGTGGAGCACGCCTGTAGTTCCAGCTACACGGGAGGCTGGGAAATGTCCATTTAATCTTTGTCTGTTTTTTAACTGGATTACTTACCTTTTCATTAATTATTGAGTTTTAAATATTCTTTATATATTCTAAGTCCCTTATCAGATAACATGATTTACAAATATTTTCTTCTATTCTGAGGGTTGTTTTTCCACTTTCCTTTTTTTTTTAAATGTTATTAGGTGTGTTTGTTTATATCTACTTAAAGCAACAGAAAAGCAGCAAAATAAAAATCGGTAAAGTTGTACATTTTGAAAATTCAGATTCTTACACCTGGGATGCATCTTGGACTAGTCAGATGACTGGTTTTAGAGACTAAGCAACTGAGGTTTGGGGAGACTGAGTCTTGCCTGAGGTCTGTCCGTGCCTGTTGGTGGCAGGACTGGGCTTCACTGTTCTGTGTTTTTTATCCCCCTTCTTTCCTGCTTCTTGTTTTTGTTGCTTTGGATAAAATGTATGGTCCCTTTTATTTATTCTTAGTTTAAGGAATTATCTCTGGCTGATAACCTGTAGGGTTTTACTCAAACTGGTCAGTAGGAAGATTTTAAAAATGATTTTCTTTCTTTTTTTCTTTAAGACAGAGTCTTGCTCTGTCTCAGGCTGGAGTGTAGTCATGTGACCATAACTCATTGCAGCCTCGAACTCCTGGCCTCAAGTAAGCCTCCCAACGTCTGGGAATATCGCATGAGCCACCCCATCTGGCCTAAAAAGTGTTTTTTTTTTCTGTGTCTATTTCTACATCTATTTCCCTTTCCCCAATTATGCAAGCAATGACTTGTTTCCTGCAAGACATAAAATCAAAGCATCTGGAAGTATTTTAGTGTGTGTGTGTGTGTGTGTGTGTATATGTATGTGTCTTTGAATCTTCACATAAACACAGATGAACTTGACTTGTCAAAGAAATTCCATGTTCTGGTGCATCTATATTTTAACAAAAGACCATTTGGGTTCCTTGCCTTTTTGCCGTCATGCATCCCTGTTTTTAAAATAATTTTCTCATATGGCCAGGAATAGGGAAGGTGTGTCTAATGTCCATTTCTGACTCTAGCTTCAGTTACTTCGGAGAAATGGTGTGTCAAATTACAGGACAGTTGGGTCATGAAAGAGCATGGCCAATTCTCTGGGCTAGAACTGTACACCTGGCCTAATAGATCACTCTGTCAGCTCCCGGCATTTGGTGTCTGAACTTTGTCCATAGAGGTGAGCGATGGGTGAGCGACCACTCTCTGGTATGGAACACATTGTTGTCTCTATACTTACCAAGTGACCCAAGCATGGTGCCAATGTTTAACCCTGAATGTTCAGAGCAGCGGGATAAAAAACTTGGACAGACACAGGTTTGTACCGATGGAAACAGAACTGTGATGTTGGGATCGATAGGAGAAGTAGGTTATCCCTATTCCACAAGGTGGACCCAATGACTGCAAGTAGGGACAACGATTGCATATGGCACCATGGACCACTGGAACTGGAGCCATGACAATCCTGAAAGGCCACCAGTGTTTATCTGCAGCTATATGGCCAGTTGCCACTTAGGCCAGTGTCTTCACTTAATTTTAAAAATATAAACGACACTCAGCTCAATCAGTTATCCTGCCTGAGCATCTACTCAGATATAAGGACAATCATGAGAAAGCATATGGATAGGTCAGTGAAAACTGAATCCTAACCTCAGGGCTTCCCTCGGAAGTACCTGGCAGAGGCCATTGGAATGTGTACACCTAGGCAAGCCTAGGGGTTTGGACATGTGGACAAAGGCACACATGTACACGTGCATACACATGCACACACACCCATGCTATCACACCTTGGAAGCATTAAACCTCAAACACAAATACAAATCTAAATGTATCTTACCTTCATGATAGGGAATCAGAAAATACACAGAAATAGAAAATTATAGAGCTACAAATAATCCTATATTCCTGTAATAGCCACATTAATATTTTTCCTTTATGACGTTTTCAAAGATAGCATCATACTTAACGTGTTTTGTAACATTCCTTTTCATTGAATATATCATGGAATTTAAAATCAAAAATAGAATAGATAATTTGGTAAACAGTATTGGGATGAATGACTTGGTTCATTGGAAAATAAGTACAGTTAGATTCTTAACTAACAGCACACATAGAAATATATTCCAGACGTATTAACTAGATTTTAAATAAAACTATAGAAGTAATAAAGTAAAATAAAGGATAATTTAAAAAAAACTTTAGAGTGGGAAAATGAACAAATTTGATTAGGTAAAAATGACAGATATTTGTATGCAGATATTTGTATGTGGAATCAAAAGACAAAAGACAGACTAGGAGAGAACATTTAGATTTTATAAAACAACCAGAGAGAGTAATACTTTCAACATATGAAGAGGTGCTCTAAGCTAATAAGACAAGGATATTTACAGAATATTCCAGAATATAGAAAAAAATGTTCAATCTCTGTGAAAGTAAACAAGAAGCAAGTTAAAACAAATTAAATTATTGCTACATCAATATCTCTCCAGGTCTGAAATTTGCTGAGGAAGCAGTAAGGAGGAGGCTAGTCTAAAGATAAAAATCCCACAGGCTCCTGCTTTAAGGAAATTGGTTTATTATATCGCATTTTATAGAAGTTTTTTAAAAAGTGCTTGGATCATGAGCACTAAAGTGGGCATGTAATGCTGTAGGCAAGGTGAGAGCCAGGGTGTTGACTGCCGGGAAGACCCTGGCATTCTGAGTGTTGTCTTCGCAAGACAGTTTTCCTGAGCAGAATACCAGCTTCCTCCAGGTCCTGCTGACTGGGAAATGGATTTTATCTTACCTTATTTTATTTTGAGATGGAGTTTCACTCTTGTTGCCCAGGCTGGAGTGCAATGGCGTGATCTTAGCTCACCACAACCTCCACCTCCTGGGTTCAAGCAATTCTCCTGCCTCAGCCTCTCAAGTAGCTGGGATTACAGGCATGCGCCACCACGCCCAGCTAATTTTGTATTTTTAGTAGAGATGAGGTTTCTCCACATTGGTCAGGCTGGTCTCGAACTCCTGACCTCAGGTGATCCGCCTGCCTTGGCTTCCCAAAGTGCTGGGATTACAAGCATGAGCCACTGCGCCCGGCCAGAAATGGATTTTAAATGGCAAGTGCTACTGAGCTTTGTAGAACCCAACTGCCTCTCAGCCACCATATCTGATCCATCTCCATTGGGTTCCAGTTACCGTCCTCACTTTAGCAAATGCCTGAGCACCTGTGACTCAGTACACTTGAAATGAGCAAACTCAGGGAGCCTATGGAGCCATCACCTTGGTATTTCAGCTGTCAGGGTACAAATCCATTGTAGTGTAGACTCCACCAGATGAATGGTGATCGTCTTAGTCTGTTCTGTGCTGCTACAACAGAATACCTGAGACTGGGTAATTTATAAAGAATAGAAATTTATTTCTCACAGTTCTGGAGGCCAGGAAGTCCAAGATCAAGGCTCTGACATCTGGTGTCTGGTGAGGGCCTTCTGGCTGTGTCCTCTCATGGTGGAAAATGGAAGGGCAAGTGAGACAAACCCCCTTTGCCACGCCCTTTTATAGGGGCACCTAATCCTGTTCATGTGGGAGGAGTCGCATGGCCTAATCACCTCTTAAAGGGCCCACCTCTTAATACTATCACCTTGGCAACACCTGAATTTTAGTGGGGACACGTTCAAACCATAGCAGCTATCAAGCCATGGACAGGCAATTCGGTTGGCAGCTTATATATTATGTCCTAGCTGCTCCCAGGCATGGTCCATTCATAAGGGGCCTCTGGCCATTTGTCTGGTGGCAAGAATGCCCACAATCTTCTTCAGTTTCTCCTCTTTCTGATTTTCAGTGCATAAGACTGGGTGTCTAAACAGAACTTCTGAAATCTTAATGTGCATTTGAGTCACCTGGGGATGTCAGAAACAGCAGATTCTGATACAGTAGGTCTGGGGTGGAGGATGTGATCCTGTATTTCCAAGAGTGTTTATGGGGACCTGCAGCATCAGTATCACCCAAAGACTTGTTAGAAATGCAGTATCTTGGGCTCCTACCTTGACCCACTGATAAAGAATCTGCATATTAACATGAGCCCCAGGAAAGTCAAAAGCACATCTAACACCAAGAGGCACTGCTCGTGGGGAGGGTGCAGCGTGGCACATATGGAATCCCGGAGCTGCAGGCGAACATCTCTCAGGCAACCAGTGCGTCGCGTTCTGCCAGGTGCCCTCACATGCACTGGGGCCCCAGTCAGTTTCTTTAAGCCCAATCCGGATCTTCCATCCTTTTTGCTTCCAGGCGATATTTGTGATCCACTGCTGTCTCTTCGTGGTGTCTCCTGATGACATCTGCAGGGGCCCCCTGTGAACTCTTTCTAGTTAACAGGCATCACTTTTGTGCAGTGAGCCTTCCTTTTGTGCAGTGAGCCTTCCTGTCCCCACTTACCTGCTCTGCCCTGCAATCCTAGGGGCCCTGGACAGAGATGGGGTCCAGTGGGCAGGGTCTGAGGATGTTTTATTGACCTGCAGCTGTCCAAGGGCTCTCTGGGAGGTCGCAACATAAGGCCACATCATGCTGCCCCTGCCAGCGCTCCTCCTCCTCACGGCTGTCGGGTGCTGGGCTCCTGGGGTAAAGTGCAGGGAGAGAGAATCTTAGGAGGTTTAGTGGCCTAATAATGCCAGCAGGACACTGTGGAAGACAGTGGTGTAATGTCCTCAACTTGTATCCAAGAAACCAGCTTTCAAGAAGATTTTATTGGCCCCAATATACTCATATCAGCCCCACTCTCCTGATCCAGCTCCTCTTATCACCCCGGCAATCTCCATTCCATAGGAATTCACCCAGGCAACAGGAGGAGGGCTTGGAAACTCCTTCTTGTTCAAGGGGCACTTGTACCTCTTCCCACAGTCAGTAGAAGTCATTAGGATGTCACATTTCCAATTATACATGTCACCCCACCCCACAATGAAACCAAATTAGATATGTCAACTGAAGTGTGTGTGCGTGCCCTGGATATGGTGGGGATGGTGGTTTGGTAAGGTCAACATAACTGTCATATTCTAATACAATTGGCCAAGACAAAGAGAAATTCATGGACAAACACATTTATTTAGCTTTGGGGAAGGCATGTCAGATCCCTCATTCTAATAAGGAAAGAAGGAGAAGGGGCCCATGTCAAATTTTCTATTCCTAAGCATTTCTTCCACATTCACTCAAATATGAAGCCTGTCTGGTTAATATCACACCTCTTCAAACATCGGCTCTTGCAGCCTTAACTTGCTAATATTATCCTGTGTGTAAATTATCACAGAGGCTAAAAGAGGTTATGTCCGTCCCACTGTATAATCCTCTCCCGTTCTACACCCCCTTCTTACACCATTGCAGCCCCGTCCTATAATAAAGTGAGGGAAACATTAGGAGGGATGGGGCGGGGTGATTGTGGGATGGAGTCTTCACTTGACCATCAGAGATGTTTGTCCTCAGAGTCAGGTCCTTCCTCCTCATGTGAGTCCTTCTATACCGTGCACACAGTACTGCCCACTCTAAGCAGTCCTGTCCTTAGGGATTTTGAGATTCAGGGAGGACATTTTCAGGTGGATTCATCAATTCCTGGATCGTCAATGCTCAGGACTTGCCTCTTCAACATCCGGCATGAGAAGAACCCATACAGAGCGCACATCTCAAGCAGACCCCCTGGCTCCTACGACAGCGCCCCAGGCTTAGAGGCCCGCGGGAAGGGGAGCCTGCAAAAAGCACCATTCAAAGGAGAGGGGAGGCTGTGAGGAGGGAGATGGCAGAGGCCAGTGCCTGCAGACCCCTGTCCCTGAGCCAGGGCTGTTTGAGCCACTCCCTTTAACATGCTATTTGTAAAGCTTATTTTTAAGCCTCACAGTGACTTGTCAAGACAGCAACTTCCTGGCCCCCTTGCAGTTAGAAGGCCCTCTCTCCATTGCCCATTTTTGATTTAATTCTGGTGTTTTCCTGCAGCCCAGCTCAGCGTCCTAACAGTGGCCCAAAGGGTGATGGCGGGGGTGTCCTCTAGGATCATCTAAGGCAGGGGGTGTGAGGATGCCAGACTCTTGCAGCAACATTCTATGGAGCTGCCTTTCAGAAATGTTCATCCCACCGGTGTTGAGGGTGTGGAATTAAAATCTGATGGAAGCATTTTCTCTACTCTCAATGTATTTGGAATTCATTTCAGCTTTTCCCTGACAATAGCTTCCCTGCTGCTTTCTTCTTCCCTTTTGTGTCTGGGTGTGGCTGGGAGGTCCTGGGGCCTTTTAAATGCACAGTGACACAGGTGTCCTCATATGCTTGCGGGGGCACAAGCATCGTGGTGTGCTTGCAGTGACACAAGCGTCCTCGTGTGCTTGCAGTGACACAAGCGTCCTCGTGTGCTTGCAGTGACGCAGGCGTCCTCGTGTGCTTGCAGTGACGCAGGCGTCCTCGTGTGCTTGCAGTGACGCAGGCGTCCTCATGCGCTTGCAATGATACAGACATCGTGCTGTGCTTGCTTTGCCAACTGAAAAGTGACCTGGGAGAGGGTGGAACCAGTCAGTGTCTGGGTTCCTCTGAAGGCATTTGCAGACACTGACAATTCAGAAAATGTCTCCAACCAGGCCTTGCTTCTCTCAGTGTGGAACACACCTGCCTTTGGGCAGTTCCTCTGATGGCAGGAATGATTGACAGGCATCCTCTGCTGGGGGTGTCCATCATCCAGGAGACCCCCCTTGGAGGGCTGGCAGGAGGCCGTGTCCCCTGGTCTGTGATTTTTATTCTTCACATCACCTTCTGTGTGTGTGAGCCTCCATGCAGCTGTGCCACTTTCGGGAACATACCCAGTAGACACAGATGCAGCAATGCACAGAGATCTCTGTGTGGGGATACTCGTGGTACAGTTGTGAGTGGCCCAGATGGGCAGCTGTGGCAGCTCACGCTAGCGCTGCTGTGTGATAGTGAGCCCTCTGTGGCCAGTGTGGGGGCTCTGCCTTCCATCCAGAAGGAATGTGCAGCATTTGTCCTTCTGTGCTTGGCTAATTCCACTTAACATGGTATCCTCTAGGCTCATCCATGTTGTTGAAAAGGAATTCATTGAGTTTTATGGTGGAATAGTATTCCATCTGTGTATATACCACATTCTTTTAATCCATCCCTCCATAGATGGACGCTAGGGTTGATACCATATCTTGACTATTGTGAATAGTGCTGCAGTGAACACAGGAGGGCAGGTATTGGACCACCACACTGTGCCCCATAAATATGCACAATTATTATCCAACAGTTAAAATAAAACTTAAAGCAATGAAACAACAACAAGAAAAAAGGAACACGTGCTTCTGCTGCAGGGGAGCTGTGAGTGGGAGCCTCCAGCTGTTGGGAGCTCTGGGGTCCACCTTTAAGCCAAAGTCTTTCTCTTCCTTTCCGGGCAGCACCTGGCAGGTGATGAGAAGCCAAGAGAAAAGGTTAATGGCTGATGACCAGGTGAGACCCACAAGAGAGGCATCAGAATACACGTGTTACCTGCGCTGTGCGTTTCCTATAGGACATAAGCAGCCGCACAGTGGCCGAGAACTCCCTCGCGGCGGCTCCCTGCTCCAGGCACTCCCCGAGGTTGTGCTGTGCCCTGGCCCTGTCAGTCCACACTTCAGAACCACACCGTGCATCACAAGGTCGATAGCTACTGGAGCCTTGCACAAAATCGGCCCAGTGAAAATGTTCATTAAATGAGTGTTTCTTTCAGTCCTAATTACCCTTCCTTCCCTTTCTACCAAGTCTAGCCCATCCCGAGAGGTTCCAGGGTCCCAAGGAAGAGACATCCCGTTTACTCACAGAGACATCCTGTTTACTCACAGGTGGTCATTGCCTGTGAGCATTTGCAGAGTGGGTGGGAAGGCAGGGGCAGGAGGAGGTGTGGAGGCCCCCCAGGCAGGCTCAAAACGGACATTCTTTAAATATTTGTCCAACATTTACTTACTGGAAATGGCGAATAGCTTATTTCCTGTTAGCAAATAAATATACTCATCCACAAAATGACACGTCTCCATCTTTATATTTAGAATAAGAGATTTCTGACACGCATGGGTCATCCTAGAGCATGTTCTTAACCTGGAATTGATGGAGAGCAGTGCTTGCAAGTCTCCACTTGAGGGCACTGTGACCCCAGTGTTGTGTTGGTGTCCCTTTCAACTGGACCCCGGGCAGGTGCCCGACGGTCCACCTCCTCATCCAGCTCTCACCGTGCTCCTGGAGGACGGAGGGATGTTTCCAGCCTCACCAAGGAGGGAGGCCTTGAGCTGAGTGACTGGCATCTCTGCTTGGGCACCCTTGGCCACCGGAGGAGCAATCTTGGTGAGAAGAGCTGGTGCCAATCCCTCCTGGGGTGGCAAGCTCTCTGGTGCTGCCTGTGCACCCGTGCCTGCCCGCAGTTTGATCAGTGATGGGTGTGGGAGAGGCTGGGTCCACCTTCCTCACAAAGAAAAGGGTGTAGGGCAGCCTGGCCACCAGCAAGGTCACTGCTAAGCCTAGGAGGACAGGCCCATGAAGCAGCAGTGGGGATCCTTTGCTGTCTGGTTGCCACCTTTGCCTTGGTTGACCTGGGAAAGATCTACACTCCTCCCTTTCCTGGGCCCAGGAGAAAAGGCAGGAGCTGGCTTCACCAAGGCCCAAGGTATCCCAAATCCAGATGCTAAGCATTTGGAGGATGGCACAGAAACATCTGCAGAAGAAACTCAGCCCTGGCAGTCCAGAAGTTCCTCCCCAACTGGACACGGCACTACTGTGCCCCAGGGACATACAGGGAGCCTTGATGGTTCCAGTTTCATCAACTCATTATTATCAGCATTATTTAATCCTGGTAGTGCCATAATCCTTTCCCCTGTGTATGTGTGAGTATGTATCATGCAAGATTCAAAGTCACTTGATGTCATGAGGAAAATAAAGACTCTCTGCATAGAGCAGAAATAATTTGCACGACCAACTTGGGGTTGAGTGTTCTCAAATGAACTCCAGTGGTCCCTGGGCTTTCAGAGGGCCAGACAGGCACCACTGTCGAAGGGCTGCGTAACAAAAGGCCCTGGCTGGGTGCATTATAATTTGCTCCAACCAGTTCCAAAGTACTCAGATTTCCAGTGATGTGAAGAGAAATACTAATGTCACAGGACGTGGGCATTGTGCCTCATATAAATACACACACAAAAGCTAGGCGAGGGTATTTTGGATGTCTTGTTGGGGAGGATGTAATTAAGCTTCCCTTAGAGAATGCTTTGAAGTCTGTGGCTCACTGTTTTATATAAAAGTAACCTCCCCATTCACCGATCTGTCAGTTGTAGAATTCTAGCCAATTGGGAAAGTTGCTGAGGGAGAATCAATTAGTTTCCACTTGGAGTAAAATCTATCTTTCAAGAGGGAGCTATCATGCCTGCTCTGGCTGTTTGAGTCAAGCGCCAACCAATCTCACCTCTGGGGACGACACACTGTGCTCAGGGAGCCTTGGGGGTCCCTTGGCCAAGTGCAGGTCTCTGCACAGCCCCCAGGTGTGTGCCGTGGGGAGGCATCGGTTTCTAGCTGGTATCAGCTTCCGCCAAGGCCTCACTGCCTCTCAATGAGATCTCCCCACCCTTCTGAGCCCCATATACACTCGAGCCTGGCCAGCAGGGCAAGCGCCACACCTGGGTGGGTTGTGTTGGAGGTAGCAGGTGGTGGTGCTCACTCCACAGGGTTGGAGGCAGCAGGCAGAGCTCAAGCTCCCTGTGAGCTCAGGAATCTGCTGGCAGTCTTGTGTCTACCAGTTTCTCCCGATCCCAGGGAAGAGGCTCAAAGTGGGGCCTTGCTCCTGTGTCTTATCAAGAGTGAGCCTTGTCCTTCACCTTCCCTATCTCATTCTGGTCACATTTCTCCAGACGTGGCCAGAACTGACCTTGCTCTGCATCCAGTATTCCTGTTTTCTTAGGATCCTGGAGGTCTGCTGGTTACTGTGGTAGCAGAGGGTGGTCCCAGTGAAGCAGTTATCGGGATACTAGGTTCAGAGCAGAGATAGTGCAGAGCACAAAGGGAAACAGCCAGGACAGGCAGCACTGTGGGCTTGGCCAGCTGGATGGGGTGCGTGTGTGTGTGTGTGTGTGTGTGTGTGTGTGTGTGTGTGTTGGGGCTCACTTTTGTCTCACTGGGCCTCCTCTTTGAGACAAGCTCATGCCTGGACATGCAATCCTAGGCCTTGGAGTGTGACAGGATGCTAAGCCAGGCTGGAGAGAGCAGTGGCTGCTAGTTGGGGATGCAGGTGGGGTTTGCAGAGGATGAAACTGTGCAGCCCCTTTTCCTCCTATTTCTTCTCCTCTAGTGTTTTCATTCTATAGATATGTTAAGGTGATGTGTCCCTTCACTTTCCAGGCCATTGTTTAGCTAAGTAGATACAAGCTTTTGTGTTGTTTTCTATAATATTTTAAATCATTAATTGATTCCTTAAAACTCACATTTCCCATTGTTCAACAGGTTACCCACTTTTCAAAAACCTATCCTAAGATTCCAGATGTGCTCCCTAAGGACATATAGAGATAAGGATTTAGTACAAAAATTAAAACTAACATCAGGACTGAGACACCACTGAATCTGCTTTTCCACAGTTACTCAATTTACAGAACTTTCAAAGCCATTTCAGTCTACCATGCCTTCACACAGAGCATTATAGTGGCCCAAGCCTCCATTTTAGAATTGTGATCTAATTTCTTTTAATTTACATGTGTACATCATAGTTCTTAAAAAAAAATATTGTATTCTAATTGCAAATGTAGTGTGTATTACATAGGAAAAGCCTGAAAAGTGACAAAGAAAATAAGCATTCCTATAACTGATTCTGATATATGCCCCCCTAATTCTATATGCACATAAGTATAGCCTAAAATGCATAATGATAACTATATTTCATACTTGGAGATTAAAGAAAATCTTAGTACCCAACAGGAGATAGATTTTCAGAAAAAATTGTATAGGTCTAAATCTATATAGTGAAAAGAAAAAAGTAAAAATTAATGAGTTAACTATCTTCAAGAAGAAAAATAACAGCAAGTTAAATCCCAAGAAATAGAAGGAAAGAAATGATAGAGATAAGAGTAGAAATTAATAAAGTAAAAAATTACAATAAAGACAGCCATCAAATAAAAAAACTGGCTCTCTGAATTTTTATTTTTAAAGGAAAGATAAAGCCCTGATGAAACTGATTGAGGGAAAAAAGAGAAAAGGCACAAAAAACTAACATCAAAGAATTAAAAATAGGACACTATTTCAGGTCTTACAAATATTAAAGCTAATAAGAAGATATAGTGAAAAACTTTATGCTGATAAATTTGAAAATCTAGATGAAATAGACAAATTCCTTGAAAAACACAACTTACCAAAACTGACACTAGAAGAAATAGAAAATCTGAATAGTCTTAAATGCATTAAGAAATTAAAATCCTTTCTATACAGATGGATTTACTCATGAATGCTACTAAACCTTTAAGAGAATATAATACTAGTCTTACAGAAATTCTTACAAAGAACAGAAAAAGAAAGAATATTTTGCTACTGATTTTATGAGGTCTTGATATAAAGACCTAACAAAGATATTACAAGAGAAGAAAGTTATAAAACAAGTCTCATTTAAGAACATAGATGCAAATATTCTAAGCCAAATACTACTAAAGAAAATAAAATGATATACCAAAAAAATACACTATAAACATAACTTTGTACTTGAAAATGCAACACTGGTTTAACCATTATCAATCAATCAATTATTACATATATATCAGGCAAAAAATTGTGACAATACCAAATGCTGATGAGGATGTGGAGAAACTGGATCATTCATACATTGCAGTTGGGAATGTAAAATGGTACTACCATTACGGAAGATGGTTTGACAGTCTTGACAGTTTCTTATAAAGCTAAACATACATAGAACTAGCAATTGCACTCTTGGGCCCTTATCCCAGTTTTTCACTGAAAAACATATTCACACAAAAACCTGTATAGAAATCCTCATAGCAACTTTATTTGTAACAGCTAAAAATTGGAATGAGCCCAGATGTCCTTTAACAAGTGAATGGTTAAACAAACTGTGATGAATCCATACCATAAAATACTATCAAACAATAAAAAGCCGTGAACCTTTAATACATGCAACAACATGGGACTTATTCCCATGGAATTATGCTGAGTGAAAAAAGCCAATCCTAAGGGGTATTGAACGTTTATTCCATTTATAGAACATTTTTAATATGATGCAATTTTAGAAATGGAGGATGGATTCTTGGTTGCCAAGGCTTAAAGGAAGAGGAGTAGGAGGGAAGTAGATGTGGTTAGAACTGGGCAGCATGAGAGATCCTCGTGGGGTTGGAATTGTTCTTTTGTATCTTGGCTGTGCTCATGGATACACAAACCTGAAAAGATGATAAAACTTAATACATATGCATATACACACACAAATGAGTACAAGGAAAATGGTGGAAATCAGAATAAAATTGGTATGTTGTATCAGTGATATTATACTATAATTGTGCAAAATGTTACCATTGGGGGAGATTGGGCAGCACCTATGCAGGATCTCTCTGATATCTCACTAAAAATTCAATTAAAAATCCTTCAATAAAATCAACATGGTAACAAAAGGAGAAAGTTATGTGATCATCTCCATTGAGGCAGAAAGAGTATTTGCTACAAGTCCACAACCATACATGATAAACATTCTTAGCACACGAAATGTGATAAAGTATAGTTTCAAAACTTTGTACCTAATGATAAAATGTTGAACATTTTCCTGCTGAAGTCTGAAACAAGGATGTCTTCTATGATCACTTCTAGTCAACATCATAACTAAATGGCCAAGCCAGTGCAATAAAGCAAGAGAAACAAAAAGCTATGAGAATTGCAAACAAATAAATAAAACTGTAATTTTCCAAAGGCAATATGCCTATGGACGTTTAAAAACACCACAGAATCTAAAAACAAATAATTAAAATTAGATAATAAGTTTCACTTGTTGCTGGATATACAACCAATTCAAAAAGTAAATTTTATTTCTATATACCAGCAACAAACAGGTATAAAGTAAAACTTAAAAATGAAATTTATAACGGAAAATTATCAAATATCTAGAAGTGAATCTAAGGAAAGATGTGTAAGATATCTACACAGAAAATTACAAAACATCATTAAGAAAATTTAATGGCTAAAACAAGTGCTGGGAAATATCACTTTCATGGACTGGAAAACTCAATAATGTAAAGATGTCTGTTCTTCTCAAATTGATCTATAGATTCAATATAATTTACATTAAAATATTAGTTTTTTGGTGGAAATGCATAAGCTGATTATAAATTCCTTTAGAAGTGCAAAATGTCAAGCATATCTAAGACACTTTGGAGAAAAACAAGGTGGGATGACTTACTCTATGGATGCAAACCATTATTGTAAAGCTACAGTGCTCAAGTCAATGTGATATTGGCAGAATGATAGACAGATGCAGTAGATCAGAATAGAGGATTTGTAAGCAAATCACTGTCTACATAAACACTTGTTTTCATTGTTGTTGTTGTTTTTAAATACTTGTTTTCAATGATAGAGGGCACTGAAAAGCACTGGGAAAAGAACAGTCTTTTCAAGAAATGGTGCTGGAGCTTTGGGTCAATCACATATTCATATGGCTCTGAAATAAGACTTGAACCATGAACAAAAATCAATTCCAGGTAAACTCGCAGATATAAATGTGATAAGTGAAACAATAAAGCTTCTGAAAAGGGGAGAAATAGGAACGTTTTTACACCGTTGGTGGGAATGTGAATCAGTTCAACCATTGTGGAAGACACTGTGGCAATTCCTCAAAGATTAAGAACTGGAAATACCATTTGACCCAGCAATCCCGTTACTAGGTATATACCCAGAGGAATATAAATCATTCTATTATAAAGATACATGCATGTGTATGTTCATTGCAGCACTATTCACAATAGCAAAGACATGGACTCAACCCAAATGCCCATCAATAATAGATTGGATAAAGAAAATGTGGTACATATGCACAATGGAATACCATGTAGCCATAAAAAGGAATGAGATCATGTCCTTTGCAGGGACATGGATGAAGCTGGAAGCCATTATCCTCAGCAAACTAACGCAGGAACAGAAAACCAAACACCGCATATTCTCACAAGTGGCAGCTGAACAATGAGAACGTGGACACAAGAGGGGAACAACACACACTGGGGCCTGTCGGAGGGCGGCGGGTTTGGGAGAGCATTAGGGAAAAGAGGGAATGCATGCTGGGCTTAATACCTAAGTAATGGGTTGATAGATGCAGCAAACCACCATGGCACACATTTACCTATGTAACAAACCTGCACATCCTGCACATGTACCTGGAACTTAAAATAAAAGCTTCTGAAAGCTATTAGCAACAATAGTGTCATAATCTTGAGGTAGGCAAAGAACTCTTAACATAGGACACAAAAAAACTGTAACCACAAAGACAAAGTTGATAAGCCAAGTTTCCTTAACATTAAGAACTTATTTTCTTCTCTCTCTCTCTCTCTCTCTCTCTCTCTCTTTTTGAGATGGAGTCTCACTCTGTTGCCCAGGATGGAGTGCAATTGTGCGATCTTGGCTCACTGCAACCTCTGCCTCCTGGGTTCAAGTGATTCTCCTGCCTCAGCCTCCAGAGTAGCTGGGATTACAGGCACCCACCACCACGCCCAGATAATTTTTGTATTTTTAGTAGAGATAGGGTTTCACCATGTTGGTCAGGCTGCCCTCAAATTCCTGACCTCAGGTGATCCACCTGCCTTGGCCTCCCAAAGTGCTGGGATTACAGGCATGAGCCACCGCAAGAACTTTCATTAAAAGACACCATTATGACAGTGAGATGGAAGCTAAAGAGTGGGAGACAATATTCACAACCATGCACCTGCAAACAGCTTCTCACTAAAAGTATAAAATTAATAAGAAAGAAATAGACAACCCAATGGAAAAATAGACAACCAACTCAGCGGGTTTTATTAAAAAGTACGGTAATATTCAAGTGATCACTATGCATATGAAAAGATGTGCAACCCCAGTAGTCATTAGGAAAGAGGAAATTAAAACCATTGTGAGATACGACACACTCCAGAGTGGGGACAATGAAAACGCCTGACCACACCAAGTTGGAAGGATGTGGAGTAGTGGGAGTTTGCATGCATCGCTGGTGGCAGGGAAATTGGAGCAGCCAACGCAGTAAACTTGGTGGCACTGCGACCACATGTGATGATGCTCTGGGGCGAGCAGCTGTCTTCCCAGGCATATACAAACAGCAGTGTGTGCACATGTGTGCAGAGAGACAGACACAGATGTCCACAGCAGCATCATTCATAATAGCCGCAAACTGAAGAAAAAATCATAGGCGCTCAGCCGGGCGAGGTGGCTCACGCCTGTAATCCCAGCACTTTGGGAGGCCGAGGTGGGAGGATCACCTGAGGTCAGGAGATCGAGACCATCCTGGCCAACATGGTGAAACTCCGTCTCTACTAAAATACAAAAAATTAGCCGGGCATGGTGGTGCACACTTGTAGTCCCGGCTACTCAGGAGGCTGAGGCAGGGGAATCACTTGAACCTGGGAGACAGAGATTACAGTGAGCTGAGATCGCGCCACTGCACTCCTGCCTGGCGACAGAGTGAGATTCCATATCGGGGGAAAAAAAAAAAAAGATAGGCTCTCATTAACAGTAAAATAGGAAGCCTAAGTATGGCATCTACAAGGAGATACTACGCAGTGATGGAAGTGGACGAACTGCGACTGCCTGCAAGGCTGCAGGAGTCTCACAAGCTAATGTTGGCTAGAAGAAGCCCGACGGAAATGAATACACACTCTTTACTTCCATGTACATAAAGTTCAAACCCAGCTAAAAGTAACCTAGGATGCTGGAAATCAGGACAATAGTTGCCTTTGCAAATGGAGAGGGCAGTGATTAGGAGAAGGGCTTCTCAGGAGCTGGGAGCATCTCCACTTTACATTTTGCTAGTTGAGCCCTTTTCTGTGCTTGTGTCATAATTCAACAAAAGCATACATGTTTACACCCCTCATGGATATTTACATTTTTCTAAAGGATGACTAGAAAGATTTATTTCAATATAAGGAGTCTGCAATGGCGTTTTCAGGCACAATGAGTGCTATGGTTAAAGTATTTGTCTCCTCCAAAACTCATGGCCCCTGGCATGTGGAGTGCCTCTATCTGAAGAACAAGAGGAACTCAGAGCTAGAAGCCTCTTTATGGGGATCACTCCAGGTCTTTTATTGATGAAGAAATAAATATGGCTTCCTGGGGTCCCGTGGGAGGGTCCCAGATCACCCCTCATTCAGTCTCCATCCTGCTCCTCCCAGGCAGACACCGGTCTCACGGTGCGGTGTAGGGGAGCCACACTGTGTCCTGGAAAGTTCATTAGCTTGTAAAGTGGTGCAGCGCTTCTGGCCTGTTGCCAGTCCACGCCACTCTCCTTGGGTGCAGCAGTCCCGCCCCACCCCGCCCGCCCTCCTTGGGCCCAAGGTGCAGCTGGGAGCTGGGTGTCTGCGTCAGCCTTTCCTGCAGCTGGGGGCTCCTCTGACTCCCACGGGGAGCAGGAAGCTGCTTTCCCGCTGCACTCGATGTAAACAGTAAACACATCCCAGCACCTGCCAGACCTCCCTGTTCCGCTGCTGCTGTCCCTGCCGCAGCCCTGGGAAGAGGCCTGAGGCCCAGGGGTGTGCAGGCCACCAGCATCTGCCATGAGCCCACCGAGGAAATAATGGCAGCTGTGGGACTGCACGCATGCCTACGTGTGCATGCCTGTGTGTGAACACATGCATGTGTGGGGTGTTGATGTGTTTGCATGTGTGGGATGTATGTATGCATGTGTATCTGTGTATGTGTGTTTTTGGGCCTGTATATGTATATATGTATATGAGTGTGTGTAGGGAGTGGTCCATGTGTGTGTTTGTGTGTACATGTACACATGTGTATGTATGTACAGCATGTGGTGTGCATATATCGTTTGTGTTTGTATGTGTGCATGTGTTTGTGTAGTGTGTACAGATCACATGTGTACACGTGCATAGTGTGTGGTATATATGAATGCCCTGTGTGTGTGCATGCATGTGTATATGCTGTACATGTGTATGTATGTGTGCCGCCAGATTGACCCAAGGTCACTCAGAAGGTTTCTGAAATTAGCCCAGCCCAGCGAGCTTTCCATAAAGCCACAACCCTCTTGACAGCACCCGGCTCATCTTCCTTTCCAGACAGGTTGGGAGTGAGGCCTGAGGAATGGTGGGCACCAGGCTGGCCAAGGGCTCCAGAGGTGGAGCCAGGGTTATTCAAGAGGTGGTGGACAGACGTGCAGGGCACCCCCAAAGCGGCCCCAGCAGGAGAAACAGAGCAGAGTGAAATGAGAAGAAGGGTAGTGGGAGGATCTGGAGAAGGGCCCCAGCTTTTTTGGGGCCCCAGGGGCTTCTCACAGGACCCTTCTGCCATGCCCCTCCTCCTTCTTCATCGCAGCCTGCACTTCCATTCCAGGAAGGTACAGCCTGCCCCATGGCACTTGTTCTGCTGGGCAGGGTCTGCTTTGGGCACTCAGCAGTAATTGAACAGCAGGTGGCGTTCACTGAGAATGTGCCCTCGTGCCAGGCATTGTGCCGTGTACACGGCTCAGTTTACTCCTCACGATAGCGCAGGGAGGCAAAGATGAAATGCACGTCCAGGGAGAACGCTGTGTGCTGAGCTGGGACTTATCCAGGCTCTGCCCAGGCTGCAGCTGGGATGAAGCCTGAGTTAGGGTCAGTCAGAACCTTGCTGTAAACCACTAGAGTTGACTGAAGAGACTACATTTCTAGGATGCTTAATCTCTTGATCAAAAAAACGTACTGTGTTTGTTTGCCACGTTGAGGAACTGGGTTAGTGGCCTTGGGAACTGTGACAGTCACCTGACAACAAAACCAGTATGCAGTGGAGAGGCCAGAACCTACCCTGCACTCCTGGGTTCCCAATCGACTCCCCAAAGCTCAACGTGAGAAACTCACTTACTGAATATCTATAAAGCAATAAACACTTGCTGATTGTACCCTCTGTGCCAGGGACCTTAAATACACTATCTTGGGTGATTATATAGGCGCTAGGTGCAGCTGTTAAGAAAAGCTAAAGAATCAGAGAGACCTGCCACTTCATCACGAACTCTCAGATTCTCCATCAGAAAAGGGTTCTTGCAGGGATGAAGCCAGGCAGTGCTCAGCCTGATCCCTCAGCCTAGGTAGGGTTTCCTCTTCCTCATGTTCATCGCATGGATCTGGCCTTGCACATTCATTTGTATGACCATTTTCTTAATGTGTCCTTCCCCCTCAGACTGCAAAGCAGCTCACTACTGCATTCTCAGCCCCTAGCACTGTGCACGGCACACAGAGAGTGCTCGGTGAAAGATTTGTAGCATGAGCCAAAAAACCACTGCTATGCTGCAACTGTGAATTTGAGTGCAGCAGAATTGTTAGGGGACCCTGCACTGACGAATGAATGATTCTAGTGGTGGAGGTTTCAGGTGCTTTCACACATATATTTTGGACCAAGGTCCTTTTGGTTTCCCACGTCCTGTTGCTGGGGCGGCTGCCAGCTTGGTTTACAGCCCACAGTCTTGGTCTGCTTGGCTTCGTTTCGCATCATCGCGTGCTTCTCTTCAATTAAAGTCTTAAGACTTTCAAGGACAGGACAAGCCACTTATGCCGGTGGCTTGGGTCCCACAGTATCATTAGTGGCTAAAAATCACGTCAGTCCTGTGAAACAGCCCTGTGACCACCTACCACAATTACGGTCTTCATATTAAATGTGGATATGCGTTTGAAAAGGGTCTCAAACAGATTCTTCAGCATCAGGGCCTTTCAATTTGCTGTCTCTGAACGCAGGTGTTTGGTGAAGCCCCGACGGTCTCCGTCTCAGGAGCATCTTTTCAGCAATGCCCTGACATTGGTTTTGGGCCTGGGACCTACTTATTCCTACATGCAGAGCCACCTGAGAGGTCAAATTGCACTTTAATCAGACTCCATCCCGCAGAATGCTCCCTTAATGAGGGTTAAAGGTATTAATTACTGTCCCCTCCACTTCAGAATGTGCTCAAGAGGAGCTAATTGTCACATAATGGCCCAGGGCGGCTGAGGCCCTAGCAGAGCTCTGAGGAGTCTACAGCTCCCTCCGCCGGTCCCTCCGCCGGTACCCCCCCGCCCCCCGCCATCGCCTTCCTCCCATTTCATCCCACAGAGCTGCTGTGCTTCCTCTCCCCATCAGATAAAAGTGGGAGTTCTAGGGCATGGCGGCCTCACCTTCCAGGAGGACTTTGGGTTTTCAGCGTGGATGGCCAATAGGCTCAGTTTGCTGACCTGCTCCGTGGATGACAAGGTACCATGCCTTCTCCTACTGAGTCAGTGTGACCAGTGCCTCTTTAGAGGACAGTCTGTCAATAGCTACCCAAATGAAAGACTCACAGGTGATTTGACCCAGTAATTTCCATTCTAGGAGTTAATCCTACATACTTTTATTTATTTATTTTTTTTTGGTATATACCCACGAAGACTATGTAAGGGCACTTATTACAGCAAGGATGGAATAGCAAAAGGGTGGAAATAATCTAATTATCTGTCAGAGTGGACTGATTAAATAAATAATGGTATATCTATAAAGTGGGGTAGTACGGAGAGAATACAAAATGAGGCCCGTCTGTATGTGCTGATATGAAACAATATTCAATTTACAGAATTAAGCAAAAAGAGCAAGAAGGTAGAACAGTATATATGTTCTAATGGCGTGTTACCATTTGTGTGAAACACGCAGAATATGAGTATGTGTGTGAGTATATCTAAGCGTATCTACACTCCCTCTCCACACCCACTCACACACAAAGCAGCAGGCTGTGATGTAAATATCAGCATGTGCTGAGCTATGGAGTGTTGGCTCTGGCGGACTTTGCAGTGACAGACAAAGGGCCCTCTGATCCATGGGCAGCAGAAAAGTGTATGTATCTTTGGCTCAGAGGAGGGGCTGGCTGACACTACCAAGCTTTCAGACAGAGCTCATGGCCCCATGTGTGACAGAGCAGGAGCACCGTCATCTCTGACAGTTCCAGCTCCCTTTCTAGCCTCATGCATTTCAAGGATATCACTTCTCTTCCAACTGCAAGCAGCCAGAAAGAGCAGACAGTAAGACCCATATAAGACATCTCGGGCACAGAGGGTGGGGGGGAAGTCTCTTGGGTAACCACCAACTTCACACTCATACAACGGGCCCCAGTAAAACAATGGACCCTAATAAGTACATTCCTTTCCCTTTAGATGTGCTAAGATAGGGGAGCTAAAAGCAGACTCGGGGGTATGCCTGCAGCTGCAGGAAGATATACGGGAACAGACACACAACTCTCCCTCCCAGATAAGTGAGGCAAAAAGACACAGAAACATTCCAAGCCTGTGATAAGCTCTCCTGCCCTAAACCTTTAAATACTCTTGGTCTGTAAGAGAGAATGCCTCTGACCTAACTCAGCCAGAAGCCCCTCTCAGGTTTATTCTCCAAAATCAATCTGTCTTTGACTCTTGAGCTGCTTTTCATGTTTCTTTCCTCTTTTTTTTTTTTTTTTTTTTTTTGAGACAGAGTCTCGCTCTGTTGCCCAGGCTGTAGTGCAGTGGTGCAATCTCAGCTCACTGCAAGCTCCGCCTCCCGGGTTCACGCCATTCTCCTGCCTCAGCCTCCCGAGTAGCTGGGACTACAGGTGCCCGCCACCCCACCCGGCTAATTCTTTTTTTCTTTTTTTGTATTTTTAGTAGATACGGGGTTTCACTGTGTTAGCCAGGATGGTCTTGATCTCCTGACCTCGTGATCCACCCGCCTCGGCCTCCCAAAGTGCTGGGATTACAGGTGTGAGCCACCGTGCCTGGCCTCTTTCCTCTTTCTTGAATTCTTACACTGTGGAAGTAGAGCACAAACTCAGCACTGGGCAGGGCAGGAAGCCATCCTTTGGGAAAAGGCTGAGTGAGGCCCTGGCAATCACGTCTCCATGTTAGTGTGCTAGGAAAAAGGGAGTGAGTGTGTAGACAGGATCTTTAGCTATCTTTACCAGTTTTTAAACTTAGGTTACTCTAACGCCGTCCTGCCCAGTACATCAGTCACACCAGCCATGTGTGGCTATTTAAATGGAAATGAACATTGAATACAATAAAATATTCAGTTCTTCAGTTGCACCAGCCACATTTTGAGTGCTTAGTAGCCTGGTAGCTTAGTGTGACTATGGACTACTCCTACTGGCAGATCACAGATCTAGAACTTTTCCATCATTGCAGAAAGTTCTACTGGATGGTGCTCTAAAGCATAAGTATCAAGTTTCCATCACTTAATTACTGTTTATTAAATGTTACCTGCACAGGTTTTTATGAGTTCTGAAAAAGTGTACTTGTCGTGAAACTAAGACCAAGTGAAATGGTATTTTAAAAAACGGTTTACTTTTACCCTCATAGTTTTCATTTCTTTGCAGTGCAGATGTCATTGCTTTGCAACAGACATCAAATCCCAGAGCCCTGATGTTCTCTTCTTGGGCCATAAGTGGGGTCCCATGACACGTGAAAGGATCTTGGCAGAACCATCTTGGAGACAGGAATGTCAAAGGGCTCTGGGATGTTAGGGTGGGGGAGTCTGCCATTTCTCAGGCCACCCTGGGCTTTGGCTAGACATAATCTGAAGTGGGTAAGGGGAGTCTGTGGAAATTGGGGCACCTTTGGTAATGAGAAGGCAAGTCTGTGGAGGGCACCCTGAAGCCAGTAGTTTGTTCGAGGGGACACTCAGGAGGAGGATGACTTCGTGGGGAGTGCGGAACTGTCCAGGGCACATCGGCCTGTGACTGTCTCTGTCTGTCCCAATTTGTATCAGTCTGCTGTGTACAGACACAGGCTGGGGGGTGTGCTGGTGGCCAGAAGACACCTGGAAACCACAAACCTTCTTGGCCATTGATGATCCAAGCCACTGGGAATCCTGGCAAAACCTGGATGCCTGACCTGGTCTATGCAGTGTGAGATTTTATGAATTTCTGTGGTCTAACCCCAAACTGTCAGACAAGGTATTCTTAAAATTCAAGTTAAATTCATCCCATCTCAATTGAAGTCTACTTCCTCTGACTGTGTTCTTACCACAATTTAGAAGTGGGTTACTTGCTATCTTCCACCAATAACCTTTCACATCCTTACACGATTTAAATTTCTCTTTTGAGCTTTCCCTACTCTTTAATCTTTTTCTTATGTACCCTGTGTTATTTCTTCACGTCGGCTTTCCCTTCTCTGCATTTACCCCATTTTTATGCCATGGTTTTCATCCAGTCATTGGCCTGATAATTTTTCAGTCCTTCCAGTGAGGACTAGGCGGGGTGGATGATGTCCAGGCTTCAATATTAGCAGTGGGACCTGGACTCCAGCTATCTCAGCTTCAAAATTAGGATGTTGAAATAGTTCATTTGTAAGATCCTGTTTTCGCTCCAGCAACCAAATTACCGAGTCAGTTCAAGGACAACACCTTTATTTCATTATATAAAATCTATTACTAGAGCAAAGAATTAATTTATTAAAATAGATGCAAGATACTATACAGTGTACATGGATTAATAAAAAGCTAGTGTACTGATGATATACTCATTGCTTACTAATTGTCAAACTAGAATATTCTTTAACTGTCACATTTTAAATTTGACAACTAGTACTGATGAGAGGAAGAGTCCAACTTGGAAAGACTGTGGAGGGTGTCAAGAGTGAATTTCAGTTATATACAAACTTGGCGTGGATTAAAGCTGTGGAAAGTTATGATGAACACCCAGCTAGGTGTCCAGCCTGGGAAAGGCATAACAGCACATGCAGTGGTTAGCGGGTTTGCGGCATCAGCTCACCTGCACACTGCTAAGTTCCTTCCCCTGAGGGCTTCTTCAGGCGGGCAATGGTGAATCTTTTCTTTGGCGAGTTGGGGTCCTCTCCATCCCAGAGAGACTCAAGCATGGTTCTTCAGAAAGGCATTACTTTTTCTTTTTTGCCTTTTTCTCTTTCTTTTATTTCCTTTTCCCTTTGTCCTTTGCCTTTTCTGTGCTGCCTCCTGTTATCGCCAAGGCACGTTTTTTACCCAGAGGAGTTTTGGCATACCAGTTCTGAAATACAATAGAAGTTTCGGAAAAGGTCAGAATGACACCAATTCACCGCAATACTCTTAAAAATAAAGAAAAGCCTGCTAAGCAGGAAGGGGCAAGCAGCCATTGTACTTTGGGCATTTAAGGTATGCTTGACACAAGCTCTTTCTCAGTGGGTTTTCCAGACTGTTTTTCTGCATGATTTGAAACTTCAACCTGTATTTCTGCATGATTTGTTAACTCAGGGAGTTAACAATTTCAGAGAATCTCAGGCTAAACCTAACCAGCCATCCTTCCCAACAAAGTTGCCTGTTTTTCCGGGGTTGGGTTTTCTTGGTAACGTGAAGGGTGCTCATGGTTCATATGTGGCCATGTTCAGTAAACAATGGGCGGCCATTCAACTACTCTGGGGGAGTTGCTGTTGAAACCACGGTAGAAATAATGGAGCCCAAATACTAACCAAGAACTTAGTGATTGTAACTGGCCCCACAATGGCATTTTTCTCAACCTTTGCGTTTTATTTGAAACCTAAGAGACATTTGGGTTTATAAACTTTATAGTAGCAATATTTCATTGCAGGATTATATTACATGTTATTTATCGATTCTCCTATTAATGGATATATGACATTTGAATTTTTGGTTATTATGAAGAATGCTGAAGTTCACAATTTTTACAAATCTCCTTGTAACTATGTGAGAGAACCTCTTTAGGGCACACATTTAGAAATAGAACTCCTGGGGTTGTAGGGTTTGAACATCTTCAATTTTACTTGGTATTGCTAAATTGCTCTCTGAAGTTCTGTAAGTGGGAAACTCTCTTGGTCTTTGTATGTCTTTTTTTTTTTTTTCTTTTTTTGAGACTGAGTCTCACTCTGTAGCCGAGGCTGGAGTGCAGTGGTGTGATCTCAGCTCACTGCAACCTCTACCTCCTGGATTCAAGCAATTCCCCTGCCTCAGCCTCCGGAGTAGCTGGGATTACAGGCGTGCGCCACCACACCCAGCTAATTTTTGTATTTTTAGTAGAGACGGGGTTTCACCATGTTGGCCAGGCTGGTCCTGAACTGCTGACCTCAAGTGATCTGCCCGTCTCGGCCTCCCCAAGGGTAGGGATTACAGGTGTGAGCCACGGTGCGTGGCTTCATATGTCTTAAAATGTCTCTTTTCTCCTGTCTCTTGTATGCCAGTTTAGCTGGATACAAATATTAGGCAGATAGTTGTTTTTCCTTAGTACTTTGTAGATATTATTTCACTATCTTCTGGCACCTATGGTTGTTAAAGAGATGTCTGATTTCCCAATTGTTTCTTTGTAGGTAATCTGGTAGGTTTTAAGCCTGGCTTTTAATCTTGTTCTTAAGTTCCCAACAATATATCTAGGTATAGATTTATTTGATTTGTTCTGCTGATTACTAGGAGTTTATTAGTTAATAAATTATTTTACTTGGAATTGATTTTTAATCCTTCTTTAATTCAGGAAAATTCTCAGTAATAATATCTTTAAACAATTGTTCCTCTGATACTTACTGTATTCTTTTTGTGTTCTAGAACTTATTGTGTTCTAGAACTTCCATTAATGAAGGTCAGTGTCTTCAACCCACCTTTGATGGATCTTTGTATTTTTATGGATTTTACCTTCTTGTTTTTTTGTGCTGACTATTTGGGGGTACTCCCCAGGACCATCTTCCTGTCCACAGATTGCTCTTTGATCATGTTTAGTTTAGAGTTCATACCTCTTTCATTTCCTTTGTCATTTTATACTGATTGCCATATTTTTAATTTCTAAGCTTTCTTTCTTTTTCTTTGCAATTCAGACCTTAGCTTCTGACTCTCTAAGCTTTCTTTTTGTAATATTTTTTCATAATTATCTCTTCTCATTTCATTTTTTTCCAAAATGTTCTGTGCATTTCTAATGGAAGTCATGCTCTCATTTATTTTTTGAACATCTTAATTATATTAATTTAAACATTTTGTCAGATTGTATTTAGCACTAGATTTCCTAAAATGTTTTGGAATTTTGATTTTCAGATTTGTTGTGTGTGTGTGTGTGTGTGTGTGTGTGTGTGTGTGTGTGTGTGTGTGTTTGAGATGGAGTCTTGCTCAGGCACACATCACCACACCTGGCTAATTTTTGTATTTTTAGTAGAGGCGGGGTTTTGCCATGTTGTTCAGGCTGGTCTCGAACTCCTGACCTCAAGTGATCCACCTGCCTTGGCCTCCCAAAGTGTTGGGATTACAGGTGTGAGCCACCATGCCTGGCCAAGATTCATTTTGAATGGGAAGTTTTGTTTTGGGCTCTGTCTCTCTCTCCTTATTCTTTCCTCCATAGCAGTTCTACAGCTGCTTCTATAAGATCCTCTAAACTCAAATACAGAACCAGGTCTTATAATGATGTTTTTGATTGATGCTTCCCTTAATGCTTCCTGGTGATATTAGGGATATCAAAGATCCAGTCATAAAAGAAGCAGGTATTATCATTTTATCTTTCACAAACTGTTCTTTTTGTTTTTGTTTTTGAGACAGAGTCTTGTTCTGTCACCCAGGCTGGAGTGCAGTGGCACGATCTTGGCTCACTGCGACCTCTATCTCCCAGGTTCAAGAATTCTCCTGCCTCAGCCCGGGACTACACACGTGCACCACCATACCTGGCTAATTTTTGTATTTTTAGTAGAGACAGGGTTTTGCCACGTTGGTCAGGCTGGTCTCGAACTCCTGACTTCAAGCGATCTGCCTGCCTTGGCCTCCCAAAGTGCTGGGCTTACAGGCATGAGCCACCGTGTTCAGCCAACTCTTAAACTCTCTTTGATTTCTATCCTTTATTTTTCTCTATGCTGCATTCTAGGCAATTTTCTTTGCTCCCTTTTTCAGTTCTTTTGTTTTCTCTTTAGTTTTGTCCAGTCCACAGACAATTTATTCACTGAGTTATTTATTTATTTATTTTTTGAGATGGAGTTTCGCTCGTTGCCCAGGCTGGAGTGCAATGGCATGATCTTGGCTCACTGCAACCTCCGCCTCCTGGGTTCAAGCAATTCTCCTGCCTCAGCCTCCGGAGTAGCTGGGATTACAGGCATGTGCCACCACGTCCAGCTAATTTTGTATTTTTAGTAGAGACGGAGTTTCTCCATGTTGGTCAGGCTGGTCTCGAACTTCCGACCTCAGGTGATCTGCCCGCCTTGATTCACTGAGTTTTTAATTTTAATGACTATATATTTTTTTCACTATCAAAAGTTCTATTTGGTTCTTTTTCAAATTTTCCTGTTTTTCCTCCCTAATGTTTCTGGTCTTTAATTTAAACATGCTTATTTTGTAGTCTCTTTCAGAATGTCCTTTTATCTCAGGTTCTTGGTAGTGCTATTCTGTTATTTGCATTTGCTGACTCTCCTTGGGGTAGATTATTGCTTGTGGCTCATAATTTTTTATTATGAACTCATCTTTAGCAAGGCTGGTATTTCCTGTAGGAATCCTATGTACCCTGACTTGGCTAAATTTCCATACAGAGTGGTTTTTAATTTTGCTTTTGATGTGACTTCAGGGGTTTTAATGATACCATTATCATTTTAAAAATTATATTAATATTTCAACTCGAGATTCTGGGACCATGGAGGTAGTACAGATTTGGAAGTTTGACATGCATGGTGTAGGCTTGGATTTTGATTTCTTATGGGCCACTTTTATTCCCCACCTAGATCCCTGAGAAGATCACAAGTTCCTTGATGCTTCCCCATGGCAACCTATAAAGTGTTCCAACTTTGTGCAGTTCCAGCATTCTGTCTCTCATGGGCCTCTCCTTGCCTTTCTGTTTGGATCTTATACACCCCTAGGCCACCCATGTATTAGCTCATATAGTTGTTCCTGTCTTTGAGATGTACCTCTCTGTTAGTGGCACTGGGGGATTCCCTCTTCCTTCTTTTAGCCTTGGCTCTGTTTTTAATGTAAGGTGAGGTGGCCATGTACTTAAGGCGATGAACTCCTAATTTATCGAGACCCCGTACAGAATATAGTTAATGAAGTTCGCTTTGGGGAAAGGTATGAATTTCAGCTCTGCTACTTTCTAGTTGTTACTTGCCTCTTGTATTGTTTATTTTATTGCTGCTGTGGCAAATTTCCGGAAACATGGTGGCTTTAAGCCACACATTTATGATTTCACAGGGCTGTAGGTCAGAAACCTGGAACGGGCCTCACTGGGTGACAATCAAGATGGCTGCAGTGCTGTGTCCCTTTCTGGAGCCTCCAGGTGAGAATCTTTCCCTTGCCTTTTGCAGCTCTCAGAAATCACCTGCTTTTCTGGCTTGTGGCCCCTGCTCCACCTTTGGATAGCAATGCTGGGCTACCTGGAGTACCAACGTGCCCTTCTCAGACTGCTCTCTCTGGTTTTCTCTTCCAACTCCCTCTTCGGCTTTTCATGATTACATTGGACTCACCAGGATAATTCAGGATAATCTATCTTCAGGTCAGCTGACTAGCAGGCTTACTCCATCGGCAGCCTTAATCCCCCTGTGCCGTGTAACCTCACTTATTTTCAGGTTCCAGGGATGAGGATGTAGACGTCCTTGAGGGGCCATTATCCGGCCTACCATGCCTGTCCATATCTCAGTTTCCTCATGTGCAAAACAGGGGGTTATGAGTCTAAATGAGTCAGTACAGTGGCTGGCACATAATAAGCAGTCAATACGTATTAGCTAACATTATTAGACTTACTATCATCGTTATCATACATATTCTCTCCATCATGTCTGTGGAGCAGGGTAGAACGTGTTTGGAGAATCTGCAAGGTCTTCATCTGAGATAACGTTGTCGGAAGCACAATTAGGTGAAATTTCTCAGGGTTTGCCTCATTAGAAGGAACCATAGCAATGGTATCACATTATTCAGGAGAGTGTGAGGGTGTCACTCCATCTATCCATGTGTTTAATGAATGTGTCCCTAAACAAATTTATTAAACATCTACTTGGGGCCAGGCACAGGGCCAAGCACTGTTGCTGTAATGGAGGCACAAAGGGATTGGGTGGAAAGGGTAATGATGGCAAAATGATGCAGTTTCTTTTGAAAATGAATAGAGCAAACAAATACACCAAGAATGGATGTGTGAAGCATATGCATTCTCATCCCGGGTCATAAAAGGGTAGTAATTCCTTTTCTTGAATAGTGTGATCAGACCTCAAGCACCTATAGATAGAAAAACTTCTAGAGATTACTTCGGAAAGTTAAAGGCTCAGCCACGAGAAAGGATAGGCTTCCACACCTTATCATCTAACTCCTCAAAATAAGGAGGAAAATTAATATTTTAGAAAGGAGAAAAAATGGGGAATTTCAGAAAAGAATATGATGTATCATTTGAAGAGGATAATATCAGCAATTATGAACAGGTTTAAACAGTTAACGAGAATATTACTAATAATTCAAATGCTTGGTAAACACTCAGCTAGAGTTACATTTTTTTTTCAGCCTTGCCAGAGCGGGGGTCAGCAAAATATGGCTGATGGGCCAAATTTGGCCTGTTGTCTGTTTTTGCAAATAAAGTTTTATTGGAACCCAGCCATACGCATTCATTTCTGTATTGTGTATAGGTGCTTTTGTACTATGATGCACAACTGAATACCTGTGATAGAGACTGCATGGCTCTCAAAGCCTAAAATATTTACTATCTGGACCTTTATGGGAAAAGATTGCCAAGTTCTGTGCTAGACCATTACTTCTGAAATCATTATTATGACTATTTTTCACCTTTCTAATGCTTCACTGAAGAATTAGGGGCAAACCAGGAAGGAATCATAGTTTTAGATTTGATGGAAAAGTGATGTGTTGCAGAGGGAAATTTTCCTGATGTTAAGCAGGCTCCCAGAGATAGGCTTGGATGGGAATTTCAGTGCCCCTTCTGGTGACTGCACAGCCAATATTGTGGTGGTCTTCAGTTGCATGCATATAATCTCTTACCTTTGGAGTTGGTCAGGGAAACTTCCTTCAGAAAGACAACACCACTGTATTTATTTTTGCTTAAAGGAGAGCAGGCAGAGTTTGAGGAGTGCCTGCTGGCCTGGGCACTCCTATAAGAGAGGGTGTTGGGAGAGATAATTCTCAAAGTTTCCTTCAGATCCAAAAAGTTCTGTGAATAGGTCAGAATGTATTCAAACATTGGAAAACTAAATTTTGATGAGTTATCTTGTGGCTTCCTATCGCAAATGAACTGAAACTGAAAAACAAAGTGTTCCATGACAATTGTGGGCCCCAAACAGCATTGGCTTGAACTATACTATTTGGGGAATGATTTCTCTACGCAAAACTTATTCCATAATACCAAATATGAAGTAAAAACCCAAATAAGTATATGTGTCTATGTGAATCCAATGGTGTTGAAGCTGCTACTCAATTCTGCAATTGGGCTGTTAATATATAAGGCCACACACCATGGTTTTCCTAAAATTTGGAAGATACATGCTTTACTGCCAAAACCCCAAAGATTTTGTCATCCAAAATTTCAGGTTTCCAAATTTCACTGTATATGGCCGAGTTCCAATTCACGAAACCCACGGAACTGCAGAGGGAGGAGGCAGCGTGAGGAGTGTCTGCTGCTAAGACTTGGTCATCAGGGTGTTCATTTACCTTAAAGCTCTCTTCTTCCTCTTTGTACACTGGATTCATGCTGGTTATCGCCGTAATAAACTCAACTGCAGTGAGAGGTTTATGAATTTGCCGCCGGATTCTCTGATCTGTGAGCACGCCTTTAACCACTTCGACTATATGTCCTTGGGTGAAGCCGTCAGTGACCTTCGCCAGGCAGCTGACATTCAAGGCACTGGTGAGGACTCCTCCATTGCGTTCAATGATTTGCTTCCACAGAACTGTTGTATCCAGAAAAGACACAGAGAACAAGGGTTACCACAGAGAAATCAGTGCCAGTTTCCCTCTCGGTTGAAAGTTGCATCTCATCAAGAAAGGAATACACAGAAGTCTACTCTAGCTTATTTGTAACTCAAATGAACCGAAGCCAAGTAACTAAATGCTTTCCTCTAGAGAATTTTCAACCATAAGCCATACATATCAATGACCCTGAGGTCTATAGATCCACAAGTGCCCTGCAAATTAACAAGGAGAAACACAAAACCACCGTCAGTATAGTTTTAATGTGGTACCTGTAAAGATGTTGACAATCTGTCAACACTGGAAATTTTCATAAGGTGTATAATGGCATCTCTTCTCATCAGAATATTGTATTTCCCAAGTAATTTGGGTAAGTAGTTTAACTTTTTTTTTAGATATAAAGTTAATTTCTCACATTATTTTTACATCTGGAATCAGAATGCAGATTCCAGTTTTCATCAGCTACTGCCAGGGTCAGTTCCCTTTCAGTGGAAGACACTGTATTACACATTTTATTAAATAGAGCAATTTGACCCTTATTCTTTCCCCCTCAGCAACTGTAAACACGCATTGGTTGACTAGAGTCCTTCAGATGAGTCCTGGGTGTTCTCTGGTTCGTGGGACCTGGAGTAAATGAGATATTTCAATCTGAACACAGGGATGCTGTGAAAATGAATTATGAAATAATTCTGGATGCTTAACTTTAGAGATGGAATGAACTCCTGTACAATCCTTAAAATCATTCTGTATTTGGAGAATTACCTCTATTCTGTAAAGGGAGCACAAGGGAAGTAAAGGAGACTTGCTGTAACTTATTTAATTATATCGAGACGGTGGAGAAGGGTGAAGGGTGTTTACAAGAGCATCTGTCAGTCTCAGCACTGGGATAATCTGGTCAAATATTTCTAAACCATTTTGACTTTTCTTGAGGAACACTTGAAACCATTTTTTAAAAAATGACCATGACTACCTGATCTGAGCATTGTCAGGCCTGGTAAGCGGTTAATTCTGAGTCTGTTAAATGACTACATCACACAAGTATGTTGATCCAAAAATGGCTGATAAAATGAAAAGATCTACTTACTATAAAGGAATAAAATGGCCTATAATGTAACTATGAACCAAGCTGGAGAATCTGGCTTTTGGGCCACGAGCTATTGCAGCAGTTCACTCCCACTGTCCTCTTTTGGGGGGTCCTTGGCCCTGTGGGTGAGCTGAGCTGCTGGGAAAGGGTGAACTGTACCTTGGGGCCTGCCAATTTCTCTGAGCTGTGGATGCATAGGCATCCAGGGTTTGGAGATCTGCAGTGAAACCAAGGAGGGCCACAGGGACCCCAAATTGGCCTAAAGGATCATGAAATCCCTGATCTACTCTGCTCCTGCCTTGGTGGGTTTCTTTGAGCTTGAGCCCCAAACTAGTCTTATCCGTAAAACAGGCATAGAAGGATTGACTTCTCAGTGCTGCTGTGAAAAACAAGCCCAAAAATGTTTGTAAAGCGCTTGGAAGTGCAGCAGCCCGGCACTTGGTGGGGACTTGACTTTCTGTGGCTGTGTTACTGTTGTTATTACAATGACAATGATTGTTCTTCATTCTATATTGCACTGAAGTTTCCTAACCCTCATTAAAACATCAATTACAAAAGACAACACAAAATAGGCTACAAGAGTGTTTCAAAGCCTGTTTGTGTAGCGATGGATGGCAGCCGGTGAAGATTATCCTTGTCTAAATATAACTGTTGCAGAGTTAGAGATCAGAAAACATAACCCATGGTAAAAATGATCATCACAACAACAACAACTAGCCCACATCTTCACTTGAGATCTGGTGTGTCTTCCGTCCAAATTTATAACATCTAAACAAAGTACCACCGGGTCTGAGTGGCGACTCTGGAAGCTGAGAAGGGAACATGATTTATGGGAGAGTCACAGGTAAGGCCCCAAAAGCTGAAGTTGACATCCCAGGCTGGGTTTCATGCTTGCGGACTTGGTTCTGGGCACGCATGAGCAAAATTCCTGCCGTGGTGCAAAAGGGAACTATCAGTGGGAAGGGGTGAGGGCCACGTGCTCACTGGCAACCAATAACTAACTCTCTCCCTGGCTTCTCTGTGAAGCCACAACAGTCACAATCTTGGAAGTTTTCTGCCCAAATCATCCAACCTTCTTGCAGGAGTAATCACTCGATGAGTAGAGATTCATTAGTAACGGTGTACAGTTACTGTACTGGGAAAGGGTGAACTGTACCGTGGGGCCTGCCAGTTTCTCCGAGCTGTGGACAATTAGGCATCAAGGCTTTGGAGACCTGCAGTGAGACCAACAAGGGCCAGAGGGACATGTAAACCCGCTGCTGCCCATTTAAAGTGTAGGATACTTGGTGTTCACGGAGAGTTTCGGTCAAGATTCCTCTGAATACATGACTCATTGGTTACTCTCCATAGATCACCATTTTTACTGGAGTTGCAGCAAGAGAGCTCTGTGAGACAGTCCCAGCTGTGGTGGGACCTGCCCACCTGCCTGCTCATCTGAAGATCCAGAGAAGGGGATGCAAAACCAGGCTTGGCTTCCTTCCTGCAGCTGATGAACTCGAGCTGTTGGTCTTTCAAAGAATCGCTTCTATTGCTTTTACACAATCACCCACTCATGGTTTCTTGGCCCTTAAATAGCTGCTGTAGGGCCCACGGTGGTGTCAGGTGTGGAGGGAGGCACAGCGTGGTGGGCTGGGTGGAGACTGGAGCCGGCAGTGAGCATGGGAGCCCCAGAGGCTGTGGGGTCTCTGGCCCAGAAGTGCAGTGGGGAGCACAGATGCACTGCAGTCTTGGGGTGTGGCAATGGCTGTGTTGGTGAAGACCAAGGCTAGGGGCCCCAGAGTGTTGAGGGCAGCAGAGGGGCTCTCCAGGCCAAGTGCTGAATTTTACTTTCCTCTTTTGGAGGCAAAAGGCTCCTCACATCTTCAGACCAATCTACATTCTCTTTCCCTTCTTTGGATGAAAGAGAATTTGGCCTTTGGCTCCCCTTCATCTGCTGTTGACATTCCCAGTGGATTCTGTCTTGGCTGGCGCTCGAGATGACGCAGTCTCTGAACATTCATTTTTATTTGGAGTTTTCCAAAAGCCTGAGAGGTGAATAATGTGATGTGGGTGAGCTTCTGACCCTCTGAAGCCTGGAATTGCAGAAAAGTCTGAAGACAGACCCTGGACCCATCCGACCAGACACTGGGTCTGGGTGGGCCTGTGATGAATTGGGTTATTAGCGAAATGCACCCCAAGGAGAGAGGCAAGAGGAGGAGGGCACTGGGAATGTGGAGAAACGGAAGCCCGAAGGGATTTCTGGGGACCAGACAGGGCATCCATCAGCCTGGGGGGTGGATTTTCTTTGCAGAGACAGCTTGGTCTGGGGGAAAGAAGGAGAGATTGAATGATGTTTGGTGAACCTGAGGGCTGTGTTTCCTCTACAAATCCACCCTTCACTTTTCAGCACCGTCTGTCCCCACGTGGCCCGGAGGAATTTGAGGAGTGGGGCCGCGGGGACTGCTGCACACCTTTGAGCTCCATTGCGGGTGGAGAGACAACTAAGCCACCGTCTATGTTACGGATTGGCAGCCCTTGCTTTATGGACTGGAAGATACTACTTTTGATAGCTGCAAAGACAAGAACAGTCTTTCTGTAAGACAGATGTCCCAGCCACTGTGGCTATGAAAACTTCAAGGTCACTGGAGGAAATGCTGGATGAGGGGCGATGACGTCGGCCAGAATGGCGGCCTGAACACATCACTCCCCAAGACAGAAATATTGAGGAGCTGTGCTTCAGCGGACAGAACCCAGGGCCCCAGAGAAGTGTCTGGTGCAGCTTTATCATTTGCCCACAGGTGGAGGGATGCTTTCTCTCCTTCCTCTCCCATCACGATGCTGTGAGGAGATTCAGGTAGGAATCTGCAGCGTGATCTGAATCCTAAGCGATGTGTGGTGTTTTATCAAAAGAACAAAATTGCTGACCATCCATCAATAGCTTCATTTTTAAAGGGCCTATAGTTTTGTCAAACAATAGAAACCATTCTGTCCAGAGTCCAGAATAATGCTCCAGCCCCTTTGAATTAATAATACCCTACCTTATTCCATTAACACAGCTTAAAATATAGATACCATACAAAAAAGGAAGAAAAAAAGAAGAACGCATGAGAGGAGACAGGGGTAGTCCTGCTAAGGCCAGGGGTGTGGAACCCCCGGCATTGGCTGTGTGGGCTGCGGCGAGACTGTGGTGCCTGCCCGTCTTGCGCTGTCTCCTTTCTCGGCTGGACAGCGCTGCCCCCTTCATCCATGTTTCTCATTCTGGCCAACATGATCTGGCTGGAGGAAATGTTGGCTTCTTCTGGGTCTAGTCCTTAAGATCTTCTGTGACTCCTCCATCCTGTCTTCCCTCGCTTCTTTGGATGCTGGCCAGGTGCAAAAGGTTCATGGGGGACGTTTTGAGGCCCTAAAAGATGAAGAAGGCACTAGATGGATGCAGAAATAGCTGGGCCTAAAGTGTTCCTGTATTTTGTGTATAACACTGATTTAGAAAGCCAGGATCACAATTTATCAAGACAGAAATAAGCACATGTTGCAAACACAGTGGCTAATAAGCTAGCTGTTTATAGCATGCAGGGAGTAGATGGTTGTTCTTTTAGCAAAAAAAACGGAGCAGCAACTTACGAACAGCCAGAGAGGACCGTATATGCCCTCTGCTTTGCGGTGCTCACGTGATTGGAGAAGGAAGAACAGAAACCAAGTCTGACCTAATCACTGTATTACTACCATTCATGCTGACCACCACCACCACTGCCACCACGGCCACCACCACTGCCACCACGGCCACCACCACTGCCACCACGGCCACCACCACTGGCACCAGCACGTCTGCTGCTCCTGCCACTGACCATCATCATCTCCAGTGTCAAATGTGACCTTTGCCACCATTCCCAACACCCTCCCCAGAGCCACCCACACCACCATCAACACAGTCACCCTATCTCCCGCCTCCTCAGCGTCACCCCACACTGCCTCCACCCCTACTGCCAGCAAGCACTTCTGTCTCCATTAGCACACGCTGTCACCTCCCGCCAATCCCCTCCACCATCTGTAACACCAACAGCACCATCGCCATCTTACCTCCAAGTCCTCACCGCTCCCCGCCAGTGCAGTGTTACGGTGGCCCCGCCACGAGCCACCCCTGTGCATTCACACCCGTGTGTCCTCGGCCTCCCTCGAATCTGGGCTGGCCCTGTGCCTTCCTCTTGACCACAGAGGGTGGTGATGGTGCCTCTGTGTGGCTTGTGAGGCTGGGTCACAAGAATCCTTTCAGCTACTGCTCCAACTTCTTGAAACATGTGCTCATGAGATAACCCGTCGTGGGACCCAGCTGCCAGGTCTGAGAAGCTGCACTGAGGCCAGGTGCAGCCTGTCCGGTCGACATAGGCCCCGCTCAGTGCCCACGACGGCCAGCAGCAACTCCAGTCACATGCGCGAGCGATCCTGGGTATCCACACTGTCCAGTCTCCAGACGAAGGAGACTCAACTTTCATGTGACTCTCACATCATGAGGTACATTAAGGAGAATGCCCCAGCTCTGCCCAGACAACCCTTGGAAGCACATGGTGGAATAACGTGCTGTTTGAGCCTTCAGGGAGGTTTTCACACAGCACTAGATAGCAGAACGGCCGCCAGCACTCTCCCCAGCTTCCCCTGCCGTTCACCACCCGTCCTTCCCTCCTCCTGCCCAGCCCACACCACCTTCTTCTCTTCCTCTACCTCCACTGCCACTGCCGCCAACACCCTTTCTCTCTGGGGGCCACATGGGGCCAGGTGCTCTGCTAACACCTCGTGAGTGTCACAGCAGCCCTGTGGCGTGAACCGTTCTCCTACTTCACAGATGAGAAGATGAAGGCTCAGAAGGTGACCGACTTGTCAGGGTCACCCAGCTATGCAGGGGCAGAGCCAGGATTCTGAGCCAGGCGTCCTGAGAGCCCCAGCCCAGGCTCCTCCTCGCTCCACTGCTTTGCCTCCCAGGGGCTCTTTTTTTGTGTCATTCCCATTAAAAAACATGTTTCAAAAGAAGTGGATTTTGAATCTATTTAAGGAGAAGGAATTGAAAAAGTAAGCTCTCGTTGTATTTTAATGTTCATTTTAAGTAAATCATTACACAAGTGGACTTTGAGACTGGAAGAAAAAAAAAAAAACCCAACCCGGTGAAAAGAAACTACACTCTATGAGGAAGACACCATCACCATGGGTGCAAGGTGAGTGATCTTAATCTACCCGTCCCAAGAAAAATCAGCACCCACAAGGCTTTTGTCACTGTCAGGGCCAGAAATCATAATCCTTGTCCAGTTTCCTTTTGTCTTGGGTAGAGAGATATATGCTAAGAACAGAACGTGACCTAGTGGTTTATATCTGCAGCACATGCTCTGTGTTGGGTGCAGGTGCACACACCCCACCGGGTGCAGGCTCCCCTCAACTCATCTGGCGCCCACCGGGTCCAAGGGCCGCCCTCCTGGCAAGCACACAGTGGACAGCCCAGCCTCAGCTATCATGCATGGGAAGGGGCTGGGGGTACTTGCCGTATCTGGAAGCATAGTCTGGTCTGGGCACCAAAATAATTTTCTGGTAAACTTTGCAGAAAGATTGGAGTTCAGCATCGAAGGGACGCCGTGTGGTCCCCACAATCAGAATCCGGTCATCTGGTTTCAGGAGTTTCAGGATTTGGGGAAGGTGTTTTTTCAGGCGTTTAGGTTCATTCTGGGAGAGAGAAAAAAAAATTGGTCCACATATAGAAAAAAAGAATGAAAAAATGAAAGAAAATTTACTTAGGATGCATTGCAGCATCCTTTGTTAAAGTGATTGCAAAGCTCTGACAAACACAATTTCTTAAGGTTTGTCCTGGGATGGGTCTCGGAATGTGCTTCCCAGTATGACCCAGTGGATTTTAATTGTCAGTGTTTCCTTTCCTCAACCTCTGGTGTCCAGATTTAGAGGGTGGGAAGGAAGGAAGCACCTTGGCCCTAGGAATGGGAAGTGGTGGCTGATTTACAAACGGAAGGAAGCTCACTCGGACCTGTAATGAGCTGTGGTGCTCCCATTTTCCTAAGTTGTTTGGAAGCTGGACACAAGACTTCCTTTGCTGATTGCTGGAACAATGAAGAGCCCAGCTCCTGCATCTCATGTCTGAAAAATACCTGGTTACATAAGGCTGTGAAACTTATCTCTCTGAAGCAGTTGGGAAATAGTTTGAACCTGAATTATTTTAGTATAATCTCAGCACTAATGAGGGAGAGGAATGAGCGAGAACAGGCTGGCTGTTCAGCACCCCAGGGAGGACGACTTCCAGCCCGTGGGAGTCAGATCTGACCATGTTGCCATGGGCAACAGCCTGGCTGCAAACGAACCTCGCCCCCAGTGCAGACAGCAAAGAGGAAGCCGGGGAAGGAGAAGCACACCAGGGGCAATGGTGAGAGCCTCTGCAGAGACTTCCCAAGCACAGTCGAGGCCATTTTTGCTCCCATTTGGCTGACGGCTAATGATGTTCCTGCGTCTTTTCATGTGCTTATTGGTCATTTGTGTATCTTATTTGGAAAAATGTGTATTTAGATTGTTGGCCCACTTTAAAAGTTGGGTTATTTGTCTTTTTATTATTGAGTTGTAAGGGTTCTTTGTAGGTTCTATTAATAGATAGAAGTCCCTCAATATTACATGGTTTGCAAACATTTTCTTCTGTTCTGTGGGTTGTCTTTTCACTTTCTTGAGGATGTCCTTTGCAGCAAAAAAGTTTTTAATTTTGATGAGTTGCAATTTTCTTTTTGTGGCCTGTACTTTTGGTGTCATATCTAAGGAACAACTGCCTAATCTAAGGTCACAAAATTTATGCCTATATTTTCTTGTAAGAGTGTTCTAGTTTTAGCCCTTATTTTTAGGTCTTTGATACATTATCAGTTGATTTTTGTATATGGCGTGAGGTAAGGGTCCAACTCTTTCTTTTGCAGGCAGCAATTCAACAGTCCCAGCATTACTTGTTGAAAAGATTATTCTTTCTGAATTGAATTGTCTTTGCACCTTTGTCAAAACGAACTGTAATGTAAGGCTTTATTACTGGATTCCTGATTCTGATCCATTGATCTATGTCTCTTCTTAGGCAAGTCCACACTGTCTTGATTGTTGTAGCTTTGTGGTAAGTTGGAAAATGAAATTGGGACATGTGAGTCCCCCAACTTTATTTTTCTTTTGAAGAATGTTTTGGCTGGATCTCCTGAATTTCTGGATGAATTTTAGGATCAGTTACCAATTTCTGCAAATAAGCTGGCTGAGATTTCATGGGAATTGCATTGAATATGTAGGCCAATTTGGGAATTATTACCATCTTAACAAGATTAAGTCTTTCAACCAATGAATACAAATGTCTTTCCATTTATTTAGGCTTCCTTTAAATTTTTCAGCGTTTTTGTAGTTTTCAGAAAAGTCTTGCACTTCTTGTGTCAAAGAACTTTGTGAGAACAATTTCTTTTATTTTTGAGACAGAGTCTCACTGTGTCATCCAGGCTGCAGTGCAGTTGCACAATCTCTGCTCATTGCAATCACCACCTCCTGGGTTCAAGTGATTCTTGTGCCTCCTGAGTAGCTGGGATTACAGGTGTGCACCACCATGCCCGGCTAATTTTTGTATTTTTAATACAGACAAGGTTTGCCATGTTGGCCATGCTAGTCTCGAACTTCTGACCTTAAGTGATCTGCCCGCTTCGGCCTCCCAAAGTGCTGGGATTACAAGTGTGAGCCACCGTGCCTGGCCCTAAGAACTTTGTGAGAACAATTTCTATAGAGTGGTGGGGGTAGCAAGCCGATGGTGGTGGGTTGAGGGGTGAGTAGGGTGGTGAGAAGAGACTTGCCTTAAAGAACAAAGCAGGTGGTGGGAGTGACTGGGCATTTGGGGTGCACATGTGAGCTGCCCAAAGAACAGTGGAAGTAGGACTGATCTGACAGTCCTGGTGAGGCTGGAGACTGAGAATCCATGGGGGTAGAGACACACCTGCATGGTCTGAGCCCACCCTCAGCAACCCAGTTGCCATGGTGATGGCAGTGTGATCCCTGCCCTTTCTGAGGCAGGAGATGACACTGTTACCTTTCTGTCCTGAAATGGCAGGGACATTTGAAATGAATCAGCCTATCTGGATGACAAACGTTGATTCTGGGCAATGTCCAGAGTGACATCCTTGCTGATGGTGAGGTGCAGTCCCATGAACAGGGGACAGAAATTGGTGTGTCATTCAACTGGTAGTTCCCCTACACTCAGACCACCCCCATTCCAGTGCAGAGCCGTCTGTTATGCACGAGACCTGTGCACTCATCCATCATGCCAGCAAACCACCCCATGATCACCTGGCCACCTCCAAAACCGCCGCCCCTACCGCGGGGCCTGCCAGCCCCTCACAACTGTATTACTTTGGGCAATTTCAAATTAGTGGCTAGCATCCACGCAGCAATTTCAATTTGCTATTCTGCAGTTAGCTCCACAATACAACCGCCACAGCCAGCCCCAAGAAAGCAGCGATTCCTTGGCAGAGGCACTATCGTGATGTCAGGGAGGCGCTTGCTAGATGAAGTAACAAAGGGTAATGGGGCAGAAAATGCAGGAGCAGCCCGTGCGCCTCATTCTTTACCGCCTTCACCTCAGATACAAACAACTGACTGAGCGCACTCGAGGCGCAGGTGGGAGGAGACGCTACTCTCCTAGGAGGAGGAGAAAGGAGCGGGCCTGGTCCAGGCGTCTGCAGGGGGCAGGGGTGTGTTTGTAAAAGTGGCAGGGGTTGGAGTGGAGGTACTTGGAGTTTGGACTTTGCTGAAATTCTAGAGGTGTGAGGGGTTCTTTCAAAGATTGCTGAGGACAGTGTGAGGGGAACAGGAGTGTGTGCAGGAGGACAGAGAATTCCGGAGTAGGGCCCATTTGGTTCTAAGACAAGAGGGCCCCAAAGGCAGGTTTTGGGATGATGTTTGGAGTGGCCCCAGGGCTCAGAGGGCCGCAGGGATGCGGTGTGGTTTAGGTGCACCAGGAGGGCTGACCCAATGGGCAGAAGGCGAAGCTGGTGGTTTCCCCCCCATGTCTTCCAGCCTGTGCTGTGTGTGGTGGGGAGAAGGCCCCATTCTGGCAACCTTGTTTCTGAATCCCAGCATGACCCGAGAGCAGCTGTGCGCCTTCTGGGAGCCTTTGTTCTCTTTTGTGTCACAGGGAAAACAATGCCTTCCTCTCAGGGTTGCCGGGAGTTTCCCTGACATATGTATTGTGCTTGGGAAAGAGGAGGTATTCAACTGATGTCCCCCACCGCCACCGGGGTCCTCCTTTTCCTGTCCGCAACAGTGTCCCTGCGCCCGGGAAGTTTGGCTTCCATGCTCGGGTGGCGTCACTGATCTTCGCCATGCCCCAATCCCCGGGTGAGCTTCCTGCCTCTTATTGCGGGAGGGGCCTCACCCAAAGGCAGAGGGGCCGGAGGGTGCATTCAGTCACTGGATTTTCAAGGGGATTTCCCGGAGTCCCTCAACCCCAGGGCAAGGTCGGCCCTGCTGCCTGTATGGCACCCGTAGCTGGTGGAGTGCCAGCCTCCTGGATGTTCTTCTCTGTGCCTCTGTGCCCTTGGGATCAGGGCAGCCTTTGGGACAGAGGCCGGGGCAGGTGGGAGGAAGGACTAGGCTCCCTAGGTGGCTGAGTGATGCAATGAGGAGCAGGTTACGATGCCTCCTGGGCTCCTCTCACCTGTGGATGCCTCTGCTGCCCTTGGCTTTTGGTCACCTTCAGAATGTGGACGTCCAATGCTCATGGCCACCTGGGGCCCTGGTGGCAGAGGATCTTGGGTGAGACACAGAGTCTCAGAGGCTGGGAAGGACAGCAGGACTGGCCCAGTCATGGCTCTGGAGACGCAGGAAGGCAGCAGGAACTCTGCAGCCCTGCTCCCTGAGGGGCAGGCCCCGCAATGCCATCACTGCACGGTGCAGGCCGAGTGGAGCTGGAGTTCCGTGTAGAGCTGGGCATGCACACGCAATGGTTTCCTCCCCCGCTCCTCTCCTGCTGCAGCATTGGAGCTGGGGGTGGAAATACTGGGGGTGGGAGGTGGAGGATGGCATTCATGCCTCTTGCAGCTCTGAGTCTGGGGTGGCTCAGGTCCCCTCGCCGGCCTTGCAGATGCTCAGGAAGCCAGGGTGCCCTTTGGCTTGCAGTCCCCTAGGACTTATCCCAGGGTGTGACTCCTGGTCCTCAGTGCAGTTGACCTCCCCAACACACGACGGACTCCTCTAATGGGAAGTGAACAGAGAAAACGTCCAGTTCATCCACAGCAAAGACCATGCCTCCAGTGGCCTTCATTTCCTACAGGGACAAAGCTAGGCATGGGCAGGGTTTGCGGGAATCGGGGATGGTGCTGAGAGGTTCGCTCTGTGTCAGGAGCACAAGGGCTGATTCAAGGCAGGGTTCCGCAGGCTCGGCTGCTTCTTCACGGCTTTCAGCTCCCTCCTCAGCGCGCCTCCTTCCCCTCACATCCACTCCCTTTATGCGAGGGTGTCTACAGGGTATATTTCATTCCCTGCCTCCAGCTTTCTCTCAGAGGCCCCCTCTCAGCGCTCCTTCCCCAGTGCTCCTCTGGCTCTCTCAGGAGGAACATTCCCGTTCCCCTTGCTCTCCCAGACTCAGATGTGCAGTGAGCAGGCAGCCGCAAGCACTGATGGCAAGCCCAGGGCACTGTGGGAGAATGCAGGGGGCTGCATGAACTCAGAGGCCGTGCGGGCTGAAATGCTTTCATTTAATAGTAAAGGAAGCGGAGGCTCAGAGAGGTTAAGTTACTTGTTTAAGGACACACAGCCAGCTGTGTGAATGCTGTTCACTGCTGGCCTGAGTTCCAGGCCAGTGTCTTCCACTCCCCAGGCTTATGTCTGGTGGGAGAGGGAGTAGCCCCTGCCCATGAATGAGCCAGGTTTCTGATAACTCCAGGTGTGTGACACGTGAGACGAAACACTGCCCTGCATTTCTCTTAGACGTGGGACCTGGTGGAGAACCCGGTCATTCCTGCCATCCATTTTGCATACCTACTTGTGGACCTTTTCAAGTTTTTCTGCAATGCAGCAACTTCGCCAGCAGAGGGAGTGAACTACAAGAGTCCCAGATTAAATAATAAATGAGTTCTCTGAAGACTTTCTGAAATGACAGGGCAATCAAGGCTCATTTGGGGAAGAAAAGATTGAGCTTCCACTCTTTATCCAAATCATCTCTACCTGCGAAAAGTGATGTATAATACATAAGGATCAAAAGTGATTAAAATCCTTATGAATTTAATCAGAAATTCACAGTTAACCACTATTTGCTTTGGTGCAAATTGATGTGGAATAACAATCTCGTGTATCTGCACATTTTTTTTAACTTGTGGGAAATTTGCTGGTGATTTGTGGGGGGAAGTGGTGGAGGAGGGGGACCATTGAAAGGAGAGAAAAGAAGGAAGGAAGCAATTGAAAAAGGACTCCCTGGAGGCCCGAATGTGGTGCACTTAGCAGTTCTGCTGAGGGTCTTTGTTCATCAATTGTGGGCCTTTTGCTATTTATTATGATGAACAATAGGAAATCCTAATAATAACTCCTATGTGTGCCATTTGCTTTAACTGAGCAGAGTTCTCTAAATTGTTTCTTACCTCTGAATCGTATGTTTGGGTGGAAAATCCCTCTCCCCTTTCTTCCACACTTTCTTTCCTTCTAAACTATGTCTCATAAAGTCAGACCACAGAACCCTTTCAAATACAGTTAGGGCAGACAGAGACCACTACAGAGAGCCCCAGTGTTTCCTTCCTCGCTTGAAAAGGCAAGACCTTCTCAAAAAGTAGAGGTAGGCCTTGGTAAGGGCCTCCTTTGGAGGAAAGAAAAGGCAAAAGTAAGGCATGAGAAAGTCCTCACCATCTTTTCTGCGTTGGGAACTTTTTTGTAGAAGGTTTTTTCTGTGTCTTCAATCCACACCACGGAGGGCTGGAGCTGTCGAGCCACCTGCAGAGGAAAAGGCAGGGCCCTGGTTGTAAATGCACTTCCCTCTCAGGTGTGCAGAGCCCTGGTTGTAAATGCGCTTCCTTCTGGGGTGTGCAGAGCCCTGGTTGTAACTGTGCTTCCCTCTGGGGTGTGCAGAGCCCTGGCTGTGAACGTGCTTCCCTCTGGGGTGTGCAGAGCCCTGGTTGTAAATGCGCTTCCCTCTCAGGTGTGCAGAGCCCTGGTTATAAACGTGCTTCCCTCTGGGGTGTGCAGAGCCCTGGTTGTAAACGTGCTTCTCTCTGGGGTGTGCAGAGCCCTGGTTGTAAATGTGCTTCCCTCTGGGGTGTGCAGAGCCCTGGTTGTAAATGCGCTTCCCTCTGGGGTGTGCAGAGCCCTGGTTGTAAATGTGCTTCCCTCTGGGGTGTGCAGAGCCCTGGCTGTGAACGTGCTTCCCTCTGGGGTGTGCAGAGCCCTGGTTGTAAACGTGCTTCCCTCTGGGGTGTGCAGAGCCCTGGTTGTAAATGCGCTTCCCTCTGGGGTGTGCAGAGCCCTGGCTGTAAACGCGCTTCCCTCTCAGGTGTGCACCTGCTCTCCCCGTGCGGCTCATCAGCTCTGCTGCACAGGCACAGAAATGTGTTCTGCAGCTACAACCTGCCCCACCACGTCCCTTCCTTCACAGCAGGACAAGTCCCCACCCCCCCCAACCGCTCCTCTGTCAGTCCTGTTCTGACAGGCAGGACAAGCTTGAGGACAAACATTCTGCTCTAGGACCTCAACATCCTCTCAGTTTGGCTTGAAAGAAACCCACAGTTTTCTGCTGAAAATGAATGGAGAACTGGGCCACGAGTTTTAATTACCGCCTCTGGCCGTTCCCGGGTTTATTCAAGTTTGCTTACCATGAGAAAAACCGTTTCAGCACTCGGGCCCCCACGAGGCTATTTGTTCATCTCTGTTTGGCTGTGCCTTTGTGGCCTAGGCTCCCCCTGAAAGGTGGCTCCGAGCCCCTCTGGACAAGCAGGGCCTCGCGACAGAGCTGGGATGGGACTTACCCTGGGCCCATGAATAATTGCTGTACACCTAACAATCTCTTCAAAGCACCCCTGTGATAGCGAAGTTCAGGTATTTTTGCAACAATTTGTGCTTTGTGCGAAATTGTGACAGATAAAAGCCATGGTGAATACAGCGTTATGTACTCCTATTTTTATATTTCTTAAAACATCATTAAGGCAGCAGGCATGATTTTAAACCAAGACAGTCATTCAGTGAGTGATGGAAAAATCGCTAGGGACACTCTACTGTGTCTGCCTCCCTGTCATTATGTACGAAGTGGCAAGTCAGGGCTATAAAGCAGATTATGCGCCTTCAAAGGCAGAAGTGGGCACTGATTGAACTGGATCCTTGCGCTGGCCCAACGCCTGGGCCGGCTGCATTCCCAGGCCCCAACACACACGGACATTCAGAGAGAAAAGAGTGCCAGCCAAGCACCATTTGATAGGTATTTTGCAGACCCAGAGTCACAGAATTTAGGAACTCAGAATCCCAAATTTTAATCGTGATCCCTGAGCCAGTGTGGTGTGATAACTGCAGTGAATGAGTTGGCAGACATGTGCCAGGCATCAGCCACCTATGTTGTGCCCAGCATCACACATGGTCAGAGCCAGCACACACCTGGCGCTGCCTCCTCCTGGAGGCCTTAGCACATGTGGAATAAACTGCTCATCTCATCTGAACCCTATGAAGCAGATAACAATGAACCATTGTTATCATCCCTGTTTGCAGACAAGGAAACTGAGGCTTGCAGACATTAATTGATGGCCCTGGTCATACAGGTCCAGTGTGGCAGAAGCAGGACTGGAGGCCAGGCTGGGGGCTACAATCTGTGCTGGCAGCTGAGGCAGCCTATGCGGGTTCCCTCATCTACTCTCACCACGAGCGTGAGGGGCCAGCCCTAGGACCTCTGCTTCGGAGCTGAGAACTGAGACGAGTAGGTGGTTATGTTACAGTGGGGAGCTAGTCGGGCATGAGCAGGGCAGGAGAAGGCTCCTTCCAATACATACACACACCAAGAATGTCAGGTGACCATCCCATGATGGGCAGGTGGTTGTTTTCTGTATTTCTATAATAATCATTGGTCACAGCCAGCACTAGCGAAAGGCAGTCTCCCAATAAACAGAAACACCGGAAGTGGGTGATCAGCAGCTTCCCAATAAGATCTCAGGGGTTGGGCGAGTGGGTTCAACCATGTGCATTAAGAGGCAAAACGGTGGAATTTAACTGGCCTATGACCTTCTAGGGACATTCGACTGGTAAGGGAGGAGCATCTCAAGTGAGCATGCGCACAACTCCAGTGAACACACTGTGCATGCATGCTCCCTCCCAAGTGCTGGCAGGCCACTGTGCATGCGGACAGCCCACCCCAAGGGAAGAATCAGGAGAGAAGGGACGCAAGACCCCAGAAGCATGCTAACATAGAAAACCCAGGCTGGAGTGCAGTGGCACGATCTTGGCTGACTGCAACCTAGAGCACGAGACCTCTCACCCTTCGTTCTGCTGAATGTGGGGGTGATCTGCATTTGTGAGCACTTTATTTTGGCCTTGCCACTAGGATTTTATTTTTTGGCATGATCAGGGAACATTTTTACACTGCTGGTGGGAATGTAAACTCATAGAGCTGCTATGGAAAACGGTGTGGAGATTCCTTAAAGTACTAAAAGTAGAACTACCATTTGATCCAGCAATCCCACTACTGTACCTACCCAGAGGAAAAGATACAAAAATGATTCTTGCACATGCATGTTTATACTTTGCACATGCAGCACAATGCACAATTGCAAAATTGTGGCACCAACCCAAATGCCCATCAACGAGTGGATAAAAAAACTGTGCTATATATATATATATATATGATGGAATACTACTCAGCCATAAAAAGAAATGAATTAACAGCATTTGCAATGACCTGGATGAGATTGGAGACTATTATTCTAAGTGAGGTAACTCAGGAATGGAAAACCAAACATCGTACGTTCTCACTAGGACGCGAAGGCATAAGAATGATACAATGGACTTTGGGAACCTGTGGGGAAGAGTGGGAGGGGGGTGAGGGATGAAAGACTACAAAAAGGGTGCAGTGTATACTGTTCAGGTGATGGATGCACCAAAATCTCACAAATCACCACTAAAGAACTTACTCATGTAACCAAATACCACCTGTACCCCCAATAACTTACGGCAAAAAAAAAAAAATCAAAATCTCAAATCTCAAATCAATGAGTAGGTTATTAACTATAGCACCTGCCAGTGGACTCGAGGAGCTAGTCTATTTCAAAGCCTAGCCAAGAAGACTAGCTGATGAGGAGAAACACCAAGCCGGGCGCTTTGCCCCCGAGCTTTCATCAATGAAACAGACAAAATGCTACAGGATAAAGGAACTCTCTCGTCTTCTCTCTTCATCTTTGATTTTTAAAAGAACGTTTAATAAAATCAGCTCTCTAGTAGATCACAGCAAAGTATTAAGTGATTCTCCAGCTTAAACATTCTGTGCTTCTACAAAGAAAGCTTTTGCATAAAATGTAGATTCGAAGGGGTCTCTGAGCTGGCAATCCGGAGTTCTAGTCAGTGTGCAGGAGAAAGTTGCCACAGGAGGGAAATCCAGGAGAAAATGTAGGGTGGGCTCAAGGGCCTTTGGAAATGGAGCTCGACGCTGTACACTGAGCTGATCTATACTGATCCCGGCTGGGCACCATACCCTCTGCTAGAGCAGCAAGGGCAGGAAGAGGAATGGGATGGGTCCGGTCCGAACAGGGTCACTCCAACCGGGAAATGCACCCAGTCAGGGGCGACAGCACCACGTGGTGTTGACAAAAACACATGCTTGGAAGTTGGAGAAAAGAGACCCCTGTGTGCAGAGTCTCACAGTAGCAGGTAAGTGAGGAGGGGGCGGAGCACAAGCCAGAGAGGGAAGCCTCTTTCTTCCCCTGACAATTCAGTGCTTCTCACTGGGATCACTAGGGGAGCTTTGGAAAGTACGACCTCCGGGTCTCAGCCCTGGAGATTCTGGTGTGACTGGGGTGTTGTCTGGCGTTAGCAGTTTTGAAAGCTCCCCAGATGATGCTGAAGAGCAGACATGGTCAGGAAGCCCCGCTCGGAAGCACAGATGTCTACTATGCACTGGCTTATGCACAGGTTCCCAAAGACCCTGCCCTGGTTTCTCTGCACTCTCTCAATACCACCTTGAGGGCTGATCTCAACCACTCTGGTAGCTTCAGCTGGCCTCTACGTGCTGACCACAACCAAATGCACATCCAGAGCTCCAGGCCAGAGTTTCCCATCCCCACATGGTGCCTGCCTACTGAAGCCTCAGAAGGCCACCTTCCCTCCCTCCATCCTGCCTCCTGCCCGTTCCCTGCGTGACTCTGCTCCTACCCAAGCCAGAGGCCTGGGTATCCACCCTTGTCTCATTCCCGACACCTAACAACCCCACAGTCTATTCATGGCACTTCCTAATCCCTTTCAACTCCAAGTCTTCCATTCTCTCAGCTCCTTGGTGCAAGCCCCCGATTTCCTTCCAACATGGCCTGGGCACTGCTGCCAAGGGATGGAGCTGAAGAGTGAGGAGGGGGCAAGCTCCAAGGGGCCATTGTTCCCTTACAGCTATTTTGAGTTTAAGTCAAAAGCTTCCCTACTTCCAGCTCCAAAAGTAAATAAGAAAATGAGACGTTGTATGTAAAAGGTTTATACTTCGTAAAGATAATTTGTAATAACAAAGGCAAGATCTTATTTTTTTTCAGTACCTCTTAAGAATCTCAGTTTTAGAACTGAATCCAATGGAGAAACCATCTTCGCATCAACAACTATCTCTTCAGATTGGATAAAGAAAATGTGGTACATATACACCATGGAACACTATGCCGCCATAAAAAAGAATGAGACTATGTCTTTAGCAAGAACATGGATGGAGCTGGAGGCCATTATCCTTTCCTTAGCAAGTTAATGCAGGAAGAGAAAATCAAATACCACTTATTCTCACTTATAAGTGGCAGCTAAACAGTGAGAATGCATGGACACGAAGAAGGGAACAGCAGGCACTGGGGCCTCCTTGAGGGTGAAGGTTTGGAGGAGGAAAATGAGTGGAAAAAATCATTACTGGGTACCGGGCTTAATGCCTGGGCGATGAAATAATCTATACAACAAACCCCTGTGACACGAGTTTACCTATGTAACAAACCTGCACACACACCCCTGAACCTAAAATAAAAGTTAAAAACAAAAACAAAAGCAACCGTCTCTTGTCTTAGCTGACTGCACTCGTGGCTGCTGTGGATCACTTCTCGCGATGTCCACGTGGCAAGCAATGGGTTTTCCATAGTGCCTATTGGGGCCTCTATTTTCTCAACCCAGATGGGAATTGCAGATGTGAATACCAAGTATTTCAGCGTTAACTTTTCTCTTTTTGCTCTTAACAAACTAAGCTGCGCAGCCTTGAAACAGGAGTCGCCCTAACTTGGAATGATTTTGAGACCCACAATCTTGTTTCCAGCATCAGATTCTAAATCAGTTGTTTTGAAAACGGCGGCTCCATTCTGTTGACTGTGAAGTTAGCGATTGTTCCTTTAACGTGTAGCTCCTTCAGAACTAATGGGGGAATTCCATGCTTCCTGAATTTTTAACACACACCTGTGAAGGAATTGCTCTCCCTAGTTCAGCAGCTTTGGGGGCACACAGGGTTGTACAGGGCACTCTGGAGTGATGTGGTTTGGAAGGGCTCAATTATTACCAAACAAGACAGAGAACGCTTCCCAAGAGTGTTCTCAGATGAGGATAACGATACAACTGACTTCATTTGCAAAGTGCTCTGGCGTCCAGGACACCATTTGCATCCTCACCGGACACATGCTCCATGTGTGCCAAGCACAGCCAGCGGCTCTCCCCTTTCACAGATGAGGCTGCTGAGGCAGAGCCAGGTGAGGGATGAGTCATGTGCTGGCTCAGCAACTGGTAAGTGCTGGAGGTGGGAGCGGGACCTGGGTCTGCCCAGCACCCACAAGCCCTTGCATGGACCAGGCGGCCGCCACACTGCCAGGGGAGATGGGATGCCTATTCCTTGACCTGTACCGCTACCTGATCCGCTACCATCTTTCATCCCAGCAGGAAGAATGCTAAAACCATCACTGTCTTGCCCTCCAGAGCTCGGATCTCTGGCTTTCCTGACCTTCCCCTGGGGAAGCTGAGGGGCCTGCTGGTCACAGGACCCCTGGTGACCATGTTCAGGTCTGGCCAGAAAGAAGATGGGCATGGAAACTGGGGCAGTGTCAAGCGGAAGCTACTTCGTCCAGGAGGGATGAAAGGGACAGAGGCTGCTTCTCTTGGAGAAAAGAAGACTTGAGGCTGGTAAGTTTGCTGTTTTCAAACGTGTGAAGGACTGCCATGGGGAAGAAAGGCAGGTTTTGCTATGTTTGGCCCTGAACGTAGAATGAAGGCTGTTCTTTCATTTCTTCCTTTATAAGACATTTACAGAAGAGCTTGGTATGCCAGGCACTGTGCTAGGTGCCAGGGTCACAAAGAGTAATAATGCAGGGTCCCTGACCTCCAGGAGCCCACCTGTGGTAAGGGAGAGCAGACCTGAGGTTGAGGGTGCTCCAAGGAAATCAGGGTGTCAGTGAGGGGCACCAATGACAGAAAGTGGGAGAAGTGGGCGGGTGGGGGGAACCAGGAACGGAGACCGCAGACAGTGGTTAAAGCAGACAGGTCTTCCGAGATCTCCAGAAGATCAGATGGTCTGGAGAGGGGGAAGCACCCTTCCTGGGCCAGGAGCCAGGGCACAGGGTGAGGTATCCTCACCTGGGGCACATGGGGAGCACCTGGCACTTCTGGAAGGGGTCAGAAAAGTGCACGGCCATGCTACAGAGGTTGCTTGTATCCTGGAGGCTGTGGAAGTCCTGGAAAGGACTTTAATCAAGAATTTTGATCCTTTTTATGTTACAGAAAAATCCCTCTTGGGAGTGTGTAGAGGAGGATGTGGTGGGAGCTGTGCTGGCCTTGGGGAGCAGGCAGGTGTGGGCGGTGGGCACAGTGAGGACAAGGCCCAGGCAGGGAGGTGCTGCGGGGCTGCTGTGGGGAGAAGATGAGAGCCCGCAGCGGGGGATAGGCAGGGCAGGATGGGGAGGGCAGGACTGGCCAGCCTCAATGACAGTGGGTTGTGGGTTGCAGGAGGGGTCTCGATGCTAGATGCCCAGTGGATGGTAATGAGGGGGTCAGTGCCAGCTGCCATGAGCCCCTGGGCAGCAGGGCAGGCAGGGAGGGCTGCTGGGGCCAGAGAAGAGGAGAGAGGCAAGGGCAGAAAGGGCCTCCGAGGCCACAGCAATGGCAGTGGACGCCTCAAGAATGGATGGAAGGAATTCTCGAGTAAAGGGGGACAGTAGATGAGGCCGGGAGAGGGTGACAGAGAGCCCGGGGCCACACAGGGAAGACGATGATAGAGGAGGAGGTCCGGGCTGCCAAGGGGCAGCAGCCGTGGATAGAAGGGATGGGTCTGGAGCGATAGCTAGCCTCGAAGCCAGGGGGCCAATGAGCAGGAGGGGGGCGGCCAGCGGTGGCCTGTGCTGGCCAGAGAGTTTGGTAATGAGGAGGTCACTGGTGGCCTTGGCGGGGAGTGGAGGGAACAGAGCCAGGTGACAGGGAGAGCTCCTTCACAAAGACGGGCAGACAGTAAGCCTGGGGAGGACGTGGCGCATGGGGTAGTCAGTGCCCAGGAAATGTCTGGGGATAGCGTGGGCTAGGGACAGAAGGCAGGAGGATGGGCTGGGAGGAGAAGGGCTCATCTTCCTTGCACCACAGACACTGGGGGATAGGGTGGCTGCTGCTGCAGGAAGTGTGCAGGCCAGACAAGAAATGTTGGCAGGCGCATCTGCTGGGAATAAAATCTGCCCTTAGAGTTTGTGGAAAAGCAGTGTTCTTTAGTAAAAATCTCAGAATATACTGAATGGCATAAACAACACCTCTTCTCCCTCCACCTAGAATCAACCGTTGAACACTTCCTGTCCTTACAGATCCTTTACGAAAATGGGATCTTGTTCAACACATACTGCTTTACGGGCTGCCTTGTTCATGTCATATGAAAGTTATTTCTCCGTTATCATTTTAACAGGAAGCACCAGCATTACGGTTCTAATTAATCCCCTGGTTTTGAATGTATAGATGGTTTCCATCTTTTACTACCCCAAATAGTACTTATTTAGGGCACCTGGCTGAGAATTTCCTTAGAATGACTGCCAGGAGAGGCTTCCAGGTGGAGGGGCCTGGACATTCTGTGCGTGTCGTTTTTATGCGTACTGTCACACTGCCCCCCCAGGGGTTCCATCTGTTTACACTCTCCCCAGGAATAAATGAGGGCTCTGGCTCTCTACACTCTTCTCCTCGACAAGTATTAATAGTAAAAAACTCTCTGCCAATTTGCTAATGAAAAATGGTATCCTTTGCTTTTCTAATTTTCATTTAGCTATGAAAAGGCTTCATTTAAATTACCCACAGATAGTTTGAGGTCACGGACAATTACATTAATTAATTCGTAATTGAACTTTCCAGAGTTCTGTCGGGTAGTTCACGTCACCTGCCAGTAGAGGGCTCTTCGCTACTATCAAATATCACTAGAGGGTTTTTGTTGTGTGTCAATTATGAAATAAAGACAAATTTCCACCGTGTGCCTTTTCAAATTCTAGGAAGTTCTAGCAAACAACTAAAGACGTCTCTATCCACATGCATTTTATGGGCTTGATCTTTTGTATTTTCCAAAGAAACACTGTCAAACATTCACCATCAGAATTAGATTCTCAGGGGATAATGGCTCAATTAAAACCTGTTTGTGTTTCGGCATGCATGGGTTATGAAGATGCTCTGCCCAGATGACCCCTGGACGTTTTGGAGGTTCTCTCTGAAAGGATCCTATTTTGCTTGCCAAGGAGAACTGCAGGAAAAAAAACAGCTACTATTTTTTTCAGCTGATGTGTCTCGGCTGAAACTCATTCATTCATTCATTCATCCCACACATATTTACGGAGCATCTGAGAGCTCTGTGGTGGGAAGCAGGGGTGTCTGGGAGTTGGGAGACACGGTCCCTGCCTGTGGAGGGTGCAGCTGCCTGTGTCTGAATGGGTGTCGCTGAGTGAGGTGCTGCGGGGTTAGGGGTTAGGGAGGGTGCAGGGGCGTAAGGCTTATTTGCAGGGGGAGGGGGCTCACTTTCCCATACTGTGGTCACTTGGATTCTGTTTAAATACTTCATATGACATTTTGGCCTGCATTTCCACTATTTAAAAATTACATTTTAAGTTTCTATTTCCTTGTAATACCTTTTATGTACTTGCGGAGGTTACTTCAAGTCCTCACTGCAATTAGCTGGATATAAACCATAGATGATCATCAAAAGAAGGGCAGAGGTATACTAGAATGAGAAGCCTGGCTGGGCTGGTAAACTGAGGCAAAGCAAAGAACTAGAGAGGAGCTGGGATGCAGGGGCTCACAGGAAAGACTGGGCACAGTAACTAGGAGGGGACATGCGTGTATGTCTGTGGTCAATGTGTGTGTGTGTCAATGTATGTGTGTGCATGTGCGTATGTTAGTATGAGGTATGTTAGTGTGCACATGTGTGCGTGTGTGTGTATGAGTTTATGTTAGTGTGTACATGTGTGCATGTGTGTGCATGTGTGTGAGTGTATTAGTGTGCATGTGTGTGTGTGGGGGGCAGGTTGGTGCTAGTAACAGGAACATGTTGATGCAATTAGTGCTTATCCAGACTGTGTTCAATGGGAAGGTGTTGGATGGTGGGGGGCGTCAGGCTTACAAACCACCTGAACTTAACTCTTGAAGCCCCGTCTCCTCCCCAGCCCACTGCCCACCACACTATGGCCAATGAATTCTCGCCAGGTGGAATGGACTCTAGCCAGCTTGGAGAAGCCTGTGTGCAAAGCCATTCTCAACTTCCCAAGGTACCTCCATCGCCCCCACCCCGAGTGTTTCTGGGTTGCCTAAACATTTTGAATGCTCGTGGCATCAAACCCTGGTCCCGCCTTGTCCCCACTGCCTGATACACAACACCTGCGGATGCCACTCTGTGTTTTTGGTGATTGACAGCCTGCAGAGTGTGTTTCCACACCTGACTGACACACAGTGCCCGGGGCCTCCACAGCCTGATGCCCTCCCTGTGTGGGGTGCTCCCTGTCGTCACTGGACAGGTGGAGTGGGACATGTATCCCGGGTCCTGGAGAAGCCTGGCTCTCTTGTTGCCTTCCTCCTGGGAGTCCCCTTCCCACGGCAGCCTCTGACACAGCTGGACCCGGCTACATGGCCCACCCTGGTCTAGGGGCCTTTCTTTTGTGTTCTTTTTTCTCCTTCTTTCTTTGCAGGTGCATGTGTCTGAATTCCGAGAAGTTTCCTATGTGTCGGGGTCTAGGCTCCCTCCCCACCCTGGGCCCCTCCCGGGTGTCTGGTTTGACGTGGCCTCCCAGGACTGACACCGATGTTCCAGGCAGGGGAAACAATGGCAGAGGCCTCGTTGGCCGTACAGACGCCGGCATCCCCACCCACAGTGGGTTTTGATGGACTCTGGGCGCTAGTGAGGTGTCTGTCTGTGTTCCTCACTGTAGCACATGGTCAGTGTGGCCCACTGTGGGGCGGGGAGAGTGGGGAGGCCCTGCCTATGTGGGAGCAGGCTATGTGGGCGCTCTCTGCACTTTCTCCTCCCTTTTGCCAGGAACCGAAAACTGCTCTGAAAAATAGTCTATGTAAAAAAGAAAAGGTTCTGCAGCCTATGTGCATGTCGCTCCTCAGCCTGCAGCTGCGTCCGCACGCAGTGGAAGGTGAGCCTGGCCTCTTCATGGACGACCCACTCAAGACTCAGGGCACTGGCCTCCCACCGTGTCCATACCCGAGGCTGCACTGGAGCCGCTAAATCCTGTGTCCCTCTCCCCATGTCCTTACTCCTCTCTTTCCTCTCCCCCTCCTTTTTGATTAGCCCTGTTTTAGGGGCCAGATGTAGGCCTTGGGTTATCCTTACTGATATTCACCTTGTAAAATGAGACTAACATATGTATTACACTAATTGTACATCTCTCTCTCTCTCTCTCTCTCTCTCTCTGTGTGTGTGTGTGTGTTTTAAATCAACCACAAATAGCAGCAATGTCTTTGTCTGGGTTATTAATCAGGAAGAGAAGTCTTCTTCTATGAGCTACAGAAACATACCTTTTATGAACTACAGAAATTGGCCAGGCACCTCTGCTGACACCTGGACTAGCTGTCTACACCACCACACACCACATCTGGGCAAGAGCCCTTGGTGTGCTGCCATAAGGCTGCTGGCTGTGAGCCCACAGAGGAGCCGGGTGGATGGTACTGGGGCACAAGAGCATCGAGGGTCCCTTTTGTCCAGATGCTGCAGACCACTGTGGGCCACGTGTCCTACAGCTGACACTGCCTCGGCCCCGTTCTCCCAGGTCCTCACTCTAACTCAGCCCTCAGGGGCCAGGTCACCAAGCAGAGGGGAGGAAAGCAGAACCTAAGAATGTCCAGGGGCAGAGAGGGCCCTCGACCCAGATCCAGGGGGCCGCTGAAACATTCTCTGCTCCAGCCTCCTTCCCTGCGCCCTGCCCTGGCCTTCCCTTGCCTGTCTAATGAGAGGTCTGGAGGGCGGGGGCCATTCTCACTGGCAAGGCGGATACAGGAAGAAGCAGGATGGCCTTCAGTTGCTTCATCTTCTCACACTGGGATATTCCCAGCAGACCCGCTGGCCCAGGAATGGCCTTGCCCCTGTGTCTTGTGGAGGGCACATCCTCCCACAGGGTGGGGCATGCGGAGCCGATGCTTCCCCAGAGGCCAGCTGGGGGGCCACGCGACGGTCTTGGGGCCTGACCTAGCGTGAAATCCAGAGGTCAGACCTCTGGTTCTCTTGCATTTTTGTTGACATTCAGCACTCTGAGTGTCACTTTTCTCATCTGTAAAATGGGCACGTTAATTCCTACCTCATCAGAGCTTTCATGCAATTAAAAGAGAAAATATGTGTAAAACGCCTTAGCATGTGCCTGACTCCAGGGCGGAGGTCAGAAAAAGCCCTTCCCGCTCCGCTGTCCCCTGGTTTACTATTATACAGACTCAAGGAGACTGGTACCTGGGGGGTGGCGGGGGTGGTAGGCAACAGCCCTGCCTTATAACTTCTTTCACCTGTGAAATGTTTATTGCATGTTCATCATTTGTCAAATATTTATCAAATATTTATACTTTTTATAATATGTATATTTATATATTATATATATTCATATATATTTATATATTATATATTCATATATCATAAATATATATATTATATATTCATATATTATATATCTATATATTTATATATTCATATATTATATATCTATATATTTATATATTCATATATTATATATCTATTTATATATTCATATATTATATATCTATATATTTTATATATTCGTATATTATATATCTATATATTATATATTCGTATATTATATATCTATATATTATGTATTCATATATATCTATATATTATATATATTCATATATATTATAAATTATATTCATATAGTATATATCTATTATAAATGTATATTCATATAGTATATATCTATATATTATAAATATACATATATTATATATTTATATATTATATATTCATATAGATCTATATATTATATATATTCATATATGAATATATATATTATATGTATATATATTATAAATATATTTATATAGTATAGATATTATATAGTATATGCATATTTATATTATAAATAATTTACATAGTATATGTATATTTATAAATTATATATATTTACATATTACATGTATATTTATATATTATAAATACATATTTACATATTATAAATATATTTATATATTATGAATATAATTTATATATTATTACATATTTACATATATGCATAGTTATATATTATAAATATGCATTTATGTAAATATATATTTATAAATATATAAATATGCATATAATATGTAAATATATAAATTATATTCATAATACATAAATATATATTTACAATATGTAAATATCTGATATGTAAATATGTATTTATAATATATAAATATACATATAATATGTAAATATATAAATATACATATACTATGTAAATATATGTTATATATACATATACTATATAAATATAGAATATATAAATATACATATACTATATAAATATGTAATATATAAATATATACTATATAAATATACATATACTATATAAATGTATTTATAATATATAAATATACATATACTATATAAATTCATATATGAATATATAATATATAAATATATATAATATATGAATATATACTCATATATAAATATATATGAATATATATTTATAATATATAGATATAATATGAATATATATTTATAATATATAGATATATATTATATGAATATATATTTATAATATATAGATATATACCATATGAATATATATTATACACTATATGAATATATATTTATAATATATAAATAGATATATACTATATGAATATATAATATATATACTCTATGAATATATAATATATATACTATATGAATATATTATATACTGTATGAATATATAATATATAGATGTATACTATATGAATATATAATATATAGATATATATACTATATGAATATATATAATATATAGATATATACTATATGAATATATATGATATATAGATATATACTATATGAATATATAATATATAGATATATATTTATGATATATGAATATCATATATAAATATATATGATATATGAATATATATCATATATAAATATACATATAAAAAGTATAAATATTTGATAAATATTTGACAAATGATGAACATGCAATAAACATTTCACAGGTGAAAGAAGTTATAAGGCAGGGCTGTTGCCTACCACCCCCGCCACCCCCCAGGTACCAGTCTCCTTGAGTCTGTATAATAGTAAACCAGGGGACAGCGGAGCGGGAAGGGCTTTTTCTGATCTCTGCCCTGGAGTCAGGCACATGCTAAGGCGTTTTACACATACTTTCTCTTTTAACTGCATCAAAGCTCTGATGAGGTAGGAATTAACGTGCCCATTTTACAGATGAGAAAAGTGACACTCAGAGTGCTGAATGTCAACAAAAATGCAAGAGAACCAGAGGTCTGACCTCTGGATTTCACGCTAGGTCAGGCCCCAAGACCGTCACGTGGCCCCCCAGCTGGCCTCTGGGGAAGCATCGGCTCCGCATGCCCCACCCTGTGGGAGGATGTGCCCTCCACAAGACACAGGGGCAAGGCCATTCCTGGGCCAGCGGGTCTGCTGGGAATATCCCAGTGTGAGAAGATGAAGCAACTGAAGGCCATCCTGCTTCTTCCTGTATCCGCCTTGCCAGTGAGAATGGCCCCCGCCCTCCAGACCTCTCATTAGACAGGCAAGGGAAGGCCAGGGCAGGGCGCAGGGAAGGAGGCTGGAGCAGAGGACGCTTCAGCGGCCCCCTGGATCTGGGTCGAGGGTCCTCTCTGCCCCTGGAGGTTTTTAGGTTCTGCTTTCCTCCCCTAGTAGACTATATATAGTAGACTATATATACTATATATATATAGTCTACAAGTAAATAGTCATTTACTTGTAGATACATTTCTTAAAAAGGAAACGCTTCCCCTCACCCCTCACTCATTATTCTATTAGTTACTGTTTGTAAAATAAATCCTCCAAACACAATGATCACAAAATGGATTTGAATTTACAGTTGTGAAACAAATCGGAGACTCATTTTCCCTGCGTGCTTCCACGGTGCTGTGAGTGAGGCGAATGCCACCTGCCTGAAGTGAGAAATGACAAGCATTTCCCTGTAGTTGCATTGTTTACCCTCCCGAGATTAACTTGGTAACAGGACTTCTCTCTAGGAAGAATCCATGAGGAATCAGGCCCTTCTGTTATTTCACCTTCTCCTGCAAATGCCATGAACCATATTTTGCTGCTCTTGAGCCACAGCCCGTGTTCTGCAGCTCACACGGCACAGTCAGGCCCTCCAGCTTCCTGCCGTCAACGTACCAGCACAAGCATCCTGTCCTGCTTGCCTTTGGTTAATTAAAAGCAAATACCTCTTTGCAGTGCAGATAGCTGCTCTGTCAGTCACACTGGGACACGGTGGCCTCACCGCACACAATTTTTAATTGATTGACTCCCACTCCTGAGACCTCTGGGTCTTTCATTAATCAGTTATATACACAAGAAAGGTGAAGTTTAATGAGGTGTGTGTCAGGCACTCTGACATGAAGTGGCCCAGGTGGGTGAATGTGGTGCTCCACATTTTAATAATTTTTGACACCCAGCATTTTGCAGTCCACACAATGCCAGTTTGTGATAATTCTAATAAACGCAAAGATCGCTTATCTGGTATCAAGACAAAATCTCTCAGCAGCAGGAACAAAGACTTTCCTAGAGTGAGAACAGAAAGATCACATCCTTGCTCTGTCCTAGATTCACACCAGGAGCTACTAAGCTGTTTGGTGAGTCAGAAAATGGATACTTAATTCAGCCATTCAGCCCTATTTCAGTGAGCGGCCGTATAATGCAGTTTTGAAACTTGGAGGCTCTGGAGCCAGACTGTGTGAGATCCTATCATTGCACTGCAACCAGGAAAATTACTAAAATGATTTGTGCCTCAGTTTTCTTAACAGTAAAATGGGTATAATGAAAGTGTCTACCTCATAGAGTTGTTGTAAGGACTGAGTGAGTTAATACGTAGTGATGTATGCAACAGTCTGGGATATATAGATGCTTACGAAACACTAATATTTTTATATTTATGTGCTTCTGTCTGTTACTTGACAAATGTCAACAAAATTTGATGTTTAGAATGAACAAATGCAGGTGTTCTTTTGGGCAAGAGGAAGGGTTCATTTTACCTTTCCTCTGAAGAACTTAGTGCTTACAACTTGGTAGTTAAGCACATGGAGGCCACAAGTCAGGCTGCCTGGCTTCAAATTCCAGCTCACCTTCAAATCATTGGCTAACTTTAGATGTGTGCTTGCGTGGGGAAAGATTCCAAGCTCAGTGAAAAGCAATAGATGAAAAACAGAGAACGCAGCACATTCCTCAGCTACTGCCAAGTCAGAGGAGCTTGGTAAACAGGATTTCCATTGAAACTCTGGAGTAAAGACCATATTCCAGGACTAAGAGATTTGCTTTGGACCACAGACGAAGTCAAAATAGACCCATATTAACAAAATGGAAAACGAAGTCTCTGCAAGTTCAAGCTGATCAGCCAGTAATTTAACTGCCTGCTAGAACAAAGCCCCGCTTGCTTCAGAGGCTCCACAACGTACCATCCACAATGTCTAATATACAATAAGAATTATCAATCAGATGAAAAACAGAGAAATGTGACACATGGTCAAGGGAAAAGCAGTCAAATAGAAATAGGCCCCATGATGACCCCGTTTTGAAATGAGCACATAAGGACTCTAAGGCAATTAAGTTCAAAGACTTGAAGGAAAAAGATGGTCATATGAAATGGGCGGATAGAGAACTACAGCAGAGAAATGAAAACGAGTAATAAGCAAATGTAAGTGCTAGAACTGAAAAGCAAAAGATAAGAAGATCAGAAATAAAAAATAAGAAGATCAGAAAAAAGAAAATTTGTTGCCAGCAGATCTTCACTAAAATAAATGCTAAAGGAAGTTCTTCAGCTGAAAGGGAAATGATACCAGGTGAAAACTTAACTTGACAGAGACAAAGAGAGTACTAAAAATGGCAAATATATGGAGATGTATAAAAGAGTATATTTCTTCTCTCAATTTTTTAAAAAGACAAATGACCATGAAATGCAAAAATAACATTCTATTGTGGTATATATAACATTTATAGATGTAAAATGTATAATAAGAAAATGAAGGACAGAGATAATAAATGGATTATGTTGTCACAAGATTCTCATATTTTATGTAAAATACCATATTAATTCTACATAGACTGTGATAAGAATGACTACAGTAATCCGTAGGCCACCACTAAAAAAGAAAATAAAAAGAGACCAAAAAGAAGGCAGGAAAAGAGAAGTTGAATGAAAGAGGAATGAAACAAATGGAGAACAAATAGCAAAATGGTAGACTGAACTCAATCATCTAAATAATTGCATACAAAAATAAACGGAGCAAATGCTCTAGTTAAATGACATATGTTGTCAGATTGAAGAAGAAAGCAAAACCCAACTATGTGCTATCCATAAGAAATGCACTTTAACTATAAAGACATAGACATATTGGAAATAAAACAGCATAAAAATATACCGTATACACTCAGCATAAGAAAGCTGATGTGGCTCCATTAGTATCAGACCAGGTAGATTTCAAGACATGGAGTATTTCCAGGACAAAAAGGGTCATTTCATAATGATAAAATAATCAACCAGGAAGGAAGACATAACAATCCTAAACGTGGATGTATCTCATAACAGTGCTTCAACATATATGAAGCAACTGACAGTACTACAGGGAGAAATACAGAAATGCATATAGTTGGAGAGCTCCTCAAAATTCTCAGAAATTTTGAAATACTAAAAAATATGAAATTAACCTAAACAATGAAATGAACCAATGAAAACAATAACCCAATGAAAGGTACAGTTGACCCTTAAACAACACTCATTTGAACTGTGTGGGTGCATATATACACAGATTTTCTTCCATCTCTGCCACCCTTAAGACAGCAAGGCTAACTCCTCCTCTTCTTCCTCCTTCTCCTCAGCCTCCTCAATGTGAAGAAGACAAAGATGAAGACCTCTATGATGATCCACTTCCACTTAATGAATAGTAAATAGATTTTTCCTTCTTTATGGTTTTCTTAATAACATTTTCTTTGCTCCAGCTGATTATAAGAATACAGTGTATAATACATACACCATACAAAATACGTGTTATTCAACTGTTTCTGTTATCAGGAAGACTTCCAGTCAACAGTAGGCTATTGGTAATTAGACTTTTAGGGAGTCAAAAGCTATACGTGGATTTTCAACTGCACAGGGGATTAGCGCCCCAACCCCTGTGTTGTTCAAGCATCAACTGTAGGTAAATGACTTGAATATAAATTTCAAAAAAAAGTTGTACAATGACCATAAAGTGCATGAAAATGGTGGTTACACATTGTATACTCTACAGTTTCCTCTCTGAACGCCTTCCTTACAAGCATGAGAGAAAAGGAGAGTGGGATGTCCTGAGTCGCTGCAGTGGGAGGGACCACGTGGCTAAGGGAAGAAATCCTACTGCTGTCGCTCCCTAGTTTTTTGGTGTATTAGCGTGACACTAAGGAGACATTCCTGTCCGTTTATCATTCCTGTAAACTGCCTCGTTGATGAGCATCTCTCATGCTTTACAGCCCCTTAGAAAGCAGATACAGAGCCAACACCTAGCCTCCAATATGGGACAGTGTTTGCCACCATGTAGGCTTTGATACAGTAAAAGCTGGCATGGCAGCAACTGAAATGAATAGCATAAGGCTAACCTGGAGGTTCTCAACCAAGTAGAAATTAAATTTTGTAAAGCCTTGATACTAAATATAAAATATCTGTATCAAAGTTCTTTCAAACGCATTCATTTTGTGATGATAAAATGGAGACCCAGGGAAGCTAGGAGCTTAGCTAAGATCACAGAGCTGCTCGGATCCTGTGATATCAGCACGTCTTTACATTACTCTGGTCGGCTTAGGTGCCTGCAGGCTTTTCCATCACACCTGTGTGAGGAGTGCACAGAAGCACAGAAGGTGCCATACCTTGGCAACCCATGTCATGTGAGGAAGAATCCAAATAATGCAAATATCTCTACCTGATGCCAATTATTACAGTGAGGTGGGCCGAGCAAAGAAATTGTGGGTTTAATTTTCAATGAGACATGAAAGCATTTCCAGAAGGGTTCCTGTGGCAGAGGGAGGGTGATTGGGATGGCACAGTAGGGTGCTTACGGAAAGAAAAAAGTTGTTTCTAATTGTGTGTGTTTGGCCATACGCAATAATGAAGTAATTTGCAGGAGTAGACAATGAGGAAATTTAAGACAGTCATGCTTGTCTGCCAATGGAAATTATCTGCAGGGTTTGAAAATGTAATTTGAAAGAGGGAGGAGAGTTGGAAACCAAGAAATGTAATCCATACCTTGAAGACTGCATGCAGCATCATTTGGAGGCCATTTTTGCCAGGGTATTTCCCAGCAATGTTAGAGGAGGACAAGTTGAAGAGGTTGGCTCCCGTTTCGGTGCAGATGGCATGGACCAGCATTTTCTTCCCTACCCCAGACGGCCCGGCTAACAGTAGCGATTTCACCAAAGGAGCTTTCTCATGCACTGCTGCAGAACCTAAAAAAGGCAGAGGCAAAGGTGCTAATGTTCTGCCAAGAAAATCAGTGGTTCTTCAACTAGGATAACTCAAGGTCAAAACTGCATCGTGTGACTCCACTTTCTGCAACAGTGATAAAGGCGTCCAAAGCATTTCAAACCAGAGACACGCCTCCATCCCAGCTGGCTCTGTGACACCTTTAATTTGTAGGTCAGGGCTCGTGGTAGAGCCATAGGGTCTCTGCGGGTCCTTAATACCCTTCTCCCCCTCTCCACATCAGTATTTCCCCTGAAATCATAATTTTAAAGAGCATTCCTGCAATAGCTTACCTCTGGCTTTTTTTTTTTTTTTTTGAGTGCTTTCTCTGCTTGTCGGCAGCAGCATTAAATTCTTTGAAAGCTTGGGAAGAGGAATGTGGAGACATAGACGATAAGGTTGACTAAGTGTTTATTTCCTTGCACCCCTCTTGCCTACCATTTAGTGATTCTTGTGAGATCAAGGGAGGATGGAGATGCAGGCAGCAGCAGCCTGAACTTCTTTCTCCTGCCCTGGTTTCTAGCTGTCAGTAGCGGCAGAGTTAACCTGACGCTTGATAATGAAGTGACTTGAATTACTGGAGTCATTCAGAGGTTCATGCCGTGTTCTCCACCACACTGTCAATTTCCTTAGTGCCCAGAAGGGGCCTCAGGTGTGGGTATTCTCCATTGCAGAGAACACAAGCAGAGCAGATATTGGGCACAAAGCAACTAAAAAGTGAACGGGATTAAATTCTGGAAAGTGCTGTGATCAAATCATTTACTATCATGTTAGTTTGCGTTCTGTCACTTAATGGGCTCTTTTTGATACTCTGTAAATGTCAGTATGATGATTATGCTTTTCTTTTTTCTTGTATAATTGAAAAGATACAGAAAATTTAAGTGATGATTAGACACCTAATTTTTATGGTTACCTACCATTCTCCACATAAACTTGGAAAATAGTTTTGAGCAAATTCTCTTTACCACGTAACTCAATGAGCATGCCTTTTTTGTGGTTAGTAGGGGCTGCGGCAATCTAATGGGATAAAGGAGAGACTCTTTTTCCACAACAGGAGAGAGATGCCATTCATTTGCCCTGCGTTGGACACCTGGGTATGGAAGGCTGCTCTGTGGTAGCCCTGGCTGGGAGCTAGTGTGGGGGTCCGTGGGAGTGGGGACTGTGGCGGGGAGTGACACAAATGTGGAAAAGACTCAGGATTTGCTGTGGAGAGTTCAGGCCAGGGGAGGAGCTGAACCTGAGTTGCCATAATGAGAACGGGAGGCAAGCAGTGAGAAGGTCCAGGAGAGCCACAGGGAGTTCAGAGAAGAAACTGCTCCCCGCGGAGGACTCAGGCTGGACTTCCAGGAGGAGGTGGCATCTGGGCCAGCCTCTGAGGAATGGGCAGAATGGTAGCATGCGGTGAGGGGGGTGTGTGGGCAGGCTTCATGTGGGGCCGGGAAGCCAGGCTGGCACAGGGAGGGGTGAGGAGCCAGCGGTCAGGGGCCCTGAAAGGTGGTCGGGGACTGCAGGTGCCAGGCGGGTGCTGGCTGAAGCCAGGGGGCCGGGAGAGGTTTCTGGGAGTGGTAGAGGAAGGAGAGAACAGTGCTGAGGACAGAGCCTTGGGTTGGGAGGGGGCAGCAGGAGGCAGAGGAGCAAGGGCAGGTGAGTGGACCCGGGAGAGTGTGTGGCAGTGACACAGGCAGTGGCCTTCCAGAGAAAGGGGGTGGTCACCAAGGTCACCCAGAGAGGTGAAAAGGTTGGTCCAGGGAGGCCTCTTCAACGGGGGCCTGGCTGACCTCAGGGAGGACAAAGGTGGACAGAGGGCCCAGGAGCTGACAGGACACACATGTGCCAGTGTCCACAGCTCTTCCTGCCCCTCTCGTAGAGTTACCAAGAGACACAGTATGGTTCCAGTTTTCGCACCTGAGCCCTGTTCAACTTTCCGAGAATTAAGAGATAACAAGGAGGCCAGTGTTCTCTGTCCTCAACCCAGTTTAGCCCCTTCCTAGCCCTGTGACTCCAAGGAAGTGCCCCTGCATCTTGGAACAGCTTACGAATCACTAAAAGCTGGACCACGTCCACCTGGAGGGGTCTGGCAGGAGATGAAACAGTGGACACGGTTTCTGCTCTGTGAGCATGCCCCCACCCTTCACTTCTCCCTGATCTCTACGTGGCAGTAATACCTCCAGGAGGGTGGGTGGATGCTGACCAGATACTTCCTGGGCTTCCTCTTCTCTAACAAGGTGGTTTCGGAGTCTAAGCCCTAGCCCCAGGCTGCAGCCGGTGTCTCCTGGCCAAGTATGTAAGCGGCCAGGAGATGTTCTCAAGGTCCTCTGCTGAGTGGCCAGGTTTTTAGTCTGGGCAGCCGCCACCATCAAGGTGATCTAAACAACTGGAGCCCCCAGACATTCCTTTTTATGACAGGATGTTATTTTAATGTATGAAATGTAAATCAGCCTCCCAAAAGCTTAACTGTGCACACAATTCATCTGCCTAACGTTTCTATGCATTCCAAACACTTGGCACACATGCCCTGTCATGAGAACAAATGCCCCAGCCAGCTCTGCTCTCCGGAGGACCTCATAGCCCTTTTGGACAGTAGGTTCCTCAGTGAGAAAGGGAGGGTGTGGGTGGGGTGCTTCCTGAGGGCCCTTCTGTGGTGTGTTCAAAGCCAGCTTGGAAACCACAGATACCACCTTGTATCCTTTGCAGCTGTGAAATACACCAACCTCATTAGGGAGGCGTTCCCTTCCAAACTTGTTGGCTCTTGGTTCTTTCTTTCTCTTTTATTCCCTCCCTCCCTCCCTCTCCCTCTCCCTCCCTCCTTCCTCCTCCTCTCTCTCTTTCTCTCTCTCTCTCTTTCTCTCTTTCTTTCGATGGAGTTTCACTCTTGTCGCCCAGGCTGGAGTGCAATGGCGTGATCCCGGGTTCCAGCAATTTTCCAGCCTCAGCCTCCTGAGTAGCTGGGATTACAGGCACCTGCCACCACACCCGGCTATTTTTTTTTTTTTTTTTTGTATTTTTAGCAGAGATGGGGTTTCACCATGTTGGCCAGGCTGCTCTCGAACTCGACCTCAGGTGATCTGCCCACACTGGCTTCCCAAAGTGCTGGGATTACATGCGTGAGCCACTATGCCTGGCTCACTGGTGCTTTCTGTCTTACTGCCTTCCATGATGCTTCATGGAAGTGTGAGGTCTCCTCTATTTTATTTCCATTGACACTTATACATTTATTCTGTTGACCACAAATTATGTTGCCCCTCAAATATGATATATTTGTTATATATAATATAAATTATGTGCTATTATATATTATATAAAACATATATATTATATATATATAAATGTATATTAACCCCAAATTCCATTTACTACTTCTGACATCAATTTAGAAGAGGAATTAACTATTTCTTGCCAATAGGCAAGTTCTGAAGTCTTAAGTTCTGAAGTCAAAGTGGAACAATAAGGGTTTGAACTACTCCCATCTCATTTTAAAGCAAATTAAAAACCCAGAAGGTGATTTCTATTTGAGAGTTGTTGTCAGAACTGAAACTCCTGGCTGGAGTTGCCATCCCTGCCCCTGGTGATTCAGGTCATACACATATCAAAGCCATAAAGAAAAAAAAAAAGAAAAAAGCGAACGTGAGCCGCAGATATCTGTGCTGTGGAGAGCCCATCTTTCCTGCATCGCCTGCACACCACAGAGCTCTAGTGTGTCTGTCTGAAAAAAGTCACAATTGAACCTCATTTAGCAGTGAGAGTAGACGTCGGTGAAAACTGGCAGGGCCTTAAAGGTGATCCTTTAGATCCATGAAACACACTTGCACTGACTCCTGAAAGGCTGCCTCTGTTTAGGACCTAGTAATAGGAGCCTGTGGGTAAAAGGCAAGTGGTAGCCCTAGCCCGTTCTCTAATTTGATTAATCGTAATTGCAGGTACTTGCTTTGCCTATTATCTCCCCAGCTCATTGCCTGTATGTCCTTCAGCCCAGCACTGCTAAGCAGGCACGCAGAGAGGGTGCAGAAGTGCTCTCCCTGGTAGTACTTTGTGTGCTGGTGGGTGCACTATCAAAATGAAACTGTGCCCACTCAGAATTCTCAGTAGGAAAAGTTAAGGAGCACTGTACTTTTGATGACAAACAGGAACACACTGTCCAAACCAGCAAGCGGTGCAAGCTGCTTTGGAAAAGGCACATCCGCGCACGCCGAGTCTTTACCTAATGGCCAGATTCCGTACAATGTGATGAGCTGTCTGACATCCAGGAGGGAGGGCATGGGTTCTATGGACACCTGGCGAAGAGTAGTCCCCAGGTAGCTGTACTCACCTGGAGAGAAAAGAAACAGAGGAACAATAAATGGAAAACAGCGCTGGTCTGAGCTGCATAATTTTGGCATCTGCAAAACGATCGGAGAATACAAATTGAACATTTCAGAGCAAAGAGAATCCTATTAGGAGAGTCATTATGAAGAACACATCTTTTCTCAGATAAAGGTTTGAAGAAAAGCTATCCAGGCAAGAAAGCCCTGCTCTACTAGCTAGAGTAAACTGGGAATGATGTTGACTATTATATTAGCCTCCTAATACTTTCTAAAACAACATTTGAATATAGAGTTATGTGAAATGGGACAAAGTGCTAAAAAGAAGGACACACAAAAAAGGCTGAAATATAGGGGGCTCTGCTTTATTTATATTCCAATAGATTATGTATAACATTTGTGCAAACTTTATAAATAAGTTATTTAAGATCGATGTAGAATTTGTATTGGAGCAGTGTAAATCTGAGTGTAAAATGCAGTCATTTGAAAGGAAGGGTATGAGTCTAATTTAGGATAAATAGAAACATCTCCTTTTGAGGGTAATATTCATTTACATTTTTATCATTTTTAAGAGAGTACCAAAGGAATAATGCAGAAATAAATCTTTACAGGTTTAATTAGAAGATATCAAAGGGCTTAATTGTAACTAGTCATAAATCTGAAGTGTTATTTTCTAACTAATTTAGATAAGGTCACCAAGAAAATTAGTTTGGCTGTCTCCATTTGTCATGAGGACGGACCTTTATAGGTTCATATGATTCTCTCTTGATCTGTATCTGAATCTGGAGTAAAAATATTCAATGAACGAATCACCATGTCTGGATTTTTTTCCCTGATGCTTTCTTCCTATAGCGAGTCCTGGTCCTGCAGAGCTTCGGATGCTACATGTGTACAGCAAGTACAATATGCACATTTATGTGTGTAGGAAACACTGAAAGTATCCCAAGCTTTTAAGTATTTTCAAATGCTAAGAAAATCAGAGTTAAAATTCAGACAGTGACCGCTGTTTTGTTGTGGGGCAGGGGGCAGCCTTTCAGAGCCTCCACATGAACAAAACGTCCTTGGCAAGGACAATGGGTATTGGTTGGGAGAATGAGTGATAATGAAAGCATCTATTATGGCTTCAGATACCACACTTTTTAATGAGCAGGTAATAAATAGAAGAGTGGTTAATTTAGCCTCCACTAGAATAGAAAGAGATCCTGTAACAACCGTTAAATCCAGCGCTCATTGCCAGTAAACATGACATTCAAGGTGACAGGAAAGTGACCCCAATTTTCCTGCTTATCTAAACCCATATTAATCTCCAGATGCACCATATTTTCTAGAACATAACAGATCTTGTTTAAACAAATTATATTCAGTTGAATTAGTGGGTGTTGGTTCTAACAGAGGCAAGGACACAAGTAGCCCCGGCTGCCTGCCAAGGTCTGAGACTCGCACTGAAAGCACATTCCTGTGTTTGCAGTGGCCCCACACAGAAGCCATGCCCCTTCCCATCCGTGCATTCGGAGCTCGGAAAGTCCAGCATTCCCGGCACAGACATCAGATCTTCCACAGGGGAGGGAAGAAGAAAGTGGCAGACGAAAAGGCATTTAGGATAGAGGGCGTGAAAATGCCAGGAAACCCAGATCAAGAGGGCAGAAAACCAAACAGCGGCTGCACGACAGGTGGAATCGAATCCCCTTGCAATTCTAAGTGGAAGTCCTAATCCCCAGCATCTCAGAACGCGACCTTATTTGGAAATAGGGTTGTCGCAGATAGATTTCATTAAGATGAGGTCATTAGAGTGGACCCTAAATCCAACAGGACTGGTGTCCTTATAAAAAAGGAGAAATTTGGACACAGAGACAGACATGCACAGAGGCAGAACACCACGTGAAGATAAAAGCAGAGAGGGAGGTGATGGTTTTACACCAAGCATCACCGAAGATCGCCAGCCACACGCCAGGGGCAGCTGAATGCCGTGCAGGTGCAGCCTGGGGTGCTCCATCCAGCCACTTGCTTAATGTTTACAGCGATTTAGTGAGGCATTTGCTGTAATTACCTCATCCCATAGTAGTGGAAACTGAGGCACAGAAAGAGTAAGTAAAGGCCTGGCATCTTGGAGGGAGGCAGCCTCAGAAAGACGAGAGGAAGGAGAGATTCCTTGAGCCTGGGAGGAGAGACCGGTCAGTGGTCCCTGAGCAGCGGGCATCCAGCCCCAGGCCCTGGAGGTCTGGGGGGCCTTCATGGGCACCGGCCCCCAGAATTTCTCTGCAGCACCCTGGTGCTTCCTGGGAACTGGGGGCCTTGAGGATACCTAGGGCAGGGGTGGGGACTGGCAAGAAGGACTGAGTTTAAATCACCTTGGTAGTATAGGGGTTGTGAAGCCAAATTAAAGTGATATAAAGAAAATAAGGAACTTGCTATTTCTTGCACACCTGAGATTGTGGCAGGTGCTTGCTGCTGGGCACAGGGCCAGTTCTGGAGCAGGGTGGCCATGCAGGGGTGCAGCAAGCAGTGGGGTGGGTGGTGGGGGTGGGCTGGTGGGAGCCGAGGGCTGGGCCTGGAGGAAGGTGTTGTCCCCAGCTCTGCAGTGCAGGCTTTGCATCCTCTGGCTCTGTTCCTCCCCTTGTCTCCTGTAGCTCTTATCTGCTGTGATTCTAATGACTGTTGAGATTCTAATGACTGTTGGGAGTTCAATGGTGTTGAGGACAGAGTGGGATTACAAATCTCAAGACTAAAAAAAGCAACTTCGTGTCCAGCGGCTGAGCACGCTGGATCTGTGCAGAGCATTCCTGGCCTGGTGGAGACATCCATCCGGGCAACCACATTCTGCGTCCGGGGATCCCTGCTCCTGCCCTGCCTGGATGAAGGGCTGGGGAGGAACAGCCCACATCCACCCTCTCTCATCTTCTAGAAGCAGGAGAAATAAACGGCTCTGGGCACTCAGGCTTTGCAGTGCTGGCCTCTGGAGCAACGGAATAGGCAACAGAGGAACCCTCTGGGCCATGCCTCTGTTGTCAAGGTGTTAAAAAGGAACCAAGATAATAAATTCAAAACCAGGGAACCCAAGGGTGAGTGAGGGTGCCTGGGTCCTCATCTCGTTAATGCTCTTCTTAGACAAGATGACGAGGCATGACTTATCTGGGTGCTGAGAGCAGTGTGCTTTCCAGAGGCAGGGGGGCATTCCCAAGCCCCCTGAGTTTATGTGATCAGGAAGAAGCTCCCAGCTGTGCAAGAGCCCAGTACCCCTAAGGTAGGAAGTCTGCAATGCCGTGTTGTCAGCGCACACCGCTCTTATGCATTGCACTCTCTCTCCTGAAGCCCTCACCTTGTCCTGGTTTTATGGGTATATAGAGAATGCTCACTACCAATCCTCGTGCCAAGGTGTCTCACGTCATTTTTGATTGTCAGTAGGTCATTCTTAGCAGATTCTTCAGGAAGGGCTCAGGGGGAAAACTGCTGAGTTCTTTCATGTTTATCAGTTTGTGTCCCATGTACTTGAAAATAAACTTGGCTGGGTACAAAATCCTAGGATCCTGCTTCCTTTCCCTGAGCATCTTATGTATGTCACTCCATTTACTTCTGGTGTAAAGCATTGCTGTGGAAAAGTCTGAGGGTAATCTAATTTTCTTTCCTTTCCAAGTCATATGATCTCTTTTACACAGATACCCAAAGGCACTTTTATTAGAATGTCTTCTTGATCAATCTGAGTCAATATTCTCAGATAGACAGTGTGGTCTTTCGTTATGTGGTTTTAATGTTTTTTAAACGTCTAAACCCTTTTCCCGTTTGCCCTGAGAATACTTGCCAGAGGTGCTTTCGACCGCAGCATTTACCCCAAGATAACTTTGCCACGAAATATCTCGTTTTTATTATTATTTTTGCAGAGCTCTAGTATACTGACTTCAGAAACAAAAGACATCATTCTATCTATAGCATTCTGTTTTCACTAGTGGTATTTCCATTTAGGAAATATAGTAATTCTTGATTGCCGAAAAATATCAAATCCTAGGAAACGTAGCATTCCTATGCATGATCTTGACATCGTTTTCCAGTGGTTGTTGGCTGAAGATTCATTTGATGAATCTGATTTTTTCTGAAATAGACAATTCTGATGATTCAGAAGATTCTGATATTAGTTCTGTTTAGAAATAACTCCAAGAACAGTTTTTGTATTTTATTTTCACATTGAAAATCAGTCAGATTTGCTTCAGCCTCAAAGAACACGTTTACTTAAAGTTAAATGATCATTAGCAGCGAGCTGCACTTTTTTTTTCCTAAACAGGAAAAGGCCTAAAAGAAATGTTCATGAATTAAAATTATATATATTTATAAAATTAAAATTTGAGACAAGGTCCTGCTCTTTCACCCAGGCTGGAATGCAGTGGTGTGATCTTGACTCACTGCAACCTTGAATTCCTAGGCTCAAGCGCTCCTCCTGCCTCAGCCTGCTAAGTAGCTGGGACTACAGGTGTGTGTCACCATGCCTAGCTACTTTTTATTTTTTATTTTGTAGAAAAAGGGTCTTGCTATGTTGCTAGGCTGATCTCAAATACTTGGTCTCAAGAGATCCTCCTGCCTCCGCCTCCCAGAGTGCTGAGATTACACGTGTGAGCCACTGTGGCCGGCCAAAATTCTTTGCATTTTTTCTGTTCCTTTGCTTTGATTTTCTTCTTTAGGGACTCGTATTATCTGTATGTTGGATTTTCTTTGTCTGTCGTCAATATTTGATATGCTCTTTGAATTCTTTTAATATCCTTAATTTCTAATTTTACTTTAAAAATTTGCCTTTTTGCCTTTTATTTCTAAAGCATTACTATTTTTATTTGCTCTTGTATTCATTATAATTTATTTTTTTCTAAAACATTTTCCCCTTTATTTATATTTATTGAGATTTGTCACCTCATTTCTGGGTTTTACTCTTTCTATTTTATGCTGTTCTCACACGTCTTCTATAATTCTTTAATGTATATTAACTTTTTTTTTTTTTTTTGCGACGGAGTCCCGCTCTGACCCCCAGGCTGCAGTGCATTGGCACAATCTTGGCTCACGCAACCTCCCTGGCTTCAAGCGATTCTCCTGCCTCAACCTCCTGAGTAGCTGGGATTACAGGTGTGTGCCATCACACCTGGCTAACTTTTGTAATTTTTGCAGAGATGGTGTTCCTCCATGTTGGCCAGGCTGGTCTGGAACTCCTGACCTCCAATGATCCGCCCACCTCAGTCTCCCAAAGTGCTGGAACTACAGGCATGAACCACCGCGCTTGACCTCTTACTGTATATTAACCTGTTTTGAAATAGGTTTCAGTATAGACCTGCTTTGTGGAGATGTCTTTTTGGGAAGTTAATGTTTTCTTATTCTTTTTTTCTTATGATAATTTTGCATGGGCATTGACCTTGAACTTTTCCATTGCTCAAATTTATATGAGTGAATAGTCCAATACTTTTAGAAGGAAGTGTGGCGCAGGATAGCTTTTCCAGTTTCACAGAGCTCCCTCCTCTGTCGTCTTTATAGATGTTAAAAATGCGGTGGTTTGCTTTCTGAGATGTTCTGGCTCTGGTCCCCTCCCCTAATTTCTTCTGGGCCTTCTCTATGCTTCATCTTTACTTTTCCCATCCTGTTCAATTTTGATTTAATTCCCAAGAGTTTCTTTGTAGTATGGGCCCTGTGGAGGAAGGCACTGGGGTGGGTCACCGCCCCAGCTCCTTCACACTTTCTTATTCCGGTCCTTTACACTCATCTGCTATTGAGGTGGGCCAAACCCCTCCTAGTTTCAGCTTTGATTCTTACCTGGCCCACTGCACATTACCTGGCCCATTGCTCTCTGGTTATTTTGGGGTCTCCTGTTCTCAGGTCCTTTGGTGTCCCTAAAGCTTGTACTTTGGGGCTCAATGGGGAAAATTTGTCATTTAGTTTTGGTGCAAGTGTTGCCTGGGGGGTTTTGGTCTTGTTTTCTAGTTGCTCTATTTTACTATGTGGGGATTTGGGAAGATACACTGCCATCTTTCAAGCTAAGGACCTTAACTGGGAAAAAATGAAAATATGGACAGGGGAAAAAATGAAAATATGGACAAGGTCAAAGTGTGCCAGATTTTGGTGGATATTTGACTACTTTGGTTAGATTGAGTCATTTTCACTTAGAGTCTGTATGAATTTGTTCTTGAATTGCTATAAAGAAATACCCAAGACTGGGTAATTTATAAATAAAAGAGGTTTAATTGGCTCACGGTTCCGCAGGTTATACAGGAAGCATGATGCTGGCATCTGCTCAGCTTCTGGGGAGGCCTCAGGAAACTTACAATCATGACACAAGGCAAAGGCGGAGCAAGATGTCTCACATTGTGAGAACGAAAGCAAGAGAGAGGAAAGGGGGAGATGCTACACACTTTTATTTTTATGTTTTTATTTGTATTATTATTATTTTTTGAGATGGTGTTTCGCTCTTGTTGCCCAGGCTGGAGTGCAATGGCGTGACCTTGGCTCACTGCAACCTCCACCTCCCGGGTTCAAGCGATTCTCCTGCCTCAGCCTCCTGAGTAACTGGGATTACAGGCGCGTGCCACCATGCCTGGCTAATTTTTTTTTTTTTTTTTTTTTTTAGTAGAGATGGGGTTTCTCCATGTTGGCCAGGCTGGTCTCAAACTCTTGACCTCAGGTGATCCGTCCACCTTGGCCTCCCAAAGTGCTGGGATTACAGGTGTGAGCCACCGTGTCCAGCCTGCTACACACTTTAAAATGACCAGATCTCGTGAGAACTCACTACCATGAGGAAAGTCCCAAGGAGGATGGTACTAAACCGTTCATGAGAAACTGCCCCCATGATCCGCTCACCTCCCACAAGGCCCCGTCTCCAGTACTGGGGATTATAATTCTACATGAGGTTTGGTGGGCGCACAGATCTAAACCACATCAAAGTCACTCTTAAACGGCTGACTCCACCCACTTTGATCTTAGGCATCTTAAAGATGCTTCCTGGAAATTGACAGATCATTGAAAAAGTTCAGAAGGGATGAGAAATTAATAATTAGTTGAGAAGTCAGTCCGCACATAGGTAATGAGAATCTACCACGTGCCAGGCACTGTACTCGGCACTAGGATCTTTTGTTCAGAAATCCAAACCATAAATAAGAGACAGTTCTGTTAAAAACAGCCATTTTAAAATATTAACAGAATTAACAAAACAGAATCAAGGTACAGGAGAAAATTCTCCAGCACTTGAAGAAGAAACACAGAAAGTAAAATAAATAGAAACCCAAAACATATCTTAATAAATATTCCAGCAAAATTCTTATGCTATTAGGAAATGTGAGGGCTCCTTTAAGCCCTCAAGAAGAAAACAAGGCTGTCTTGCAAAGGGATTAAAATAACCACCCTTTGATCAAAGGAGAATGCCAGCCTTCTTGCCCTCACAGACCAAAATTGGGTCAATGTAAATACCAGGATGGATAATGATAGGGACAGACGATAATACATTGAATAAAAAAAGAATCCATGTGTCTACACTGATAACGCAATTTTAAAAGATTCCACACTTCCTCACAGAAGAATGATATCTATTCAATGTAGAAGGAATGATAGAAAAATCTCCACTTTTACAACTGCTACAGCAATAACTGATGCAGATACAAAATCATCAGTGGGTGCTAAAACGCTGCCTGAGAGGCTGCTGGGAACAGAATCTCCACAGCCTCAAAATATCACCCCTTGGATTGATTGTTCATTAATTATAAAGGGAAAGATGATGCTTTACAGTGGAGAAATCCCGGGAACAGCACCTAAGCCACAGGATTAAACTTAACCTCACCACTGATGGGACAAAGTGGCATTAAGTGCCCCCAGTGGGAAACACTGACAGGGAGACACCATCATTTTCCTGTCAAAATGTTTAACCTGAATCGAATAATGAGAAAACCATGACACACATTCAATTGAGAGACAGTCTGTGCACAGCTCAGACTCTTCAAAAATGTCAGTGTTGTGAAAGATGGCGGAAGGCTGGGAAACTGTTCCTGACGGAAGGAATTACGGGAGACAGAAGAGACACAACAATCACTTGCACCATCCTTGGCTGGATTTTGGATGGAGAAAGACAAGTATTTATACAGGACATTATCAGGACAATTGGGAAAGCTGAAGGTTCACTGTATATTAGGTAACAGTATTGCATTTGATTTTCTGAGTGATTTTCCTTCTGTGGTTATGTAGGAGAATGTTGTCATTCATTGGGGGTAATTTCTTCATAAAAGTAAAACTAATAACTGCATTACGGTAGTACAGTTATGAGGAATTTTAAGCTTTAAGTGTGTTTTCAGGTCATCATGGTGTTTTTTAAAAATTTAGAGAAAACCATTAGGTGAGGCTGTGATAACAAATGTCCCCACCTCATTCCTCCCCAATATTTGTGTCTCTATTGGAAGGTATCTTTTGGAAAGAATTCCTCCAGTAAGGATTCTGTTGTGGAGGCCTTAGGTGCTGCCCCAGGTGCATTTTTTACAAGTGAAATCATTAACAATTCCCCATTTCCTTAAATCAGATTATGCCAGAAAGAATGCACCAAGGAACCTTGCTAGTAGGTTAAAAACCTGCTTCTATTACGTTAGGGGAGAGAGCTGCAACCATTTTATTAAGAGAATCTGTTAGTCCACAGCATCCTCTTAGGTTATTTGAATCAATTCAATCCAACAAACATTTACCAGGAGCCACCATCGGCCAGGTTTTGGCTTGAACAAAAATGTAAATAAAACATATTTCCGGCTGCTGGGATTTCAAAACACAAGAGGTGACACGTGACACATACATGTATTATTCTCTGTGTACTCACCAATGTAATCAGAGAGGTTGACTTTCAGAGCCTGGATCAGTAATCCTTCTTCCACCAGTTCCTTATACAGAGACTCGATGGTCCTGGGGAGAAAGCAGAGTGTCTGTTCCAGAGGCACACACACAGAAATCGGCGGTATTTCTGTTAATGATCACATACGCGGAGAACTTAAACCAGATCTATTTCAAAGTACATTTGTTCATATGCAAATAAAAGGATTTTTGAAGTGTTTCTACAATTTGGGGATAAATTAGGCTTTTTAAAAACAATACTTTCACTCATCCATGTGTGTATCTGATGTTTCCCATTAATAAGAACGATATCTTTGGGCGTCTGGGACCAGCTCTAACTCCTGCAGTCTGCCCTTCCATCAGTCTTCATGATGGCACAAATATGAATTAGAAATTACCCAATAATAGTAATGCAATGGACCTATAATTATATATTCGGCTAGCATCTTCAAGCTGTAGTACATCATTAATCCTTTGTGAAATTTATGTTTCCTTTTAACCCAATTGCACAATTGTTTGAAAGAAACATCTACAAAGAACAAAGACTTATACTGAAGATAATTCTTATATGGAAGATAAAACGTCTAAAGCAATGAGGGTGATGATTTTTTAGGAGGGTGTTATACTTTACAGAGTGTTTACAGATGTCAAAACCACTTCTCTAAAAGGACCTTGAGCATATAGCCAGCACATTGGTAATTTATACTAATTGAGAAAAAAATGGACATAGTATCCCACATAACGGATGAAACTCCCAATGATACTTGCTGGGGTTTGGCTTGCAGAAATTAGATAGGTTAAACTCAAATATTATTCAGTATAATCCTTCGAGATGTTTTGTCTTTTCCTCTTCTTTATTCTCCCATCCTACTCTGGTCTTTCTCTAAGTTGAGAATTGTAAATACAACTTTATTTAGACAGTTCTTCTGACTGTCCTGTGATCCAAGTTAGTGTGATTAAAAGATACCCAAGAATATCAGTTAGACCCAAGCCAAATACTATTCGGGGAAATGTTAATCCAATGACCCTAGTCTTTGGATGACTGGAGTTGTATTGCATCAAACATTTAAAGTAGTATGCCCTCTGCTGAAAGTTAAGAAATATTTAATTTAGTGGAATTTAGGATAGCAATATTTGACCCATATATATCAAGGAAGTATCAACTGTAGTGTTTTAACTTGAATACTTATTTAATATAAACAATATACGCATAAAATATTAACATAAATTTGAAGAAGATTCTCTAACAATCGAACAAATGATATTAAGAAGGTCTGAGGCTAGGTGTGATGGCTCACACCTGTAATCCTAGCACTTTGGGAGGCTAGGGTGGGCGGATCATTTGAAGTCAGGAGTTCAAGCCAGGCTGGCCAACATGGTGAAACCCCATCTCTACTAAAAATACAAAAAAATTAGCTGGGCCTGGTGGTGGGCAACTGTAATCCCAGCTACTCAGGAGGCTGAGGCAGGAGAATCGCTTGAACACCAGAGGCACAGGTTGCAGTGAGCTGAGATGGCGCAAGTTCTCTCCAGCCTGGGCGAAACAGCGAGACTCCGTCTCAAAAAAAAAAAAAAAAAAGCTAGAAGACACCGTGGCACAGTGTGTGAGCATGGGCTGCACCCTCCTCAAGGGATGGGACTCCGAGGCCCCTCTGCCCCCCAAATCTGCCCCAGGAGGTGCCGGTGTTTACGCATGGACAGATGTGTGCCTCCCCAGGAACTGGGGCACCTGAGACTCAAAACGCTGACCAGCTGCTTCTTCGGCAGCAGTCAGCCACAGCATCTCGACCTGGAACTGCTTCTCAAACAATGCAGCCTTGAGTGGAGAAACCTGCAGCCCCTCCCCCTATGGATGTCCCGTGACAGCCATTTCTCTAGAGAGCAGAAACCCACACTCCCCCGACTGTGTTTCCAGGGGCTGCTTGCCAGGGCCGCGGCAGTGTTCTGGCCTCCCTGGAGGCCACAGATGCCCAGTGCCCCTCTGGGTGCTCTGCCCTCCTCTTCCCCCCGCAGAGAGCTCTAGGCAGGGCTTTCTCCCTCACTGAGCTTCCCTCCAACAGAGTTTGGGGAGAGTAATGCTGGGACACAGGGAGAAGCAGGAACCCCCAAACAGGGTAGCGACAGGACTAAGGGAAGCGGAGGGAACCCCCAAACAGAAGAGTGACAGGACCAAGGGGAGGGAACCCCCAAACAGGGGAGCGACAGGACCAAGGGGAGGGAACCCCCAAACAGGGGAGCGACAGGACCAAGGGAGAGGGGAGGGAACCCCCAAACAGGGGAGCGACAGGACCAAGGGAGAGGGGAGGGAACCCCCAAACAGGGGAGCGACAGGACCAAGGGAGAGGGGAGGGAACCCCCAAACAGGGGAGCGACAGGACCAAGGGAGAGGGGAGGGAACCCCCAAACAGGGGAGCGACAGGACCAAGGGAGAGGGGAGGGAACCCCCAAACAGGGGAGCGACAGGACCAAGGGAGAGGGGAGGGAACCCCCAAACAGGGGAGCGACAGGACCAAGGGAGAGGGGAGGGAACCCCCAAACAGGGGAGCGACAGGACCAAGGGAGAGGGGAGGGAACCCCCAAACAGGGGAGCGACAGGACCAAGGGAGAGGGGAGGGAACCCCCAAACAGGGGAGCGACAGGACCAAGGGAGAGGGGAGGGAACCCCCAAACAGGGGAGCGACAGGACCAAGGGAGAGGGGAGGGAACCTCCAAACAGGGGAGCGACAGGACCAAGGGAGAGGGGAGGGAACCCCCAAACAGGGGAGCGACAGGACCAAGGGAGAGGGGAGGGAACCCCCAACAGTGGAGCGACAGGTGTTGATCCATTAATAAGACCTATGGGAAGAAAAATATACATTCAAAATTACTTCCCACATTATTAGGGATTTTAATTAAATTCCTTGATAATATTTGAAAACCTACGTACTATTTATTTTCAGTGTTAAAGTACTTTCAGGCCACTTCAAGTTAAAAATGAACACTTGAATTCATTCGTCCTGCACTGAAGCTGGGCCCATGAAGCTCTGAGAAAGGACACCGCCCTTCCTGAGACTGGGCCTCACTGCTCTCATTCCTTCCGCGGCAGGAGCAACGGCCTCAGCAGAGGCGCTCGGGCAGATTCCTGTCCTGTGAGAACTCAGAGTCTCCGTATTTCCTCAAATGCTTCACCAGGGTGTTATTTCTTAAACAAAAAACTTAAACAAAAAATTCCATGAATTTTAAAACTTAAAAAAATGTTATGACGTCAGAAGCCATGGGGGTCCAGGTTTGCCTTCTGGGCCACCCAGGCATCTTTCCAGTCTGGGATTTGTAGGGACTTAGAGGTGGCTCCCACCACTCCGGGACTGTGGAGGATGAAGAGGGCGTGGCATCACAGAGGGGGCGTACTCGGGGTTCCCTGTGCTGTTCTCTGGGGCTGCTCACGCGCATCACAACACAACGAGTCCATTCCTCACCTGTCAGCTGTCAGATCTTTATCCTTCTTTGCCTTCTTCTCTTTCTTTTTGCCTTTCTTTCCTTTCTTCTTTGGAAAAAAAGGAAATAACCAACAATTTAGTCAAAACAAGCAAGCAAATAAGTCCTAGAAATTAGCTAAGCACGTTGTTTTCTGGGGGTGGTGGGAGGTGGAAAGTTAATTGTGGTGGCGTGAACACAGAGCTGCCGTGTTTTCATGAACGTAGGGACTGGCCTGGAAAATCCCAAGTTGCTTATGTGGTGTGTCCTTGTGTGGACAGACGTGAGGTCCCCACTGTGGAACTTGCACAGGGCCAAATTCCAAACAGGGAAGAGCATTCTGACTTTCTGGGCTCTGGCTTGGTGTCCCACAAAGGATGAGAGTGCCGTGTGCACATACAGGAGTCAAGCTGTGCTCACCTTTGGTGCCTGATATAAGCTGAATGCTTGTGTTCCCCCAAAACTCATGAGTTGAAGCCTACCCCCAAGGTGCTGGTATTAAGAGATGGGGCCTTTGGGAGGCAATTAGGTCACAAGGGTTCCACTCTCATGGAGAGGTCTGAGGGAGCTTGTTCACCCGTTCCACCATATGAAGACACAGCTAGGAGGAACCATCTTTGAAGTGGATAATGAGGCCTCACCAGACACAAAATCACCAGACTTCGAGTCCGCTGGTGTCTTGATCTTGGACTTCACAGCTCCCAGAACTATGAGCTATTAATTTCTGTTGTTTATAAATTACTCAGCCTAAGAACGTTGTTATAGCAGTCCAAACAGACTAAGGCAGTCCCAATCGCCTTTCACAGCTCCCAGAACTATGAGCTATTAATTTCTGTTGTTTATAAATTACTCAGCCTAAGAACGTTGTTATAGCAGTCCAAACAGACTAAGGCAGTACCCAATCGCCTTTCGCAGCTCCCAGAACTATGAGCTATTAATTTCTGTTGTTTATAAATTACTCAGCCTAAGAACGTTGTTATAGCAGTCCAAACAGACTAAGGCAGTCCCAATCACCTTTCTCTGTTGGCATCTAGCCCCACATCTGGAGCCCTCAGGGCCTGGCAACAGTCTACCTCTAGTTCCCAAGGGGCTTTGCACTCAGGTACTTGTGACAGCCTAGAGAGACATGCTTCAAATGTGCTTATTTCATGTGCTTATTTGCCATCTGTACATCCTCTTCAGTGTGATGTCTCTTTATGTCTTTCACTTGTTTTCTAATTGGGTTGCTTGTTTCTTAACTTCTGAGTTTTGAGAGTTCTTTATATGTTTATTGTTTCAGAGTTCTATATATGTCTAGTATATGAATACTAGATCTTTGTCAGATATGTGGTTTGCAAATATTTCCTCCCAGTCTGTAGCTTGTCTTTTTATCCTCTTAACAGGGTCTTTCACAGAGCAATCATCTTTAGTTTTGATGAAGTCCAATATTTCCTTTTAAAAATTGTGTTTTGGATGCTAATTCTAAGAACTCTTTATCTAGCCTAGCCCCCAAAGTCTTCTCTTTTTGTTTTTCTAAAAGTTAAGTCTGTGACCCATTTTGAATTAATTTTTATATAATGTGTGAGACTTAGGTTGAGGTCCATTTCTTTTTGCTTATGGATCTCCAGTTACTCTGGCACTACTTATTCAAAAGTGTCTCTTTCCTCCTTTGAATTGCTTTTGCACCTTCATCAAAAGTCAGGTAGGCATGTTTGTGTGGGCCTATTTCTAGGATCTCTGTCCTGTTCCACTGATCTATGTGTTTAGCTCTTTACCAATAGCATACAGTCTTGATTACTGTAGCAATATGATAAGCCTTAAAATTGAGTAAATTGGTCCTTCTCACTTTATTCTTCTTTTTCAAAATTGCTTTAGTTATTCTAGTTCCATTACCTTTCCATAAAAATTTTAGAATAAATTTGTCTATGTCTACAAATTATATTTCTGGGATTTTGATAGAATTGCATTAATCCTATCCTATAAAAATATCCTAATGGACATTTTTACTATGTTGAGTCTTCCAATTCATGAATATGGTATGTCTGTCTATTCAGATCTGCTTTGATTTCTTTACTGGCATTGTGCAGTTTTAACATACAAGTCCTATACCTGTTTTGTTAGATTTACACATATGTATTTCATTTTTTGAGTGATTTAAAAATCACATTCCATTTTAACTTTGGTGTCTATGTATTCATTGATGATATGTAGAAATATAATTGATTTTTGCATGTTTATCTTATATCCTGCACCCTTGCTGATGTAAGCTGATTTGGAGTTTGTAGATTCCTTGGGATTTTCCACAAGAAAATAATGTCATCTGTAAACAAAACCTTTTAACCTTATAATAGTTTTAGATTTACAGAAAAATTACAAAAACAGTACAGAAATACCTCTCACATAATTTTCCATATTAACATCTTACATCAAGTATGGGACATTTGTCACAACTAAGAAACCAACATTGGTATAATATTATCAATAAAAACCCGAAGTTTATTAGGTTTCCACTAATTTTTCCCTAATATCCTTTTGTTTTCCAGGATCCCAGGAAGGTTTTGGAGTACTGATCTAACGTCTTTATTTGTTATTGGTGTGTTGAAGCTTTCTATTTCTTCTAGATTTGGTCTTGGTAGGTTGTATATTTCTAAGAATGTATCCATTTCTTCTAGGTTGTCCAACTTATTAGCATATAATTGTTCATAACAGTCTCTTATGATCTTTTTCGTTTCTTTGACATTGGTTGTAATTTCCTCTGTTCTATTTCTGAAGGTATTTAAATCTCATCTTTTTCTTAGTCTAGCACAGAGTTTGTCAATTTTTAAAATCCTTTCAGAAAACCAGCTCTTAGTTTTATCATTTTTTCCTATTGTCTATCTATTCTCTATTTCATGGATTTCTGCTCTAATCTTTGTTATTTCCTGTCTTGTGCTAGCTTTGGGTTTAATATTCTCCTCTTGATCTAGTTCCTTGAGGTATGTTGGTTATTTGAGATTGTTCTTTTTTAATGTAGGCATTTATTGTGAAAAACTTCCCTCTTAGTATTGCCTTTGCTACATCCTATAATTCTTGGTATGTTGTGTGGTCATTTTTTTTTTTTTTGTTTTGTTTTTAAAACAACTTTTTTTTTTATTATACTTTAAGTTTTAGGGTACATGTGCACATTGTGCAGGTTAGTTACATATGTATACATGTGCCATGCTGGTGCGCTGCACCCACTAACGCATCATCTAGCATTAGGTATATCTCCCGATGCTATCCCTCCCCACTCCCCCCACCCCACAACAGTCCCCAGAGTGTGATATTCCCCTTCCTGTGTCCATGTGATCTCATTGTTCAATTCCCACCTATGAGTGAGAATATGCGGTGTTTGGTTTTTTGTTCTTGCGATAGTTTACTGAGAATGATGATTTCCAATTTCATCCATGTCCCTACAAAGGACATGAACTCATCATTTTTTATGGTTGCATAGTATTCCATGGTGTATATGTGCCACATTTTCTTAATCCAATCTATCATTGTTGGACATTTGGGTTGGTTCCAAGTCTTTGCTATTGTGAATAATGCCACAATAAACATACGTGTGCATGTGTCTTTATAGCAGCATGATTTATAGTCCTTTGGGTATATACCCAGTAATGGGATGGCTGGGTCAAATGGTATTTCCAGTTCTAGATCCCTGAGGCATCGCCACACTGACTTCCACAATGGTTGAACTAGTTTACAGTCCCACCAACAGTGTAAAAGTGTTCCTATTTCTCCACATCCTCTCCAGCACCTGTTGTTGCCTGACTTTTTAATGATTGCCATTCTAACTGGTGTGAGATGGTATCTCATTGTGGTTTTGATTTGCATTTCTCTGATGGCCAGTGATGCTGAGCATTTTTTCATGTGTTTTTTGGCTGCATAAATGTCTTCTTTTGAGAAGTGTCTGTTCATGTCCTTCACCCACTTTTTGATGGGGTCTTTTTTTCTTGTAAATTTGTTTGAGTTCATTGTAGATTCTGGATATTAGCCCTTTGTCAGATGAGTAGGTTGCGAAAATTTTCTCCCATTTCGTAGGTTGCCTGTTCACTCTGATGGTAGTGTCTTTTGCTGTGCAGAAGCTCTTTAGTTTAATTAGATCCCATTTGTCAATTTTGGCTTTTGTTGCCATTGCTTTTGGTGTTTTAGACATGAAGTCCTTGCCCATGCCTATGTCCTGAATGGTAATGCCTAGGTTTTCTTCTAGGGTTTTTATGGTTTTAGGTCTAACGTTTAAGTCTTTAATCCATCTTGAATTGATTTTTGCATAAGGTGTAAGGAAGGGATCCAGTTTCAGCTTTCTACATATGGCTAGCCAGTTTTCCCAGCACCATTTATTAAATAGGGAATCCTTTCCCCATTGCTTGTTTTTCTCAGGTTTGTCAAAGATCAGATAGTTGTAGATATTTGGCGTTATTTCTGAGGGCTCTGTTCTGTTCCATTGATCTATATCTCTGTTTTGGTATCAGTACCATGCTGTTTTGGTTACTGTAGCCTTGTAGTATAGTTTGAAGTCAGGTAGTGTGATGCCTCCAGCTTTGTTCTTTTGGCTTAGGATTGACTTGGCGACGCGGGCTCTTTTTTGGTTCCATATGAACTTTAAAGTAGTTTTTTCCAATTCTGTGAAGAAAGTCATTGGTAGCTTTATGGGGATGGCATTGAATCTGTAAATTACCTTGGGCAGTATGGCCATTTTCACGATATTGATTCTTCCTACCCATGAGCATGGAATGTTCTTCCATTTGTTTGTATCCTCTTTTATTTCGTTGAGCAGTGGTTTGTAGTTCTCCTTGAAGAGGTCCTTCACATCCCTTGTAAGTTGGATTCCTAGGTATTTTATTCTCTTTGAAGCAACTGTGAATGGGAGTTCACTCATGATTTGGCTCTCTGTTTGTCTGTTGTTGGTGTATAAGAATGCTTGTGATTTTTGTACATTGATTTTGTATCCTGAGACTTTGCTGAAGTTGCTTATCAGCTTAAGGAGATTTTGGGCTGAGACAATGGGGTTTTCTAGATATACAATCATGTCGTCTGCAAACAGGGACAATTTGACTTCCTCTTTTCCTAATTGAATACCCTTTATTTCCTTCTCCTGCCTAATTGCCCTGGCCAGAACTTCCAACACTATGTTGAATAGGAGTGGTGAGAGAGGGCATCCCTGTCTTGTGCCAGTTTTCAAAGGGAATGCTTCCAGTTTTTGCCCATTCAGTATGATATTGGCTGTGGGTTTGTCATAGATAGCTCTTATTATTTTGAAATACGTCCCATCAATACCTAATTTATTGAGAGTTTTTAGCATGAAGGGTTGTTGAATTTTGTCAAAGGCTTTTTCTGCATCTATTGAGATAATCATGTGGTTTTTGTCTTTGGTTCTGTTTATATGCTGGATTACATTTATTGATTTGTGTATATTGAACCAGCCTTGCATCCCAGGGATGAAGCCCACTTGATCATGGTGGATAAGCTTTTTGATGTGCTGCTGGATTCGTTTTGCCAGTATTTTATTGAGAATTTTTGCATCAATGTTCATCAAGGATATTGGTCTAAAATTCTCTTTTTTTGTTGTGTCTCTGCCTGGCTTTGGTATCAGAATGATGCTGGCCTCATAAAATGAGTTAGGGAGGATTCCCTCTTTTTCTATTGATTGGAATAGTTTCAGAAGGAATGGTACCAGCTCCTCCTTGTACCTCTGGTAGAATTCGGCTGTGAATCCATCTGGTCCTGGACTCTTTTTGGTTGGTAAGCTATTGATTATTGCCACAATTTCAGCTCCTGTTATTGGTCTATTCAGAGATTCAACTTCTTCCTGGTTTAGTCTTGGGAGAATGTATGTGTCCAGGAATTTATCCATTTCTTCTAGATTTTCTAGTTTATTTGCGTAGAGGTGTTTGTAGTATTCTCTGATGGTAGTTTGTATTTCTGTGGGATCGGTGGTGATATCCCCTTTATCATTTTTTATTACATCTATTTGATTCTTCTCTCTTTTTTTCTTTATTAGTCTTGCTAGCGGTCTATCAATTTTGTTGATCCTTTCAAAAAACCAGCTCCTGGATTCGTTAATTTTTTGAAGTGTTTTTTGTGTCTCTATTTCCTTCAGTTCTGCTCTGATTTTAGTTATTTCTTGCCTTCTGCTAGCTTTTGAATGTGTTTGCTCTTGCTTTTCTAGTTCTTTTAATTGTGATGTTAGGGTGTCAATTTTGGATCTTTCCTGCTTTCTCTTGTGGGCACTTAGTGCTATAAATTTCCCTCTACACACTGCTTTGAATGCGTCCCAGAGATTCTGGTATGTTGTGTCTTTGTTCTCGTTGGTTTCAAAGAACATCTTTATTTCTGCCTTCATTTCGTTATGTACCCAGTAGTCATTCAGGAGCAGGTTGTTCAGTTTCCATGTAGTTGAGTGGTTTTGAGTGAGATTCTTAATCCTGAGTTCTAGTTTGATTGCACTGTGGTCTGAGAGATAGTTTGTTATAATTTCTGTTCTTTTATGTTCGCTGAGGAGAGCTTTACTTCCCAGTATGTGGTCAATTTTGGAATAGGTGTGGTGTGGTGATGAAAAAAATGTATATTCTGTTGATTTGGGGTGGAGAGTTCTGTAGATGTCTATTAGGTCCGCTTGGTGCAGAGCTGAGTTCAATTCCTGGGTATCCTTGTTGACTTTCTGTCTCGTTGATCTGTCTAATGTTGACAGTGGGGTGTTAAAGTCTCCCATTATTAATGTGTGGGAGTCTAAGTCTCTTTGTAGGTCACTCAGGACTTGCTTTATGAATCTGGGTGCTCCTGTATTGGTGCATATATATTTAGGATAGTTAGCTCTTCTTGTTGAATTGATCCCTTTACCATTATGTAATGGCCTTCTTTGTCTCTTTTGATCTTTGTTGGTTTAAAGTCTGTTTTATCAGAGACTAGGATTGCAACCCCTGCCTTTTTTTGTTTTCCATTGGCTTGGTAGATCTTCCTCCATCCTTTTATTTTCAGCCTGTGTGTGTCTCTGCATGTGAGATGGGTTTCCTGAATACAGCACACTGATGGGTCTTGACTCTTTATCCAATTTGCCAGTCTGTGTCTTTTAATTGGAGCATTTAGTCCATTTACATTTAAAGTTAATATTGTTATGTGTGAATTTGATCCTGTCATTATGACGTTAGCTGGTTATTTTGCTCGTTAGTTGATGCAGTTTCTTCCTAGTCTCGATGGTCTTTACATTTTGGCATGATTTTGCAGTGGCTGGTACCGGTTGTTCCTTTCCATGTTTAGTGCTTCCTTCAGGAGCTCTTGTAAGGCAGGCCTGGTGGTGACAAAATCTGCAGCATTTGCTTGTCTGTAAAGTATTTTATTTCTCCTTCACTTATGAAGCTTAGTTTGGCTGGATATGAAATTCTGGGTTGAAAATTCTTTTCTTTAAGAATGTTGAATATTGGCCCCCACTCTCTTCTCGCTTGTAGGGTTTCTGCCGAGAGATCAGCTGTTAGTCTGATGGGCTTCCCTTTGAGGGTAACCCGACCTTTCTCTCTGGCTGCCCTTAACATTTTTTCCTTCATTTCAACTTTGGTGAATCTCACGATTATGTGTCTTGGAGTTGCTCTTCTCGAGGAGTATCTTTGTGGCGTTCTCTGTATTTCCTGAATCTGAACGTTGACCTGCCTTGCTAGATTGGGGAAGTTCTCCTGGATAATATCCTGCAGAGTGTTTTCCAACTTGGTTCCATTCTCCCCATCACTTTCAGGTACACCAATCAGACGTAGATTTGGTCTTTTCACATAGTCCCATATTTCTTGGAGGCTTTGCTCATTTCTTTTTATTCTTTTTTCTCTAAACTTCCCTTCTCGCTTCATTTCATTCATTTCATCTTCCATTGCTGATACCCTTTCTTCCAGTTGATCGCATCGGCTCCTGAGGCTTCTGCACTCTTCACGTAGTTCTCGAGCCTTGGTTTTCAGCTCCATCAGCTCCTTTAAGCACTTCTCTGGATTGGTTATTCTAGTTATACATTCTTCTAAATTTTTTTCAAAGTTTTCAACTTCTTTGCCTTTGGTTTGAATGTCCTCCCGTAGCTCAGAGTAATTTGATCGTCTGAAGCCTTCTTCTCTCAGCTCGTCAAAGTCATTCTCCATCCAGCTTTGTTCCATTGCTGGTGAGGAACTGCGTTCCTTTGGAGGAGGAGAGGCGCTCTGCTTTTTAGAGTTTCCAGTTTTTCTGTTCTGTTTTTTCCCCATCTTTGTGGTTTTATCTACTTTTGGTCTTTGATGATGGTGATGTACAGATGGGTTTTTGGTGTGGATGTCCTTTCTGTTTGTTAGTTTTCCTTCTAACAGAGAGGACCCTCAGCTGCAGGTCTATTTGAGTACCCAGCTGTGTGAGGTGTCAGTATGCCCCTGCTGGGGGGTGCCTCCCAGTTAGGCTGCTCGGGGGTCAGGGGTCAGGGACCCACTTGAGGAGGCAGTCTGCCCGTTCTCAGATCTCCAGCTGCCTGCTGGGAGAACCACTGCTCTCTTCAAAGCTGTCAGACAGGGACATTTAAGTCTGCAGAGGTTACTGCTGTCTTTTTGTTTGTCTGTGCCCCGCCCCCAGAGGTGGAGCCTACAGAGGCAGGCACGCCTCCTTGAGCTGTGGTGGGCTCCACCCAGTTCGAGCTTCCCGGCTGCTTTGTTTACCTAATCAAGCCTGGGCAATGGCGGGCGCCCCTCCCCCAGCCTCGCTGCCGCCTTGCAGTTTGATCTCAGACTGCTGTGCTAGCAACCAGCGAGACTCCATGGGCGTAGGACCCTCGGAGCCAGGTGCCGGATATAATCTCGTGGTGCACCGTTTTTTAAGCCCGTCGGAAAAGCGCAGTATTCGGGTGGGAGTGACCCAATTTTCCAGGTGCCGTCCGTCACCCCTTTCTTTGACTCAGAAAGGGAACTCCCTGACCCCTTGCGCTTCCCGAGTGAGGCAATGCCTCGCCCTGCTTCGGCTCGCGACCGGTGCGCGCACCCACTGACCTGTGCCCACTGTCTGGCACTCCCTAGTGAGATGAACCCGGTACCTCAGATGGAAATGCAGAAATCACCCGTCTTCTGCGTCGCTCACACTGGGAGCTGTAGGCCGGAGCTGTTCCTATTCGGCCATCTTGGCTCCTCTGCCTGTCATTTTTGTCTTGAGATATTTTCTAATTTCCCTGCGAATTTTTTTCTTTGACTCAATGGTTATTCAAGAGTGTGTTGTTTAATTTCCGCATATTTGTGAATTTTTCTGTATTCTTTTTGTTATTGATTTCTAGTTTCATTTCATTGCAGCTGGAAGTTACTTGGAATGTTTTCAATATTCTTATATTTATTAAGACTTGTTTTGTGACTTAGCATGTGATATATCCTGGAGAATGTTCCATGCATACTCGAGAAGAATGTGTATTCTGGTGCTGTTGGGTACAATAACTGTTAGGACTATCTGGTCCCTAGTATTATTCAAGTCTGCTGTTTCCTTATTGATTTTCTGTCTGGATGATACATTCATTACTGAGAGTGGGATAGTGAGTTCTCCTACTATTATTGTATTGCTGTCTATTTCTCCCTTCAGATATGTTAATATTTACTTCATATATTTAGGTGCTTTGATTAAAGGTGTATATATAATTGTTATATCTTCCTATTGAATTGACCCTTTTATCATTAGTTAATGATCTTTTTGGTTTCTTGTGATAGTTTTTGATTTGACGTCTATTTTGTCTAAGTATAGCCATTTCTTCTCTCTTTTGCTTATTATTTGCATGAGATATCTTTTTTCCATCCCTTCACTTTCAGCCTATGTGTCCCTAAATCTGAAATGAATCACATGTATATAGCATATAGTTGGATTTTTAAAATCCATTCAGTGACTCTGTATCTTTTGATTGGTGAGTTTAATCCATATACATCTGAAGTATTTTTTGAAAGGTAAGGACTTACTTTTGCCATTTTGTTAGGTTATTTCTATTTTGAGGTTCTTTTGTTCTTCTCTGAAGTTACAAGTTGCTGTGTAACTTAACGATGTTTTGTAGTGATATACTTTGATTCTTTTCTGGTTCTGGGATCCAAAGACAGGCCCAACGCTGATTTTTGTGGGTGGGCCCACAAAAATAAAGCAGCACAATGGTTGCAGTAAATGACTTGCTATTACTACACCACAAAAGTGGAGAAAGCTGCCATAGAAGCAAGGTGCACCCAGGGTTTGTGGGAGGCCCATGGTTCTGGGGTCCAAAGACAGGCCCAGTGCTGATTTTTGTGGGTGGGCCTGGTGTCAGGGTTTGTGGGAGGCCCATGGTACTGGGTTTCACTGGCCTGGTGCTGAGCTCCATGGTGAAGTCAGATGTTCACTTCTCTGTCCCTTTCTTCCAAGATAAAACTCATGGGTCTAGGAGATCTCTCTTGGCACTAGGCTGTGTGGGCTTTGGGGTGACATGGGTAAAGTGAAACTTTCATTCTTACTCTCTTCAGTGCATCTTTTTTTTTATGATTCTGTGCTCCACCCAGGTGCTGCAGCCTCTCACCTGAATCCCAGAGCTCTTGTGAAGTTACTTTCATCTATGGATGGTTATTAAATTGGTGTTTTCAGCTTACAGTGAAAGATCTTCAGAACACCAATTCAGTTGCCTTCAGGGTTAAACCATAATATCAACACAAAATGGATCAAGAGCCAGTCATCCTAAAAAGACCACATGCATGGCCCCTGATCTAGCAAAAGTAGTCACAAATGCAGCTGAATGTGTGGAAACCTCTAAGAGAAAATGTGTGAATCACAGAAAGAGTGGCTCCAGTCATGGAACGTGGAGAAAGCTGCCACAGAAGCAAAGGCTGCCTATGCTCATGCCAGCACTGACAGGGAGAACTCTCCGCCCTCTACCTTGGGTATTCTGGCTCCAATGACAGGGCTGTCTCTGGAATGAAGGTAGAAGCAGGGGCCAAACTAAATGAACTTCAAATACCCTGATCTAACTAGCTACTCTAAACCACTGTGAGATGGATTGGTGGCAACTTACACTTCCAATTCATCCAATTCCTTTCCCTATGATTCCCTCACTCACAAAAACCTGCTCATTACCATTGGCCTCCCTTATAGATCTATGTACAGGAACAGTTGGGGGCTGTTTGGGGAATGTGCTTTGGCTCTTTTGATAGTTCCCATTCTATCAGTGGGGCTTGGGTAATATGAATCTGCAACTGACCGGGGCTGGGGAGATGTTACTCTCAGATGGTTGGGTTTATCCTATTTATGAATCCACAGGCCCAAAGGTTAAATGGTGGACCAATTAAATTTACCAAAGGCAGGCATGTTTCCCCGTGAGGTGTCCTGGCAACAGGCGGCCCTCCTGGACATGCCACAGCATGTCAGGGGCTGCTTTTCATGACTGAATCCGCTCCACCGCACCCCTCTGCAGGCTCCTTCCCCACTCACCTTGTCCTTTTTCTTTCCTGCTTTCACTGGGCGCTCCCTTTCTCTGTCCACAGCTAGCTTTAAGTTTTTAAGTTCCTGTCTCATCAACTCATCAACCTAGGAGAATACAAAACATACTACTTTTAAGTCACTTTGCATGTCTTGTGTTTTGTTTGTGAAGTTTAAAAATCCCTTAAATTATGGGGTAGGTCATTAGTAGGAAATTGTAAAGAAGCACAATGGTTGAAGTAAATGATTTGCTGTTACTACACCATAAACGTAGCTGTACCTGTATCCTGATCTCTGACTGTAATTCTTTTCGTTTCTCCTCTTTGATCAGTTCTGGATCATAGTCCTGAGAGAAATTCCAAGACTCATCTTTTTTCATCCAGATTTCTACACTCCAGAAGGGTAAAGAAAAAGAAAAAGAAAAAATTTTAAAAAGATATAGGTTAATGAAATTTTAAAAAGACGTAGGTTAATTGTAAGTTATTGCAATATAAACATAAGCCTAACTTTATATGTTATTGCATAGGATAAAAGTTTGAATAAAATAAGCTGGACAGATGAGATTCATATATGTGCTTGTAAATGCACTAAAAAAAGAAAAAAAACTGCTGATGTAAAAATATTGAGTTTTAGTTTACTCAATATTTTTTAAGTGTGATACAATAGTATTCTACTGTATTATTATAATCATGTAAAAACAATATGTTAATGCTGGGATTATACAATCACAGATGACCTTTTTTGTAATGTTTTATCTTACTTTTTTTCTTCAAATGATTCACTAAAATACGAAAGATTTTGTTGCCTGTTGAACTCTCCAGGAATTATCCCTTGCCTCCTATTACAAAACAGACAACACTAAACACACAAGTACCCAGTATTTCTCCCTAATTCAACAGCTAAATTTCTGAATTACTTTTTGGATGTTTTTGAAATCACACATATTTAAAATTTCCCTTTTGCCTCTTCCTGGTGGTTAGGAGGGTGGACCTGGAGAAACATGACCCTAGACAAAGTAAGAATAATTTCCCATCACTAAAATAAATGGAAATAGAGCTCCTTTCTCAGAAGGGAGGTTCCAAATGTATGCTGAGGTGTGGAATAGCTGGATCCTCGACGTGGGACTTGGAAGAGGTCTCCCATGGGAAGCCAAGACTTGTCATTTGGGGAAGGAGACATCTTTCTGGAATCTATGTCGAGAATGTAAAGGAAATTTGCTGGAATTTGTGAAGCTGACAACCGCCACCCAGTCTGGCCACTTCACTGGGAGCTGCCTTTAGGGTTCTGATGACCTTCAACCTAGGAAGGCAGCTGAGGACCCAGGGCACAGACAGAGGCTCCCAACCTCTAAGGGACAAGGGCTGCCCCTTGTGAAGACAGCAGAGGCTGCAGGCCTCCAAGGCAGGGGGTGGTGAATGAATGAGGGAGGCTTCTCAGCATGGCTTCCCTGACAAGCATGGCATGACCCACTGACCGAGAAGGGAGAGGGTGGTGCTCTAACTCTACATTGGGAGGAAAGTCATAGTCACAGACAGAAGCACAAATCTGGCTGCTGGAGACCCAGAGCCATCAAACGTGAAGACCTAGCATAGAGACGTTTCCCCAGAGAATTACATGGGCAAACTAATGGGAAGGAGGGGTTGAGTCTCTGAACAAACCACAGAGGACCAGGAACTGGCAAAAGGGATGGACAAGGAAAGGGGCAGGGATAAGGTGCTGTGAGACCCGGGAAAAGCTAGACTCTCAGGAGAGGTGGGGAAAGCCTGGGGAGACTCTGAGGCAAACTCAGAACTGGTGAATAGGCAGGACAATTGTCCCGAGGGTTTTGGCCACCTGCCACCTGCCTGGGGCAGCACAGCTTGGTGCAAGAGCCACTGTTTGTGGCCAGGTGGAACCCCTGCCCTACCACCTACCAGCTGGTGACCTTAGCAGGGGATAGCCTTTGCAGAGACCATTCCCCTTTCTGAGAAATGAAAATAACCCCTTCCTCACGCTGATATGGTGATGGTAAATGGAATAAAATATATAAAGTTGTATGAATAAATTAATTTTTAATAAATATTTATATATAAATAAATATATACAGTTCCAGTTTAGCCCCAAATAGTTGCTGCCATCCCCCAGGAAGCAGAGCATCTCACAGGGTCTTAGCCTACCTCATTGACACTCTGTACCCCTCGAGGGGAGAGGATAATGCAGGACAGCAGCTACACCAGAAACAGCTATGCCCCAAAGCCCCAAAGCAGGTGCATGCCAGCAAAGAGGAATAAGGGCCCTGGGGCCAGTGCCTGCGTCTTTAGTGGTCAGAGTCAGGACCCTCAGGACAGGACACCTGCAGGAAGACAGGACATGGAAATGCAGCTCCAGTTTTCAAAAAGAGTGGGTTGGGCCAGGCGCAGTGGCTCATGCCTGTAATCCCAGCACTCTGGGAGGCCGAGGTGGGCAGATCCCGAGATCAGGAGTTTGAGACCAGCCTGACGAACATGATGAAACCCTGTCTCTATTAAAAGTACAAAAATTAGCCAGGTGTGGTGGCGTGCACCTGAAATCCCAGCTACTCAGGAGGCTGAGGCAGGAGAATTGCTTGAATCCAGGAGGTGGAGGTTGCAGTGAGCTGAGACTCCAGCCTAGGCGACAGAGCGAGACTGTCTCAAAAAGAAAAAAAAAAAAAGTGGGTTGGGTTCACAAGCTGCAGCTGCTGATACCAGAGGTGAGCACAGAAGGGGCAGAAGGGGTTGTCTGCCACACACGGCAGAGGCAGGTCCACCTGCCTTCCTGGACAGACTACGGCACGGATGGCTCAGCAGGTGTCTGAGCGGGGTGGGTGGTGGGGGTTCCAGCAGGACCCAGCAAGAGCTCTTGGCTGGCCTACCTCCTACCAGCAAACCGAAGGGCAGGGCTGTGTGTGTATTGCTGGCTGAGCACCATCTCTGCCACAGAGATATGGAGGACCAGCCCGTGGTGGCGCAAGGGCAGTTGGGCAGGTTTTTGAAAATGATGCAGAAAATGATGCAAATTTCTTTCAGAATGGCTAATGTGGGCTTACAAACAGACAGAAAATAAATCACAAAGGTGGTAAATTTTTCATAGGACCAATGCACTTAGGCGTCCTTCCCCAGACAGGGCAGTCTCATAAGAGGTGGCCCAGGGATTGGGGGCACAGCGCTGGGGGTGGGAAGGGGGCTCAGATGGGACTCTGAAGGTGACTGCAGAGGTGAGGCCAAAGTTCAAGGGGTGTCTTCATTCACACGGGGCAGGTGGCCAGCCCAAAACAGGTGTGACGACAAGAGGGGAGAAGAGGCGAAAAAGGCTGATGGGCTGGAGTGGGCCTACAGGAGGCAGCTGGGAAGCCTGGGCTGAACAACTCTCTTTACACATAATCCTTTCCAGTGAGAGCCAGCCCGAGAGCCAAGGTATAGAAAACAAGCATTGCATACATTGTCTAAAGCATCCCATTGGTGGAAGAGATACTTCATGTCACTAATATGTGGAAGTTCGTTCTTTGCTCTGCACTCCCTTAGATTTTGTGGTTAGCTTGTAGGAGGTATGTACTCCAAAGGCCCGGAGAGTTTACGACTCCTGCATTTGAAGTGAATTGCTCTTTTCTAGTAAATTTTCTGAAATGTACATAAGCTTAAACTGTGAAAAACTTCAAAATGTAGGAATAACACGTAGTGATAAAACATAGGAAAAGGAATCAATGCTTCCTTTTATGTGTTTAAAATTGTAAGCATTCTCCTTCGAAAATTCTAGAAAAGGTTTAAATGTGTCATAATGTGCTGTTTACTAATAATAATCCCCCTTGTAGGATTTCTAAATCTTCTGCAATAGCAGCACCTACCTGTTACATCAGGGCATTTTAAACAAAACAGCTTTGTTAGTAACGGGAAGCTACTTTTCTTTTTCACTAGATTCACTAAAATCAGGAAATAATGTATTTAATAATAAAAGGAAGGCAGAATCTTTAACAGAAGGGAAACCATGACACGATTACTTATGTAGAAACAGTTGTACGGTAGAACACATTCTCATTCTGGAGTTGCAATTATATTTAAAATAAAACACTGCAGAGCCGTTTTGCCCATTTCCCCTCTAGATCGTTTAAATGGATTGAGTTTTCCACTGAAACTTTGCTTTTCTCATGACACTTTTGCGCAGGGCACTTTTCAATCCCTTCAAGAATTTCATGGACATTTATAAATGCAGGAAGCTATTCATGGCCCTCAAAGGGCAACAACTGCCCCACTCTCTCCTAGAGCGGAGAAAGAGCTTTTATCCTAAGAATGTGAAAAGCGAGGCCAAGGCAGTTTCACACGTGGGGGGGCAATGAAAGAGGGGCGGGGGGGGGTTAATCTTAGTGATTAAAATGCTAATGTTTTATTTGAAGAGGAAAACCTTTGATTTTTAAGAAAAGAATTCTAAGAGGAAGACATTTAATTCCTTGAAGTTACCAAAGACCTGGCAGATAACAAGTCCAATGCCACAACATCCAACCAGGAAAATGACACTACAGGCTTGCTTCTAGGAGGGACGCTGCTTGCTTTTTCAGTCTTAATGGAAACAGATATTACACAAAAGGCGTGGACAGTTTTCAGAGCTTTTGGGCCGGTCAGCAGGTTGCAAGAGTTGGCTTCCCATGGGAGCATTAGATTTCTCTAATGCTTAACGTTTGCTTGTATAGAAATAATACACATTGTTTTAAACAAAGTCAGAGTATTAAACAGATTATAATAAAAAACCTGTCCCACTCTATCTACCTGCTAATTACATTATCCAATGGCATTCTTTCCTATATTCATTTATTCATTAAAAATACATAGGTCAAATTCAGTTATTACATTTTGACTTTATTGAGCCGATTATAGGCCAGGCACTGCTCTCAGAGCAGGTGGATAATGGAAGGCCCTGCCCTCAAGGACTTGGCATTGCACTGTGAGAAGCATCCGTGAACACACACTCACACCCAAGTGGTAAGTACAGCGAGCAAAGGGTGGGCGCGGGCAGAGGGGGACTGTCACTCCACAAGGGCCCTCAAGGAAGGGGCCTCACTGGCACTGAGGCCCAAAGGGACAAGCATTCTGAGCCAGAGGAACAGAAAGCATGAGTGCCGGAGGTGGAGCGTGCCCAGCCTGCTGGAGGAAGCGCAGTGGCCACAGGGGCGTGTGTAGCGATCTGGTTTCGTGGAAGCTCTTTCGGGTGGTTTCTGTGTTCTTTTCCTAGTGTCTATATAACATGCTCATATGCTACTTCTTGATTTATCCATGTCAGACATGAGCCCCTGACTTCCTGCCATGGGACAGCAGGCTTCTGCTCTCTGGCTCCTTTCTTCCTGTGCCCTCATTGTCTTTACATAGTCGTATCAGAAGAGAAGGGAGCCCTGCTTTCCACATCCTGGGGCACCTACTGTCTGAGTGTAAGTGAAGGACAGCTTTCAGATGCCCAGGGCAGCCACAACTCCCCTCTGTGAGTCCCTTCTTGGGACATCCTAGAGAATGAGCTCTACCAAAATGAGGGAGAGGCAAGAAGTCAGCAAAGGCCAAGGAAGGCTCAAGGATCGCAGCTGAGACGGAGGGCTCCACAAAGGTGCTCTTCGGAAGAAAACAAATTAGTAAGTTACCTGGCATGTTTGAAGGTGTGGGAGTTATCTTATAGGTACATGCAGTACCAAACCAGTGAGGGTGGCTGTAAAGGCCAAATGATGATATGCAAAGCAGAGTCTTAGATGGGATGTTGTTGCAGACACATACCTGATGCCAGTGGACCCTAGCCAGGCCCACGGCCCCACTGTGTGGATGACAGTAACTCCCAGCAGGACCCACTGGATGTTGTTACTGTCATCCGAACTTACAGAAACTACTCAGTTTATGCCACTATCTCCACCCCATCCCACCACTGTAATCCCCAACATATAAGCTCATTGTTGGCAGGTGTTACCTTTATATCTCTGGGCTAGCACTGCACCTGACACCCTGGAAATGCTGAATGTTTGTTGAAGGAATATGCAAGTGAAAAGGTGTTTTTGATAGTGACTGCTCTGCACCATTAAGGAGTTGATGGATTCTTAAGCTTGGATGACAGCGGGGCTTCTACCAGTACCTGCCCATACGAGGAGAGCAACATTTACCTCCCCCAGTTGTTGTGAATATTAAATGAGATGGGCATGGAAAAACTCCAAGCCTTGCACGTCTTAGGTACTTAATAAATGTTAGTTTCCCCTTTTGACCTCCTTTCTTCCCAGTGAAAATGGATTGAGTTGCCAAATCCTGCCAGTGTCATCGTGTCCCCCAGGGTTCCCCTTTAGTTCAGCATCTCATGCAGTGGGGTGCCCTTGCCACTAGTGGTATGTAAGAGAATTTTCAGTGGCACACAGACATTTTTATCTTATATCACTAGCATATCAAACCTATGACCACATTCATATTGTTGCTTAGGATAAGGTGCAATTATTAAGGTGAAAGCCCTGAGTCAATTTAAAAATACATCTATTAAGTTAATAATATCCAGAGAAGACCAAGGTTGGGAAGGAGGCCACGAATGACTGCCATTTGGAAAGATTCCACTTCACATCCGGATTGCAACTTTCAGAAACTTCCACACTAGCACTAATGACTGAGGTCACCTTGGCAGGTCACTGTGTTTGGATTTATCTTGAGGGCACAGTAGAACCACAGGAGTTCGGTAATAGTTCTAGGAAATTAAAATGCAAATATCTGAAAGACCAGTTCCTACACTTGCGGATCCAGCCAGATGACAGCTATGCTCATCAGGCTGAACAACTGACAGAAAAATCGTGTGTCAGAATTGAGGCACACATCTTAGTTTAATAGGAATAAGACATTTGACTACACATACAGTATCAATTTTCTTAATTTAAGCAATCTAAAAATATGTTTCTTCCCTGCCACTAGCATGAAAACATTCAGCTGAAGTCTTAGGGGTTCAAAAACAGGATGGAGGTCTTGACTATCTTCTCATCCTATATGCATCTTGCCTTTTAACCAATTGTATGCTTAAGGCCACCAAAAGGAATTTTTTTTTTTTTTTGAGGCAGAGTCTCGCTCTGTCATCCAGGCTGGAGTGCAATGGCGTGATATCGGCTCACTGCAAGCTCCGCCTCCTGGGTTCAAGTGATTCTCCTGCTTCAGCCTCCCGAGTAGCTGGGATTACAGGCTCCCGCTGTTACGCCCAGCTAATTTTTTTTATTTTTGAAGAGATGGGGTTTCACCATGTTGGCCAGGCTGGTCTTGAACTCCTGACCTCATGTGATCTGCCCACCTCGGCCTCCCAAAGTGCTGGGATTACAGGCGCAAGCCACCTCGCCTGGCCAGGAAATTTAAAATAGAGACAGGCAGAATGTCTCGGTTGTGAGTGGCATACAGCAGCCTCCCGTGATGGGGTTCCCAGCACGTGCTGCTGTCTTGGTGACCATGCACGTTCTCCTAAACTGACCTTTGTATGCGTTACATCCTTCCTTCATTGCAGGAAGAAAAAGACTTGGTGACATTTTCCATTTTTCGTCTTCTTCCTGTTCAAAGCAGAATATTTTCGTTAATCTCAGGCAAGACCGGGCAGCAAAAGACGCAGACGCTGTGATAACCGTGACGAGGGTCCATGCCGCGCAGGCCCAGTCCTGGTCCCCCTGGGCAGTGCCCCTCTGGCCCGTCTAAGTATGGAGTGCTGTGTCCACTGACCAGGCATGGGTGGTCCAGGCTCACCGAAGCATCCCCTGCTGATACCGGCTTTCTCTTCTCAGTGGCCTCCCCTGGGGTACCCCATGCCCCGAGTTTGATCCTGTCTTCTTTTTTGATTAAAAAACTTTCTTTCTTTCTTTCTTTTTTTGAGACGGGGCTTAAACAATCCTCCTGCCTCAGCCTCCCCAGTAGCTGGGACTGCAGGTGTGCACCACCACACCTGGCTAATTTTTAAATTTTTCTGTAGAGGTGGGGTTTTGCCATGTTGCCCAGGCTGGTCTTGAACTCCTAAGCTCAGGCAATCTGTCCCCCTCAGCCTCCCACAGTGTTGGGATTATAGGCCTGAGCCACCACACCCGGCCTGGTCCTGTCTTCTCATGCTCTCACTCCTTCCTTGCTCTAAAGGCTGAGTTCCTAGCCTGAGTCCATCTGCCTCCCTCCTCCACGTTGCTGTAACCAGCCCTTGGAGCTACTCCGAGTCCTTTGCTGAGCTGTGCTGCTTGCCAGTTCTAGCACCAGGGCTGTTCCTTCCTCTCGCTACCTGCCCCATCCTTGAGCCTGGAGCTGCAGCCTGACTCTGGGGCCCTGCTTCCTTCCCGGAGCCAGAGTCTAGCTAGCCTCCCTACCCTGGGCCCCCCACAGCAGAGAGAGCCTGGCCACCATCCTTGGCTCCTGCTGCTGACTCTGTGCACCAAGATGGGAGATTGCGGTGCTACCCGCCGCCAGCCCAGGCCATAGCTCTGCTCTGAGCCCCAGCACAACACCCCCTCTGCCCCTCTGCCGCCAGGGTTCACCTGCGCCTAATAGTGAGAGCTAGGCCCTGCAAACCCTCATGTGATGTTTCTCTGCAATAATGTTGACACTGCCTCAATAGTCTGGTTTCCGATGACCACTATCATGGCTATTGCTACCCTTAGAGAGGGCGAAAGGAACAACGCTGGCCTCCATTTGGTCCTCGGGTTCCCGAAGCAGGCTCAGTACTCTCTATGCAGTGACAGGAGGGGCAGCAGTTGGGTGGCGCGGGCGTGCCTCCCCTGGGCTGCTTCCAGAGCACGCCCTGACTCTGGCACCTGATGGGCTCTTCCGTTTCTGGGCTCCAGGGTTGGGCTCCGGGATGCGGTGGCCTGAACACGGTGCCCCCACAGTCCCTCGTGGTTGTGTAGTATCCATGCATCAGATCCAGAGGTATTTCTCCTCTCTCTCCCCATGGCCAAGCAATCACCAAACCCCACTGTTCTGCCGTGGAGGCTTTCCTGGGGTCTCCCTGCTTCTGCCTCCAGTCCCACTGCCCTGGCCCCTTGCTCCAAGGTTGGCTAACGCAGGGTCACTCTCTTCTCTCCTGCTGGAAGGGGTCTGCAGCAGACCTGGCCTTACGACTTCCTTCCTTGGAAGCCCCACAGAGGCATTTGTCTTGGAGCTCCTGGGAGGCACCGTTCCCCACAGGACACAGTCCAAGCCCCTCAGCAGACCACACACAACCCCCACAGGTGTGGTCCCTCAGGAGTGCCCCCGCCCACCTCTGGGGCCTTTGCCCTTGCCGCCTCCTGCCTCTGCCGTCACTGCAGAGATGCTGACAAGGCCACCCTCCCTGCACCTGCCATGCTCTTTGCCCTGCTGTCCTGTCCGCTTGGAAGGCCACCCTTGTCCTACACTTTCTGATGAATTCAGAGTCTGAACAGACCTCCCGTCCTCCTGAAATCCTCTCTGATGGCCTTCCTGCCCTTTTGACAGGATTGTCACTTCCTAAGAACAGCCCGCTTTTCCCACCAGACACAGCAGGCAGGAAGGACCCCGCCAGCCCTGGGGCCTGGCCACTTGGCCTGTGTGCGACATTTGCTGGATGAAACAAGAAGAGGGAAAGTATAGGCTCAATCCATGGATAAATGTGTAAATACAATGTGGTATTTCCATACAATGAAATGTTGAACTCACCCACAGAAAGGAGCGAACACAGACACGGGCTACGGAGCGGAGGAAGCGTGAAGACCTAGGCTGAGAGCGTGAAGTCAGAACCAAAAGGCCTCACAGTGTATGATCCCGTTTATATGAAAACAGATAAACTCAGGGACAGAAAGCAGATCAGTGGTGCCAGGGGGTTGGTGCGGGGAAGAGAGGGGGGAAGGGGAGGGACTGTTTAATGGGTACGGGGTCTCCTTGGGGTTGATGAAAATGTCTCCACTGTCACGCTACTTCACTGCATCCCTCGTGATTTTTGCCAGATCTGAGAATCCCTGACCAGCAGAACCATCATTTCTTTAAAGACTCACTTAAACTTATGTTCTTTAAAGAGGCACTCTCTATTGCTGAGGTGAAACCATAGTGGATACACTGGTTTCCCGATACACATGAGAATACAACACAACCATCGGAATAAAAGAGGCTGGGTGTGGAGCCATTGGACTCTCCCCAGTGCGTGCCCCAGGTGGCTGGGAAAGCCAGGGCTTCCTGGAATCCTCCCCAGCTCAGGGCTGGCAGCGGCTCTTGCTCCCAAGACAGTGCTGGGTTACACCCTGAGCAAAGGCACACTTGGTTGCCTCAGTTACTTTCTGAGGCAACTGTAGCTCTGATCAAGTCACCTCCTGGCTCAAGTGTCCCCAGGGGCTTCCCACAGCCCCCTGAGACCACGGGTTACCAGCTCACTCAGAGGACACACCTCCTGCCCCTGCTGACTCTCATCTGTGGTCTATTCCCCTGTGAATCCACCACGTCTTTTTTCAGCTTTGCATTTCAGCTTTGCATTTTTCAGCTTTGCATTTTGCTTTGAGTCCACTGTGTCTTTCAGCTTTGCATTTGCTCAGGTCACCAGGAAGCAAGGAAGACGCAGGAAATGGGATCACAAGAGCTTCAGGGGAGGCCCGGGGTGCTCGGGAGAGGACTCTCACTTCATGGGGTGGGGGGGCATGGCAGGCTTGCCTGGAACCGCAGCCCATAAACCATGCAGGGGGAGCTGCAGCCAGCGGGGAACCAGGGAGAGAACCTGGACCCAGAAACACCAGGGGGCCCAAAGCCTATGACACAGCTCACCCACCTTCCAGAGCGCACACTAAATCAAAGCTCTCTGGTAAGAAAGTCCCACCTACGACACAAGGCTTGGGTTAGCTACGCCCCATTCCTGGCTCCCAAGAGACCCAGGCATTAGAGAAAAGCCTGCAAGAGCAGCAAGAAAAAGACTAGTAGTGGATAAAGCAAGGCCTGGGAGGAAAGAGGGAGAATTCATGAACGAAAGAGAAATTTAAAATCACTTTAATTAGTATATTTATCCTCAGATATATTATTTATCATCTGTCTGTCTGTCTGTCTCTCTCTTTCCAGGTATCACTAAGGAGTCATACATCTTTATTACTTTTTCGTCAATGTTATTGTCTATTATTGCCATTTTTGTTTTGGATACTCAGATTGTTCTATGTTTGGTCTCTGGGAGCCCCTACACTGGTGAGGCTGTGCTCTTAGGGATGGATGAAGGCAAGGAAGAGGAGGAGGGGGAGGGGGAGGGCTCCAGGGAAGGAGACTGAGGTGTGACAAAGGGTTTCCAGCAGAAGGAACAGCATGTGTGAAGTCCAGATGGGGAGGCTGTGTCTCACAGGGATGGCTGAAGGAGGTTCGGCAGCCGTGAGGACTGCGTGGGGCTGGGCAGACAGACATGAGGCTGGAGTGGCGGGAGAGAGAGAGAGGCAGAGAGAAGAGGGAGGAAAAGAGAGACAGGGGGACAGAGATGGAGACACAGAGAAAGAGGATGGCTCTTGAAAGGACCAAGAGCTGCAGGGAGCTTGGAGTTGGCTTATGAGCAGGGCAGCTACCCAGGAGCCTGGTGTGAAGGGAATGGCCCCTTGGGACATCACTCTGGCTGGAACTGGGGGTTGAGGGGTGGGGAGGAGGCTAGTTTGCATGCATATGTGATATCCATCTGTTATAGCAGAATCATAGTTTATGGCTTAAAAGTTTTGCTGGATGAATAGGTGTAACATGGTATTTAAAAAAAATTATATTTCTTTAGTTGGTGTGGCTGAACTTCATTTTATTTGCTTTTCATTTCCTAACTTTGTGGCCTTATCTTGATTTTTACAAATGAAAGTGCATGAGCCTACCTATTTACCTGTGAACCTTTCCTGAGCAGCTACTAAGGGTGGGACTCACTAGATACTAGAACTGCACAGGGCCTGCCTCTGAGATCCTTGAGTCCTCCTGCCTCCCCGATCCTCGCTCGCTGTGCCTCGGGGCCCCGACTGCAACACACCACAGCCCCTCTTCCCCCGATGCCTTTTACTAGGTGGTTCCCAGGTCCAGGGCTTCCCTGTAACTGTCACACACACGTTTCCCCGAATAGAAACCAGGGGTCGCCTTCCCAGATCCCATCCCACCACTGTGGCTGGCCTTGCACACTCTGGCCCACTTCCTGAGGTGAGGAAGGCTAGCCATGACCCGAGTTCTGATGCTCTCTTCCTCTACACAGGGTGGGTGGCCCACTCCACTGTCAGACAACTTTTTTGACTTAACCCAATGGAGAGTTAAAAAAAAAAAAAAAAAAGAAAAAGAAAAAGAAAAGAAAAGAAAGAAAAAAGAAAAAAAATCCAATGCCCCAGCTCTGCCCTAGACCAATTATGCTCAATTAAGTGAGAATTTCTTCCAAGGTGTGTGGATATTGGGAGTCGTTTTTTCCTAAAACCACCCCAGGCAGCTAGACTGAAGGCCATAGATTCATTGAAGTTGTCCTTCCATCAGCTGAGGCCCAGTTCCTGGAGCCTCAGGGAGTCTGCACCCTCTTCATGCCCTAAGTCTGCTCCAGATGAAGCCTTCCTGACTCCTATCCCCATCGCTCAAAAGAGATTTCCAGATTATTCGCCCTCCTGGCCATCTTCTGTGGACTGTTCTAGCTACCCAGGCTCCCAGTCAAGCAACGGTGCTGGTTTAATGGTCATGGTGGAGCCACGGCCGGTAACCTCCTTGGCCTTTGCGGCATGTGAAGGTGGCCTGCAGTTATGCCACTGTCTGGACATTCCCAGCACACCATGGGCCTGGAGTTAACAAAGTCCTCCTATCTTTTTAATGCATATACCATGTAGACAGATATCTCCTGCTTTGAAATTATATGAATGGTTTTTAGGTGTTTATTCGTAATGACTTGACCGGCTCAGGCTGCTATAAGAAAATAGTATACACTAAGTGCCTTATAAACAAAAGAAATGCATTTTTCACAGTTCCGGAAACTGGCAAGTCCTAGATCAAGGTGCAGATTCTGTGTCTGGTGGGGGCTGCTCTCTGCTTCAGAGACTGCACCTTCTAGCCATGTCTTCACTCCGCGGAAGGGGCAAAGCAGCTCTCTGGGGTCTCTTTCACAAAGGCACTAATCTCAATCACAGGGGCTCTGCCCTCAGGACCTAATCACCCTCAGAGGCCCCACCTCCTAACACCACCACATTGGTGATTAGCTTTCAATGTATGAATTTTTTGTAGGTGGGTGAACACAAAAATTCAGACCATGGCACCCAACAAATGTAAATTTCTTACATTTGGCCCACCTAAGTGACTTCATGCTTCTGGAGGGGAGTGTTTATTCATGCCTCCGCCATTTTCCATCTCCATTGCTTTCCACACTTGCTGGCTGAACAAATAATGAACAGGTGGGAGGAGAAGTGCGTTCTCACCTGCAGACCGACCTCAGAGTTGAGTCACTGTAGTATCTGCCTTCTCTGCTTGGCCACACCAGCATGCCATGATCTGTGGTTTGTTGCATCCAACTTTCTTGCCTTTTTTTGCAAACTGAGCCATTTCCATGGCTCCAGTTTTCTGGGCCTTGCTTTCTCTGGGGCTCCTCAAATATCACAGTTAGTAGTACTGAGACTTGACCTGCCCGGTCTCTGGGTACCGCTAAGATGCTCAACCGCACAGAAAGCTTCCTTTAGAGCAGACAGTTGCTTTCTCATCGGCCTCTCACTTTCTCTTCATGGCCCAATCAGTTATAAATCACTCAGGACAAAGCAGTTGTTAAGTGAAAATAAACTTATGGAGGCCTCTCGATTTGATTTAGACGATAGTAGTCCTCCTTTCTCCAAGGAGGATACATTCCAAGACCCCAGTGCACACCTGAAGCCTCGGATCGTACCAACCACTACATACACTATACTTTTTCCTATACAGAAACAGGCAGGTAGTGTATACAGCATGAACATGCTGGACAAAGGGATGATTCACGTCCATGGTGGGATGGGACAGGATGGTGTAAGACTTCATTCACACTGCGAAGAATGGTGCACAATTCAAAACTCAGGAATTTTCCATTTAATACTTATGGGTCACACTTGACCGTGGGTAACTGGAACTGCGAAAAGTGAAACTGAGAATAAGGGGGGACTAGTGCATATTTAAAAAGCTGGTTTATGGAAACTGACCATTTTTCGTAAGTTTCCGGCTACTGTGTGAACTTTGTCCCTTACACAACACAGATAAATGCTACATGGAGAACGTTTCTAAAGTTTCTTACTGAGAGTCAATGGGACATACTGAGAGATGCAGAGATGCAAATGCAAATGTTTCCAGAAGAGGCTTTGTTATCAAAATATCTTTGTGAAATTAGGAGGGCAGTCAGAGATAAACCGTGCGCCTTCTTCTTGCCCTCCCCAAATGTTAACTACTGCTATTATTTCCTGCCTGGCTTAAAGAGCGATTCAAATGCATGGAGGTTTTGTTGAAAATTTTCTATTGGTAAATATGTGCATCTGAAGTAGGCTGTTGAGGGATGGCTAACATCTCACACTGGTAGGGCTGTGGAAAAATTCAAATAGGGCTGCAACTGTTAGATTTTTTGAAATGAGGTTATATATTTTGAAATACATCTGTTCTCAGCGGCTTTCAGATTACCTGCTCCTCCCCTCTGGGTCCGTATCCTGGGGTGGGGGAGAGGTCGACCAGCGATTTTGAAGAGGCTGACGATTTCCCACTGATCTGAGAGTGAAATAATAATCCCCTTCTCTAGATTCAGAAGTGAAAACCAACCCAGAAACTATAATGGCTGAACACTATATTTAAAAATTAATATGCACCAAACAACGTGATAGCTTATGCAACTAAACTTGAAAAACAGATCAAGGATCTCCACTATTTTTTTTTTTTTTGAGATGGAGTTTCACTCTGTTGCCCAGGCTGGAGTGCAGTAGCACAATCTCGGCTCACTGCAAGCTCTGCCTCCCGGGTTCATGCCATTCTCCTGCCTCAGCCTCCCAAGTAGCTGGGACTACAGGCGCCCACCACCACGCCTGGCTAATTTTTTGTATATTTAGTAGAGATGGGGTTTCACCATGTTGGCCAGGATGGTCTCAATCTCTTGACCTCGTGATCCGCCTGCCTCGGCCTCCCAAAGTGCTGGGATTACAGGCATGAGCCACCGCGCCCAGCCACATCTCCACTATTTTTGAGCTTGCATTTAGCTCGTCATTTTACTTTCTGCTCATGCATTTGCGACAGCACTAGGGAATCAACATTCCTCATGGCTTTGAGGGCTGCAGAGTGCTACTCTTTCCCCCACAAAAGAAATACAAGAGATAGGAGAGAATCTACAGTGGGAAGTCTAAAAATGTACAGCTGTGTCCTAAATACATTTGTCACAAGTTTCTTTGATGGTATCTGGGTTAATTTTTGTCGGAAAGAGCTTCTTGGTTATGAGTACGGTAGTAAGAAATAAACCACATTTCTCACATGGGCCATGCAAGCTGCCAGCTGGTTACTGGCTCTCCAGTCCTCAGACTTGGGCTGGAGTCTACACCATGGGCCCTCAGCTCTCTGGCTTTTGAACTCTACCACCAGCTCTCCTGGGGCCCCCTCTTGTAGACGGCAGATGGTGGGACTTCTCAGGCTCCATAACCAAAGGAACCAATACCTTATAATGAATGAATCTTTCTCTATATAAATATAAAAGGGCACAGAAGATATCTATATATACACACACACACGGGCCACATGTACTTTTTATATATCGCTCTCCTATTGATTTTGTTTCTCTGGAGTGCCCTGACTACACTTTCTTCTCAAGCCTTCTCCTCACCTCTGCTGCATCATTTCCCCCCTGTGATCCTCTCTCTCTTTAAAGAACCTCCTCACTGCCTCCATCATAGCCTTAGTTTTCACTCCTCATTTTTTTTTTTTCAGTGGAAAATAACTTTTAGTGAGACCTCAGCAGCTGCAAAATCTATTCCTGGCATTAAGCTCCGTCTTCTACTGCAATTTGGTCTTTCTTGAGTGGTTTCATGAATATTTTCCATGAATACTTTCTTCTCTTCCATGGTCTGGGAGCAGCCATGGCCAAACTTGGCAGTGGTGTCAATGAACTTAAGGTCAGTCTTCTCCAGAGCCCGCTGTTTGGTCTCAGCCAGCAAAGACTTGTGGAGGGTGAGCACTCACTTCTTGGTTCCCACCACACATTCCTTCAGCATGACAAAGCCACTGGTCACTTCACCATATGGGACAAAGCCACCCAGAGAGTTGATATTCTTGTCAGGAAGGTCATGGTCAGTGGAGGCATTGTTCTTGATCAGTTTGTCGTCCTTGATAAGGTAGCCCTGGCCGATCTTAGAGATCAATCTTCTTGTGATCTCAGTGCGGTGATGGTAGCCTTTCTGCCCAGCACGTGCCACAGAGAAGGCCACACAGGCAGGATGCCATGCCCCAATCCAGGCCACCTTGCGCAAGCCTCAGTGGGTCTTGCAGGGTAGCTTCTTGGTGTGTCAATGACTTGTGACCCCTTTGTAGTCTTTGCCCTTGGTCACCTTGAAGACGTCAATCATCTCATCCTGCCCAAACACTTGGTTCACAGGTATGGGCTGCTCTAGCCTCTCCCGGCCCCAGTCCAGCTTCTTGGCCACGGTGCCTCTGTTCACCTGGATCTCCATCAGCGGGGCCTTCTTCTGGCGTGGAGGAAGCAGGTATATGTGGGTGTGGCAGTGACATGGATGACTTGGCAGTGCTTCTTCATGCTGCTGAAGTCCTGCTCCAGCTGCTTCTTGCCATCCATATTCTGCCATTTCTTGCAGTAATTGGTAAAGGCCTCCTTCTTAGATTTATGCCAGTTGTTAGAGAAGTGCTTTTTGCACTCATCGCTGATGTACTGAGCGAAGATGGTCTTGAAGGTCTGGAGGCCTTGAGGTTTGAGGGGTTTCCACATAGCCCACAATGCCCATAGCCACCATGGCAGTGTCTCCACAATAGTCACAGCCTCTACCACCTCCTTCTTGTTCACGTTGGATCCTAGCCTGTTGACTTCTTGCACGATGTGGGTCATGCCAACCTTGTATCCCAGGAAGGCTGCGAAGTGGACCGGCTTGGAAGGGTCATCCTTAGGGCAGCTCTTCACCTTCCCACGATGCGTGCTGTGCACTTCCGAGGCAGGAAGCCGAGGGACCCATGTCTGGGAGTGGAGGACTTCTTGTGAGACATCACGCCATCACATCTTGCTGGTAGAGCCTAATTTTTTTTCTTTTTTTGAGACAGAGTCTCCCTCTGTTGCCCAGGCTAGAGTGCAGTGGTGCAATACTAGCTCACTGCAGCCTTCCTCCCAGGCTCAGGAGATCCTCCTGCTTCAGCTGCCTGAGTAGCTGGGACCACAGGCACACACCATCATGCCTGGCTAATTTTATAAAAATTGTTTGTAGGTTTGTAGTTCTCCTTGAAGAGGTCCTTCACATCCCTTGTAAGTTGGATTCCTAGGTATTTTATTCTCTTTGAAGCAATTGTGAATGGGAGTTCACTCATGATTTGGCTCTCTGTTTGTCTGTTGTTGGTGTATAAGAATGCTTGTGATTTTTGTACATTGATTTTGTATCCTGAGACTTTGCTGAAGTTGCCTATCAGCTTAAAGAGATTTTGGGCTGAGACAATGGGGTTTTCTAGATATACAATCATGTCGTCTGCAAACAGGGACAATTTGACTTCCTCTTTTCCTAATTGAATACCCTTTATTTCCTTCTCCTGCCTGATTGCCCTGGCCAGAACTTCCAATACTATGTTGAATAGGAGTGGTGAGAGAGGGCATCCCTGTCTTGTGCCCGTTTTCAAAGGGAATGCTTCCAGTTTTTGCCCATTCAGTATGATATTGGCTGTGGGTTTGTCATAGATAGCCCTTATTATTTTGAAATACGTCCCATCAATACCTAATTTATTGAGAGTTTTTAGCATGAAGGGTTGCTGAATTTTGTCAAAGGCCTTTTCTGCATCTATTGAGATAATCATGTGGTTTTTGTCTTTGGTTCTGTTTATATGATGGATTACATTTATTGATTTGTGTATATTGAACCAGCCTTGCATTCCAGGGATGAAACCCACTTGATCATGCTGGATAAGCTTTTTGATGTGCTGCTGGATTCGGTTTGCCAGCATTTTATTGAGGATTTTTGCATCAATGTTCATCAAGGATATTGGTCTAAAATTCTCTTTTTTGGTTGTGTCTCTGCCCGGCTTTGGTATCAGGATGATGCTGGCCTCATAAAATGAGTTAGGGAGGATTCCCTCTTTTTCTATTGATTGGAATAGTTTCAGAAGGAATGGTACCAGCTCCTCCTTGTACCTCTGGTAGAATTCGGCTGTGAATCCATCTGGTCCTGGACTCTTTTTGGTTGGTAAGCTATTGATTATTGCCACAATTTCAGCTCCTGTTATTGGTCTATTCAGAGATTCAACTTCTTCCTGGTTTAGTCTTGGGAGAGTGTATGTGTCGAGGAATTTATCCATTTCAACCACTGCTCAAGGAAATAAAAGAGGATGCAAACAAATGGAAGAACATTCCATGCTCATGGGTAGGAAGAATCAATATCGTGAAAATGGCCATACTGCCCAAGGTAATTTACAGATTCAATGCCATCCCCATCAAGCTACCAATGACTTTCTTCACAGAATTGGAAAAAACTACTTTAAAGTTCATATGGAACCAAAAAAGAGCCCGCATCGCCAAGTCAATCCTAAGCCAAAAGAACAAAGCTGGAGGCATCACACTACCTGACTTCAAACTACACTACAAGGCTACAGTAACCAAAACAGCATGGTACTGGTACCAAAACAGAGACATAGATCAATGGAACAGAACAGAGCCCTCAGAAATAATGCCACATATCTACAACTATCTGATCTTTGACAAACCTGAGAAAAACAAGCAATGGGGAAAGGATTCCCTTTTTAATAAATGGTGCTGGGAAAACTGGCTAGCCATATGTAGAAAGCTGAAACTGGATCCCTTCCTTACACCTTATACAAAAATCAATTCAAGATGGATTAAAGACTTAAACGTTAGATCTAAAACCATAAAAACCCTAGAAGAAAACCTAGGCATTACCATTCAGGACATAGGCATGGGCAAGGACTTCATGTCTAAAACACCAAAAGCAATGGCAACCAAAGCCAAAATTGACAAATGGGATCTAATTAAACTAAAGAGCTTCTGCACAGCAAAAGAAACTACCACCAGAGTGAACAGGCAACCTACAAAATGGGAGAAAATTTTCGCAACCTACTCATCTGACAAAGGGCTAATATCCAGAATCTACAATGAACTCAAACAAATTTACAAGAAAAAACAAACAACCCCATCAAAAAGTCGGTGAAGGACATGAACAGACACTTCTCAAAAGAAGACATTTATGCAGCCAAAAAACACATGAAAAAATGCTCAGCATCACTGGCCATCAGAGAAATGCAAATCAAAACCACAATGAGATACCATCTCACACCAGTTAGAATGGCAATCATTAAAAAGTCAGGCAACAACAGGTGCTGGAGAGGATGTGGAGAAATAGGAACACTTTTACACTGTTGGTGGGACTGTAAACTAGTTCAACCATTGTGGAAGTCAGTGTGGCAATTTCTCAGGGATCTAGAACTAGAAATACCATTTGACCCAGCCATCCCATTACTGGGTATATACCCAAAGGATTATAAATCATGCTGCTATAAAGACACATGCACATGTATGTTTATTGTGGCATTATTCACAATAGCAAAGACTTGGAACCAACCCAAATGTCCAACAATGATAGACTGGATTAAGAAAATGTGGCACATATACACCATGGAATACTATGCAGCCATAAAAAATGATGAGTTCATGTCCTTTGTAGGGACATGGATGAAATTGGAAATCATCATTCTCAGTAAACTATCGCAAGAACAAAAAACCAAACACCGCATATTCTCACTCATAGGTGGGAATTGAACAATGAGAACACATGGACAGAGGAAGGGGAACATCACACTCTGGGGACTGTTGTGGGGTGGGGGGAGGGGGGAGGGATAGCATTGGGAGATATACCTAATGCTAGATGACGAGTTAGTGGGTGCAGCGCACCAGCATGCCACATGTATACATATGTAACTAACCTGCACATTGTGCATATGTACCCTAAAACTTAAAGTATAATAATAAAAAAAAAAGAAAAAAAAATTGTTTGTAGGGATGGGGGTCTCCCTATGTTGCCCAGGCTGGTCTCGAACTTCTGGATTCAAGTGATCCTTCCATCATGGCCTCCCCAAGTGCTGGATTATAGGCGTGGGCCACTGCGCCCAGCCAATTCTCACTTCTCATGGCAGAGGGACTCAGGAGGCAGAAAGAAAACCTTCCTTTTATCCTTCCAGAAATTCCCAGTTGGAAGACTATATAGGAAGTTCATGGTGCTGGATTTCTTCCTGCCTTCCATGCTGTTCCCATCCCCCAGTTGGTTTTAGCTCTTCCTGCTGCCTCAATATGTGGCTGTAATCCAGATTCTCCAGCCTCCATTCACATGAATTTTCCTATACCTCATCCGTGCCCCACCTTCAACTAGAGTTTTCCTGTGCAGGGATATGTCCTGATCCGCACCACTGGTCTTTATCTCTCCTGAGTTTGTCCTGAACTTCCAGCTGTTGAACCATAGACAATGGTTTGACTCAATAGCTCTAAAGCCAGCCGGTCCATCTGTTCTTAATCTTACCTCTGTTCCACTCAAGATACCTGGAGTTCACTTCAATTCCTTGGTCTCCTGTTTCTTCCACACGCTGTCAGCCAGGCAAGTCATCCTTTGTGGTATCTCTTGCATCCTTCGAGATGTCTCTTGCGTCTATTTCATCTTTTTATATCCAGTACTTTCACCCAAGGGCAGATCTTCATCTGAGCATTTATTCATGTCTTCAAAAATAATTACTGCATAGCTCTTGAGTTCCAAGAGCTGTCAGAGATGCCGATCAGAGTTTGGGTCACTCTAGCTGCTGTAGGGGAATAGGCTGTAGAATGGCAGGAGAGGAGGTGGGGGCACTGGCTGGGAGGCTGGTATAGTTGCAGCTGTGAGAGGCAATGATGCCTCTTGGTCAGGTGGTTGCCGTGGAGATGGGGAGATGTGGGCAGACTTGGGCTGTGAGCGTAGGCTCCTGAAAGAGTCTCCTGCCATTCCATATCCCTCATGAAGCCTCCCCTGCCACTCTGGTGCCTAAGATCATCACTCTCCTTTGAGTCTGCAGTGCCTCCATTGGCCCTTTGCCTGTGTAACCAAATATATCCTTTCTCTAAGCAGTGATTTTTGAGCTTTTTATAAAAGGGACCTCTTGAAAACATGAAGAAAGTCCACACACCTTTTCCCCAGAGAATGTTCCTTCCCATGAAAGTTTACAAACAACTGCAGGGTGTTTAACCATGGGGTCCCTGTTCCCTAGGCTAAGGACTCTATTATCTCTGTCACCCACAAGCCAACCTCTCACTTCTTTCCATCTTCTTCTCTTATTGTATTTCAGTGGGCACAGAAGATGCTCCAGACATACATTTCCTTGATGGCACCCTCATTCCTGATAACTTCCTTTGGAAATGCATGACATTCACTTGTCCATTTTTGTAAAGTCATGCAAAATTTGGTTTGAAATGTTCTAAAATAACCTAAGAATGTGGTTGGCTTAATGGTTCAATTTGGAGCACCTCTTTGGGCCAAGGGATTGGAGAGGAGGAGCTGTGGTCAGAGTTAGGTCTGCTGGCACTGCAGATAAACAAATGTTTTCAATGTGAATTGTGCTGTATAAAGGTCCAAGGGTCTTTCCAGAAGAAGTTAGCACTAAGTTAAAGCATTTTGAGGCTGGAGTGCATTTAGAGAAGACTCATTAATGTTCATGTGATCATGTTATGACAGGTCAATACCACTTTAAATCATTCCAAATGGTCTAACATGTGGCTTGAAAAATAACAGAGGAAACAGTTGTAAGGATGATTGCATAGTGCTCTATTACTGCGACTTTTGTTTCTAAAGCCAATGTGAGGGCCACACAACTGTGAGACAAAGGCGATTACTTTGGTATTGAAAGCACCTTTGCAGGACTGCTATCAGTTAGCAGAAAATGTCCTCCTGGCACTAGCATTGTCTTCTGTTAAAGTGCTTTCCACAGAGCATTCCTTAACTGCAGTCCACAACAATTCTGGATTTAAAACTGAGAACTCAAAAGAAAGACTATTTTTTTTGAGAGTTCTGTATATATTCTAGGTGCTAATCCTTTTCAGATAGATAGTTTGCAAATATTTTCTCCCATCCATAGCTTTTTTTTCATCCTCTTCACTGGGTCTTTCAGAGAGCAACAGTTTCTGATTTTGATGAGGCCCAATTTATACATTTTCCCTTTTATGGATCCTGCTTCTGGTGTCCAGTCTAAGACCTCTTTGCCTAGCTCTAGATTCTGAGGATGTTTTTCCTATGTTTTAATCTCAAAGCTTCATAGTTTTATGTTTAAGTCCATGACCGATTTTGAGTTTAATACTTGTGTAAGGTGTGAAGTTTACCTAGAGATTCATTTTGTTGCCTATGAATGAGAGACTAATTTTTAGAACCTCTTATTTGAATGTATTTATTGCGCTTCTTTTTTTGTTTTTAGTACAGATGGGGTCTCGCTGTGTTGCCCAGGCTGGGTGCCAACTCCTGGCCTCAAGTGATCCTCCTGACCAAGCCTCCCAAAGTGCTGGGATTACAGGTGTGAGCCACTGGGCAGGACTACTGTGCTTTTGTGTTTTCTCTTCCACTAGCCCTGAGCTGAAGACGAACATCCCAGAATGTTCTGTTTTCTTCTGTCTTTCAGTATCTCAGTATGGAGGGGCTCCAGATGGATCCAAATAAGGAACTGCGAACGTTCATATTTTAAACATTAAACTGTTTCACCAAGTTTCTTGATGAAAAGATCAAATGCAGGCAAGATTATTAATCACAAGATATTTTATTCTAAAATGGTCTTGTGTACAATTACAGAGATCCACCATGACAATCCTGCTCTTTCTCACTCCACTAGCCCTGCAATAAATTGGAAATTCACACAGAAACACTGATTCATTGTGAAATTCAACCGAAACATTCAGCAGTTCTCATGACTTTTTTTGCACTTATAATAGATTTTTTCATATTTATGTTAATTTGTAACGATCTCATGGACATGTAAAGCTTTTAGCTCTCTACCTGTGTGACATTCAGAAAATAACCTATTTTCCATTTAAAGAGGTTAGTTGAAATATTCAGATAGGATTATCCTATCTAATCCTATCTGAATATTTCAACTAACATATTAATATTTCAATTAAAACATGAGGTCTTTTCAAGTTTTCCAATTATGCATATAGAACTGGCAATTGATATGTGGTCTTGTCAAAATAGTGAAAGAACAATCATGCAGCTGGGCCCTGTGAGGGCTGGGATAAGCCAGCGTCCAGACAAGTTAGACACAACTATTTTCCTCTCTCTTCTCCCTTGCCCTCTAACCATGAGGAATTATAGTGCCTTTTGCTATAAGTCAAAATGTCAGTTCTCACAAAAGGATTTGAATAACTGGTCTCAGGAATGGTTTGAGGTACTCTAGGGTTGATACCAGAGTAAGACTTTTAAAAGTCTCTGGAAAGGGTAGCAGCATAACTTAAATATATCAATTTTTATTAGAGATGACCATTTCTTCTTTTAATAATCACATTGTCACTATGCAGATCTGCATTTTTCATGAAAAACTTCATTTCTGATTCTGAAGGCGTTTCCCCTTCATTTGCAAGCATTTCATAAATGCTGATGTTCTTAAACTTTGCTTTTTGTTCAAAACTGTTCATCGTTAAGTGACTCTTTAATAGCTAGTTAATAAAATACTTTCACCCAACAAAGACCAGATTGTGTAGCTGGTAATTTCAGATTTACACGGAACAAGCTTCACTAACAGCGAATTTTTAATTTGCAAGTATAAAACTCCCTTGTGCATATTTAGAGGAAGAGATTCTTAGAATAAAATTGGAATGCTTCCAATTCTCTTTATTCTTAGGCACTTCTTCAAAATTGTCTCGCAGAGTAAGAGTATGATTTTTAAAATTAACTGTATTCAGGGGGCTTTTTTTTTCCAGAACAAGCTAGAACTTCTGGGGTATAGGCAGAACAATAGGGCCCTAGGTGGTCTCCCAGATCGGGTTCCCTGGAAACACTCAGATGGAGATGGATGTAGGTGGTCTACTGGGAACACCACCCAGAAGGAAGAGAGGGAGGGAAGCAGCCCTGGGCAGAGGGAGAAGCTAAGTTATGATGCAATTGCAAGAGAGCTATCAGCTAATCCCAAAGGGAGCAACAGAAGCTGGGAGAACCCTTGGAGTTGTCCAGGCAAGGTGAGGGGGCTGGGCTTTGGTACTATCACGTGACTGTCCTTGGATGCAGCTGCCCCAGAAGTGGTGTAACCTCGCCTGTAGTGGCTCCCTTAGACTGGAGCAATTCCTGGGGTGGGATTTAGCTGTGAGTGTCAGCACTGTCATGTGGGGAGCCAGGTGCTTGAGTGCCTTGGTCCTGAAAGGGGTATCCAAGGGGCCCAACTCAGCATCTACTGCCAGTGAATTGGGTTGTGCCCCAAATGAGCAGTAAGGGGTCTCTTCTTTTGTTCATTCAGTGAACATCAGTGGAACGTGGTTAAAGAAAGGGATGAAGACAAATGGAGGCAGACGGAAGAACCACTGCGGGTCACAGTGCAGGAGCCGAGCATGTGAAAGGAACCACTGCCTTCAGTCGGCCAGCCGCAGTCATGCCCGGAGCTTTGAACACAATGTTGGCTTTTATTTATTTATTTACATATATATATATTTATATATATATATATATATATATATATATATATATATATATATATATAAATAATTTTGCGACAGAGTCTTACTCTGTCACTCAGGCTGGAGTGCAGTGGCACATTATTGGCTCACTGCAACCTCCGCCTCCTGGGTTCAAGCAATTCTCCTGCCTCAGCCTCCTGAGTTGCTGGGATTACAGGCACCCAAAACAATGCCTGGCTCATTTTTGTATTTTTGTAGAGATGGGGTTTCACCATATTGGTCAAGCTGGTCTTGAACTCCTGACCTCAGGTGATCTGCCTGCCTTGGCCTCCCAAAGTGCTGGGATTGCAGGTATGTATTTTTAGTAGAGATGGGGTTTCACCATGTTGGCCAGGCTGGTCTCGAACTCCTGACCTCAGGTGATCTGCCTGCCTCGGCCTCCCAAAGTGCTGGGATTACAGGCGTGAGCCACCATGCCCAGCCAAAATGTTGGCTTTTGTTACCATTGCCTACATCGTGCCAGATTTGGGTGCTGTGATTTTATGTTTACCATTACCCTCTCTCCCTTGCTCGTAACTTCTAACTCAAGTAGCTCGTCTTGCTTGACTGCACAGGCTATCCCTTTTCTCTCTCACTGTGACCTGGCACCAGGGTTCCCAGACACAGTCTGCCAGACCCTCGGAGCTGCTCCTCCCACACAGAAGTTTGCGAGTCTGTGTGCTGGTCAGAACATCCTTGTAACATGAGGAGCACGACTGTGGCTGTCTGAGCTGGAGCTGGGTCACTGCCTCTCAACAGTCACTGTGGATCATAACCTCTATCAATCCACTCTGAAGAGCTGATGCAGACTGGAGTCACAGCAGGATCATGATCTTTTTTTTTTTTTTATATTACTTTAAGTTCTGGGATACATGTGCAGAACGTACAGGTTTGTTACATAGGTATACATGTGCCATGGTGGTTTACTGCACCTATCAACCCGTCATCTAGGTTTTAAGCCCCGAATGCATTAGGTATTTGTCCTAATGCTCTCTCTCCCCTTGCCCCCCATCCCCTAACAGGCCCCTGTGTGTGATGTTCCCCTCCCTGTGCCCATGTGTTCTCATTGTTCAACTCCCACTTATGAGTGAGAACATGTGGTGTTTGGTTTTCTGTTCCTGTGTTAGTTTGCTGAGGATGATAGTTTTCAGCTTCATTCATGTATCTGCAAAAGACATGAACTCATTCTTTCTTATGGCTGCATAGTATTCCATGGTGTATATGTGCCACATTTTCTTTATCCAGTCTATCATTGATGGGCATTTGGGTTGGTTCCAAGTCTTTGCTATTGTAAATAGTGCTGCAGTAAACACACGTGTGCATGTGTCTTTACAGAATGATTTATAATCCTTTGGGTATATACCAGTAATGGGATTGCTGGGTCAAATGGTATTTCTGGTTCTAGGTCCTTGAGGAATCGCCACACTGTCTTCCACAATGGTTGAACTAATTTACACTCTCACCAACAGTGTAAAAGTGTTCCTATTTCTCCACAGCCTTGCCAGCTTCTGTTGTTTCCACACTTTTTAATAATCACCATTCTAATTGGCGTGAGATAGTATCTCATTGTGGTTTTGATTTGCATTTCTCTAATGACCAGTGATAATGAGCTTCTTTTCATATGTTTGTTGGCTGCTGCATAAATGTCTTTAAGAATCCACTCTTCAGAGCTGATTCCGACTGGATTTTGGTCAGCCATGAAGTGGTATCTGACTGCAACACACTCTACTTCAAACATAGTCATGTTTTAGGATGAGGCCATCTTCAAGCCTGAGATCCGTTTCTCATAGAAAGTGTTTATGCTGAAAGCATATGGGCCCTAAGAGTTCACTTCTCCTGCAGGCTTCACCATGAAGACCCCCCCAGTTATTGGCAAGTTCATTCCACCTCCGCTTCCAACCCCCCTACACGACGGAAGGACGGGCCCAATGTGACACTGTGTGAACTCTGATTTCCTTTGGTAACAAATACTTCTGTTAAAATATATCCAGATGTCAGCGCTAGATGATAAATTTGAACAAACACATTTTGGTTAAATTAGTATGATTATTTTGACTTTCCAGTGTTTACTTGGTTTGTTAAGCATTTTTACTTCTCTCTACCATTGAGGAAAGACAAGTGGGATAATTTATTTTGAGGAAGGAAAACTCAAAGCTATCACGTATGTGAAAAAACATGTGAGGTATCTGAGTTGTTGAAATCACGATTGATCCTAATTGATACTTACAAGTTATAGAAAATGTGGCAATGGATTGCCAATCAATATTTAAAAACTGAAAACCTGTTGGTAGATAACATGGTTTCTCTAGGAAACAAACGGCTGCACTCCCAACAGATTTGTAAATATCTCATTGACTCAAAGCAAAGAAGTCAATAAAAAGAAAATGAAATCAAATTTCTAAAATTTCATACAAATATTTTACCTTATTTTTCTCCTTTGTTCCTTTCTTTTGTTTTTTGGCTTTCTTGGGTTGTTTTTCCTTTTTCTTCTTCTTCTTTTTGTTTTTTTCTTCTTCCTCTTGGTTTGCTATGATATCCTCAATAACCTAGTGAAAACCAAAATAATCATACCATTTTCATAGATCCCTATCAAGAGAAGGACTGTTTTCCCTGTCTGAAAGGAAGTTTTTGTGCTGGTCAGTGTCATCTCTCTGCCTGGCCCTGGACCCTGCAGGCCGACCCCTTCTGGGGCATGGTGGGGCTCCTGCCTACCATCTACCCTTAGCTGGATTCATGAACAGGGGGCAGCAGCCTCAGTGTAGATGGAGAGAGAGTCTCGACGTTTCTGAGCCCAGTTCCTTCCCTAATTCCACCCACTCCAGCTCCTGGAGGTTCCACAAACTCTAGGGGAGGTCATAGCTTCCTCAACGTCTCAGCAACAGCTGGATGTGCCAGCCCTGCCCACAGCTCGTCAAAATCCAGGGGGAGGATGCCACTGCTTCCTGCTAGGCTCCAATGGCAACAGCCACTCTTGCAATAACTTTCATTTTCATGAGTTGGTTTCTTTCACCAGTGATTTAATTTATATCCCCTACAGTGACAAAAGACCTTTTATCCTCCTAAATTATAAAATATTTGTTAAAAAGTATCCAGTTCACATAGGATTAGCACTACTGGAGAATTATTATAGATTTGTTAAAAAAACATATAATTCAGTTCAATACAACAGTGTTCACTGAGCACTCACTCACTGCCATAGAGAGCTGTGAATTCCAGGAGATATAAAGGTGACAATGACAGGACACGCTTCCTGTTTGGCCCCCAGGGCTCTGCTCATGACTTGTCATGTGGCCAAGACAAGCTGCATAAGCTCTCTGAGACTCAGTTTCCTCAGCTCTAAAAGGGAGCCAGCATCTCCGTACATAGCACTTAGGATCCGCCAGGCATGCTTCTGAGAGCCTCACAGAGACAGACTCCTTTGCTGCTACACCAGACGCATGGGGGTTGCTGTTGTTGCCCTGTTTTATGGATGAGGGAACTGGGACACATACAGTGCAGTATCCCAGCCAGGGACACACAGCTAGTGAGTAGCTGAGCTGGGATTCAGCACGTGCTTAACCAGGATGAATTTCATAATGTAGGGAGAAAAGAGGCATAATGTATAAGAACACATGTCAACTTACTCCATCGTACAAAATGCACAGAGTGAAACCAACAATCCATACTCCAGTCTCAGGTACATACACATGTAGTCCAAGTACAAAGGAATGTAAGGGAATGACAAACTCCAAATTAAGTACAGCAGTTGCCTTTGAAGATGGAGCAATTAAAAAATTGGGGGTGGGGAGACAAGGGCTAATATCGTTTTATCCTAGTGTGGAGAAAGGCGAGAGGTGAAGCATGTGTTGTGAACATATTTGGCCATGCAAAAATGATCTTTTCCCAGCCTAGGCAACATGATGAAACCCCATGTCTACAAAAAAAAACACAAAACATTAGCCAGGCATGGTGGTGCACACCTGTATTCCCAGCTATCTGGGAGGCTGAGGTGGGAGGATTACCTGAGCCTGGAAGGTAGAGGCTGCTGTGAGCTATGATCCAGCCACTGCCCTCCAGCCTGGGTGACAGAGTGAGATCCTGCCTCAAAAAAACAAAACAAAACAGACAAAGGCTCACCTTGACTCACAGAATCAAGGTGTGGCTGCCCAGGTCTTCATTGTACTGGAGCACTTGTAACACAGACATTGTTTGGACCTTAGAAACTGTAAAACTTTTCTGCTTTCTCTTGTGGGCATTTAGTGCTATAAATTTCCCTCTACACATTGCTTTGAATGTGTCCCAGAGATTCTGGTATGTTGTGTCTTTGTTCTTGTTGGTTGCAAAGAACATCTTTATTTCTGCCTTCATTTTGTTATGTACCCAGTAGTAATTCAGGAGCAGGTTGTTCAGTTAAAATTGACACCCTAACATCACAATTAAAAGAACTAGAGAAGCAAGAGCAAACACATTCAAAAGCTAGCAGCAGGCAAAAAATAACTGAGATCAGAGCAGAACTGAAGGAAATAGAGACACAAAAAACCCTTCAAAAAATCAATGAATCCACGAGCTGGTTTTTTGAAAAGATCAACTAAATTGATAGACTGCTAGCAAGACTAATAAAGAAGAAAAGAGAGAAGAATCAAATAGATGCAATAAAAAATGTTAAAGGGGATATCACCACCGACCCCACAGAAATACAAACTACCATCAGAGAATACTATAAACACCTTTATGCAAATAAACTAGAAAATCTAGAAGAAATGGATAAATTCCTCGATACATACACCCTCCCAAGACCAAACCAGGGAGAAGTTGAATCTCTGAATAGACCAATAACAGGCTCTGAAATTGAGGCAATAATTAATAGCTTACCAACCAAAAAAAGTCCAGGCCCAGATGGATTCACAGCTGAATTCTACCAGAGGTACAAGGAGGAGCTGGTACCATTCCTTCTGAAACTATTCTAATCAATAGAAAAAGAGGGAATCCTCCCTAACTCATTTTATGAGGCCAGCGTTATCTTGATACCAAAGCCTGGCAGAGACACAACAAAAAAAGAGAATTTTAGACCAATATCCTTGAACATTGATGTAAAAATCCTCAATAAAATACTGGCAAAACAAATCCAGCAGCACATCAAAAAGCTTATCCACCATGATCAAGTGGGCTTCATCCCTGGGATGCAAGGCTGGTTCAACATATGTAAATCAATAAACATAATCCAGCATATAAACAGAACCAATGACAAAAACCATATGATTATCTCAATAGATGCAGAAAAGGCCTTTGACAAAATTCAATAACACTCATGCTAAAAACTCTCAATAAATTAGGTATCGATGGGACGTATTTCAAAATAATAAGAGCTATCTATGACAAACCCACAGCCAATATCATACTGAATGAGCAAAAACTGGAAGCATTCCCTTTGAAAACGGGCACAAGACAGGGATGCCCTCTCTCACCACTCATATTCAACATAGTATTGGAAGTTCTGGCCAGGGCAATTAGGCAGGAGAAGGAAATAAAGGGTATTCAATTAGGAAAAGAGGAAGTCAAATTGTCCCTGTTTGCAGATGACATGATTGTATATCTAGAAAACCCCATCGTCTCAGCCCAAAATCTCCTTAAGCTGATAGGCAACTTCAGCAGTCTCAGGATACAAAATCAATGTGCAAAAATCACAAGCATTCTTATACACCAATAACAAACAGAGAGCCAAATCATGAGTGAACTCCCATTCACAATTGCTTCAAAGAGAATAAAATATCTAGGAATCCAACTTACAAGGGACGTGAAGGACCTCTTCAAGGAGAACTACAAACCACTGCTCAATGAAATAAAAGAGAATACAAACAAATGGAAGAACATTCCATGCTCATGGGTAGGAAGAATCAATATCGTGAAAATGGCCATACTGCCCAAGGTAATTTATAGATTCAATGTCATCCCCATCAAGCTACCAATGACTTTCTTGACAGAATTAGAAAAAACTACTTTAAAGTTCATATGGAACCAAAAAGGAGCCCGCATTGCCAAGTCAATCCTAAGCCAAAAGAACAAAGCTGGAGGCACCACACTACCTGACTTCAAACTATACTACAAGGCTACAGTAACCAAAACAGCATGGTACTGGTACCAAAACAGAGATATAGATCAATGGAACAGAACAGAGCCCTCAGAAATAATGCCGCATATCTACAACTATCTGATCTTTGACAAACCTGAAAAAACAAGAAATGGGGAAAGGATTCCCTATTTAATAAATGGTGCTGGGAAAACTGGCTAGCCATATGTAGAAAGCTGAAACTGGATCCCTTCCTTACACCTTATACAAAAATCAATTCAAGATGGATTAAAGACTTAAACGTTAGACCTAAAACCATAAAAACCCTAGAAGAAAACCTAGGCATTACCATTCAGGACATAGGCATGGGCAAGGACTTCATGTCTAAAACACCAAAAGCAATGGCAACCAAAGCCAAAATTGACAAATGGGATCTAATTAAACTAAAGAGCTTCTGCACAGCAAAAGAAACTACCATCAGAGTGAACAGGCAACCTACAGAATGGGAGAAAATTTTTGCAATCTACTCATCTGACAAAGGGCTAATATCCAGAATCTACAATGAACTCAAACAAATTTACAAGAAAAAAAAAACAACGCCATCAACAAGTGGGCAAAGGATATGAACAGACACTTCTCAAAAGAAGACATTTATGCAGCCAAACGACACATGAAAACATGCTCATCATCACTGGCCATCTGAGAAATGCAAATCAAAACCACAATGAGATACCATCTCACACCAGTTAGAATGGCGATCACTAAAAAGTCAGGCAACAACAGGTGCTGGAGAGGATGTGGAGAAATAGGAACACTTTTACACTGTTGGTGGGACTGTAAACTAGTTCAACCATTGTGGAAGTCAGTGTGGCGATGCCTCAGGGATCTAGAACTAGAAATACTATTTGACCCAGCCATCCCATTACTGGGTATATACCCAAAGGGTTATAAATCATGCTGCTATAAAGACACATGCACATGTATGTTTATTGTGGCACTATTCACTATAGCAAAGACTTGGAACCAACCCAAATGTCCAACAACGATAGACTGTATTAAGAAAATGTGGCACATATACACCATGGAATACTATGCAGCCATAAAAAACGATGAGTTCATGTCCTTTGAAGGGACATGGATGAAGCTGGAAACCATCATTCTGCGCAAACTATCGCAAGGAGAAAAAACCAAACACCGCATGTTCTCACTCATAGGTGGGAATTGAACAATGAGAACACATGGACACAGGAAGGGGAACATCACACTCTGGGGCCTGTTGTGGGGTGGGGGGAGGGGGGAGGGATAGCATTGGGAGATATACCTAATGCTAGATGACGAGTTAGTGGGTGCAGCACACCAGCACGGCACATGTATACATATGTAACTAACCTGCACGTTGTGCACATGTACCCTAAAACTTAAAGTGTAAAAAAAAACTTTCAGAAATGTAAAGACTTAAAAAAAATAGTCGGATATATAATTATGAGCAGCTGAAAAGATGAAATCCTTATTTGTGGAGTATAAATTTCACTGTGGCCTTATCAGTTAAGCCTTTTAAAGTCTTACCAATTATATGGTTTATTTCATCTCTCTCCTTTTATAGTTTATTAGTTTAAATTTTTGAGTATTACATTTTCATGGTTCACAATTCAAAAGTTATGAAAGAGTAATTATACATAAATACAGTGAAAGGTTTCCTCCCCATACTGTTAACTAGCCAAGAAGATCCACTTTCTCTTTTTATTTTTTATTAGGGCATAATTGACAAAAATTTAATATATATACAGTATACAACATGATGTTTTGATACATGTACACATTGTGGAATGATTAAGTCAAGCTAACTAACATGTCCATCACCTTACATGCTTAGCATTTTTTGTGTGTGATGAGAACATTTACAATCTATTCTCTTAGCAATTAAAAATATACAATATAATATTGTTAATTATGGTCATCATGCTGGACAATACATCTCCAGAACTTTTTCCTCCTGTCTAATGGAAACTCTGTACCCTTTGACCAACATCTCTCCATTCCCTGATCTTCCCCTCCCACCCTTGGTAATCACTATTCTACTCTCTGCTTCTGTAAGTTAAATTGTTTTTTTAGATTTTATTTATAAGTGAGATCATGCAGTATTTGTCTTTCTGTGCCTGGCTTATTTCACTTAGCATAACGTCCTCTGGGTTCATGCATGTTGTCACAAATGACAGAAATTTCCTTCTTTTTTAAAGCTGAATAGTGTTCCACTGGGTATATACAATACATTATGTTTATCCGTTCATCTACTGAAGAACACTGAGGTTGCTTCCACATCTTGGCTTTTGTGAGCAATGCTGCAATGAACATGGTAGTGCAGACATCTCTTTGACACACTGATTTCATTTCCTTTGGATACATACTCAGTAGTGGGATTGCTGGATCATATAGTTCTATTTTTCATTTTTTGAGGAACTTCCACACTGTTTTCCATAATGGCTGTGTTAATTTACATTCCCACCAACAGTGTACAAGGGTCCCCTTCTCTCACATCCTTGCCAACATTTGTTGTCTTTTGTCTTTTTGATAACAGCCATCCTAAGTGTGAAGTAATATCTCATTGTTTAATTTGCGTATGTCTGTTGCGTTCAGCATTTTTCCATATACATGTTGACCATTTGTATGTCTTCTTTTGAGAAATGTCTATTCATGTCCTTTGCCCAATTTTAAATTAGGTTGTTTTCTTGCTATAGCAGTCTTTAAATTCTTTATATATTTTGGAAATTAACGCCTTATCAGATGTATGGTTTGCAAATATTTTCTCCCAATTCATAGGTTGACTCTTCTCTTTTGTTTCCTTGCTGTGCAGAAGTTTTTTAGTTTGGTGCAATCCCATTTACCTGTTTTTACTTTTGTTGCCTGTGCTTTTGGGGTCATATCCAGAAAATCACTGCCCAGATCAATGTCATGGAGATTTCCCCTATGTTTTCTTACAGTAGTTTTATAGCTTCTGGTCTTTTGTTCATGGCTTTCACTCATTTTGAGTTGATTTGTGTATATGGTGTGAGATAAGGGTTCAATTTCCTTGTTCTGCATGTGGATATATAGTTTTCTCAAACCATTTATCAAAGAGACTTATCCTTCTTCCATTGTGTGTTCTTGACACCTTTGTTGAAAATCAATTTGCTGTAGTGTGTGGATTTATTTCTGGGCTCTCTCTTCTGTTCCACTGATCTTTATGTCTGTTTTTATGCCAGTATCACGCTGTTTTGCTTTCTGTAGCTTTGTAATATATTTGGAAATCAGGAAGTGTGATGTCTTTAGCTTTGTTCTTTTAGCTCAAGATTTCATTGGATATTTGAGGTGTTTTGTGGTTCCATATAAATTTTAGAATTGCTTTTTCTATTTCTGTGAAAAAGTGTCACTGAAATTTTGATAGTCATTACACTGAATCTATAGATCACTTTGGGTAATATGTTCATTTTTACAACATTAATTCTTCCAATTCATGAGTACAGGATATCTTTCTATTTATTTGTGTCCTCTTAAAATTCTTTCACCAATGTTTTGCATGTTTTGTAGGTTTCAATACACAGATCCTTCACCTCCTTGGTTAAATTTATACCTAAATTAAAAGAATGTTACTATAAATGGGATTGTTTTCTTGATTTCTTTTTCAGAGAGTTCACTGTTAGTGTATAGAAATGCTACTGATCTTTTGTATGCTGATTTTGTATCTTGCAACTTTACTAAATTTGTTCGTCAGTTCTAATAGTATTTTTAGTGGAGTCTCTGGGGTTTTCCTTTTTCTTTTTCAAAATTTTTAAAAATTCAATACAGACAGGGTCTTGCTATGTTGCCCAGGCTCTTCTCGAAAACCTGTGCTAAAGTGATCCTCCCACTTCAGCCTCCCAAAGTGCTGGGATTACAGGCGTGAGCCACCGTGCCCGGCCTCTGGATTTTTCTATATGCAAGATCAAAGACAGGAAATTTCACTTCTTCCCTTCCTATTTGGATGCCTTCTATTTCTTATTCTTGCCTAATTGCTCTGGCTAGGACTTCTGTACTAGGTTGAATAAAACTGGCAAGAGTGGGCATCCTTATCTTGTGCAGATCTTAGAGGAAAAACTCAGATTTTCACTATTGAGTATGATTTTAGCTGTGGGCTTTTCGTATATAGTCTTTATCGTGTTAAGTTCCTTCTCTGCATAATTTGTTGAGTTTTTATTATGAAAGAGTTTTGAATTTTGCCAAATACTTTTTCTGCATCTATTAAAATGATCATATGATTTTTATCCCTCATTCTGTTAATGTGGTATATTATACTGATTGATTTGGATAGGCTGAACCACTCTTGCGTCCCAAGGATAAATCCTGTTTGGTCATGGTGAATGATTCTTTTAATGTGCTCTTGAATTTGGTTTGCTAGTATTTTGTTGAGGGTTTCTGCATCTATGTTCATCATGAACATTGGCTTATAATTTTCTTTTCTCTCAGTATCTTGCCTGGTTTTGGTATTAGGTTTATGCTGGCCTCATAAATGAATTTGGAAGTATTTATTTCTCTTCAATTTTTGGGAAGAATTTAAGAAGCATTGGTATTAGTTCTTTACATGTTTGGTAGAATTCACACAAGAAGCCATTTTATCCTGGGCCTTTCTTTATTGGAAGGGTTTTGATTACTGATTCAATTTCTCTACTCACTATGATTTTCTATTTTTTCATGATTAGTCCTGTTGTTGTATAATAATTTATCCATTTCTTCTAGGCTAATGAATTTGCTGGTATATAATTATTCATAATAGTCTCACGATCTTTTGTATTTCTATGGTATCAGTTGTAATGTATCCTCTTTCATTTTTAATTTTATTTGTGTGACTCTTTTCTCTCCTAGTCTAGTTAACAGCCTGTCAATTTTATCTTTCACAAAACCAACTCTTAGTTTACTTTTTCTGTTGTTTTTTTGAGGCTCCATTTCATTTATTTTTGTTCTTATCTTTATTTCTTTCCTCTGCTAATTTTGTACTTAATAATAGTTTGTTTTTCTTTTTCTAGTTCCTTGAGGCATAATGTTAGGTTGTTTGAGATCTTTCTTCTTTTATGGTGTAGGCATTTATTGCTAGAAATTTCCCTCTTAGTACTGCTTTTGTTGTATCTCATAGGTTTTAGTATGTTGTGTTTCCATTTTTATTGGTTTCAAGACATTTTAAAATTTGCCTTTAAATTTCTTCTTTGATCCATTGGTTGTTTAGGAGCATGTTGTTAATTTCTATCTATTTGTGAAATTTCAAAGATTTTTCCTTTTATTGTTCCTGGTTTCACACCATTGCAGTCTGAAAAGATATACTTCATATGATTTTGATCTTCCTAAATTTGTTAAGGCTTGTTTTGTGGCTGAATATATGATTTGTCCTGGGGAATGTTCTATGTGCATTTGAAAGGAATGTATATTCTGCTGCTGTTGGATCAAATGTTCTGTATATGTCTATTAGGTCCATTTGGTCTAAAGTGTAGTTCAAGTTCATTGTTTCCTTATTGATTTTATGTTTGAATGATCTGTTCATTGTTGAAAGTAAGGTACTGAAATTCCCTACTATTATTGTATTATAATCTGTCTCTCCCTTCAGATCTATTAATATTTGCTTTTCATATTTATATGCTCTGATGTTTGGTACATATATATTTGCAATTGTTATATCCTATTGATGAACTGATCTCTTTATAATTATATAATGATCTTATTTGCCCTTTTTACAGTTTTTGACTTAAAGTATATTTTGTCTGACATGATTATAGTTACCCCTGCTTTCTTTTGGATTCAATTTACATGGAATATCTTTTTCTATCCCTTCACCTTCATTCTATATGTGTCCTTAAAGGTAAAGTTAATCTCTTGTATGCAGCATATAGTTGGGTAATTTAAAAAAAATCCATTCAGCCATGCTATGTCTTTTGATTGGAGAATTTAATTCATTTACATTTGAGATAATTATTGATAGGAAGAACTTATTGCTGCCACTTTATTACTTTCTGATTGTCTTGTAAATCCTTCTTTCATTTTGTTCTGCTATTATTTTCCTGATTTCATTAACTAGTTTATTTGTATTGTCTTGTAATTTGCTGAGCTTCTTTAGAATACTTATTTTGAATTCTCTGTCATGTAATTCATGGATCTCCAATTCTTTAGGGTCAGTTACTGAAAGTTTATTGTGTTCCGTTGGTGGTATCATGTTTCCCTGATTCTTCATATAGTCTTATAAATGAGTCTGCAAATTTCAAGAAGTAGTCACCTCTTCCAGACTTTATGGACTGGCTTTGGTAAGGAAAGACCTTCACCTGTGGGCAGCAGGGTGGGGGGACAGAGGCATGCTGGGGGCACTGTAGCATCAGGTCTGGTGTTGTGAGGTACCAAGTGTTGGGGTATGTGGTGGCTCCGAATCTGGGGGAGCGTTCAGTCTTGCCATTTCAGGCAGCTGGAGTCTGTGATGTTGGCACCTGCTTAGTCCTTTGTGGCTGGGGTCAGCTGCAGGTGCACATGTGGCACTGGGGGCCAGCAGCTTGCATATGCATAATTGCAGAGGCCAGCTGCAGGTCATCAACACCATCTGCATGCATGGGCATCTTTAGGCTGAGCTGGAGGGGTGCATGCACATGTAGCTACAGGGACCAGCTCTGGGAACAAGCACAGTGTGGGGATAGTTGCTGGAGGGCATGGCCAACTGGTTATGCTCATCTAGTTGTGGGGGCCAGGCTAGCAGCTACTGCAATAGCCTGGCTACAGGAGTCAGCCTTGGGTGCATGCAGTGGTGGGGTTGGAGTCTGTGGTAGGGGGCTCCAAGGCTGTTTTCTGGCATGCATGCAGTAGGTGCTCTGGGTCCCTGGCCCAGAGAACCTGTGGAGGCAGTAGCTGGGGTGGTTTCAAGGAGATGTGGTGATTTAGGCACCTAGGGAACACGAGGGCCACTTGGGTGGGTCGGTGGGCTGTGCTCACTGTGGCAGGAGCAGTCATGTGGCTCTGGGTGGCTCCAGTGGGGGACAGGTAGGAGACTCAGGCACCTGGAGACTGTGAAGGTGAAAAGAAATGCAGTGTCCTCAGTGGTGAAAGCTGAAGGGGGTCCCCTGCTTCTGTGCAGGCAGTTGGTTTCCTCAGCTATGAAAACTGTAGGATCCTCTGCAGAATATGCTGTTGGGGTTCATGATAACAAACCCTGAGGGGTCCTCTGTGGTGAAAGCTGCAGGTGGTTGTGTGGTGGTCTTGAGTTCCTCAGCAGGGCTGTTGAGTTCCTCAGCAGGGGTCTGCTGGAGTCCTGGGCTAAGCAGGCCACTGGGGTTTGTGGTGACTTCCAGTGTGTGGCTGATCATAATACACTTGCTAAAAAGTCAACCCAAATACTTTGGATATGCTTCTAAAGACATTTTATATACATATATGCGAATATACATATAACACACACACACACACACACACACACAGAGCACACTGGCATTGTTGTGTTATGTTTGCCAATTGTATAGGTGAAAAGTAATATGTCATTGAAGTTGTCTCTTTTTTAAACCAATACAAAATTTATTTTACCTGCACTCTTCAGTTATAGCAAAATCTTCCAAGTGCACAGAGATGTACACAGGTATACACACAAATGCACATTATAAACATCAACTTGTCATTTTATACAAATGTTAGCGTATTATACATACTGTTCTTGTTCTGCGTTTTTCACCTAATAATATATCTTGGCCATCTTTCCTTAGTGGTACATACAGAACTTCACGGTTCATTTTTCACAGGTGTATTGTAACAATTTATTTGGCCATTCCCCTACCAAATAAGATTGAGGTTATTTCTAATAGTAATCTGCTACTACTAACATTGTTGCCATGAATAAATGCATGCAAATATCATTTTGCAGGTGGTGAACATATCTGCAGGATAAATTCCTTAAAGTGGAAATGCTGGATCAAGTGTATGCACATTTGTAATACTGTTAAACTTCCCACCATGGGTTGTGTCAATTTACCCTTCTGCCAGCAGTGTAGGAGTGGCCTGTTTCCCCATATGCTTGTTGTCACAGTGCATCTTGTTTGCCAGTTGCATGGGTGGAAAATGTAGTCGCTTTTGTTTTTTCAAGAAGCCAATATTGAATTTATTTTGCTCCTGCTCATCAACTTGAGCAAAATCTTCCGAAGTTAAAAGTGCACTTTACTGGCTATTAAGTCAGCCATCATTTTTTTGGGCTCAGGGCCAAATCTGGCCTGGTGCCTGTTTTCTCTTTTCAAAATATAATTTTATTGAAGCATATCATATACTCACCCATTTCAAGTGTGCAATTCAATAATTTTTCAGCAAGTATATCAAGTTGTGTTCCACTACCACAAATCAGTTTTAGAACATTTCTATCACCCCAATAAGATTCTCTCATTTCCATTAACTGCTAATCCCTTTTCTCTCTCCTTCCCAGGTGTATTAGTCCATTCTCATGCTGGTATGAAGAAATATCCAACACTGAGTAATTTATAAAGTAAAGAGGTTTACTTGACTCACAGTTCCACATGGCTGGGAAGGCCTCAGGAAACTTACAATCATGGTGGAAGGGGAAGCAAACACGTCCTTCTTCACATGGCAACAGGAGAGAGAAGTGCCGAGCAAAGGAGGAAAAGCCCCTTATAAAGTCATCAAATCTTGTGAGAACTCACTCACTGTCATGAGAACAGCCTGAGGGTCACTGCCTGCATGGTTCAATTACCTCCTAACAGGTCCATCCCACAACAAATGGGCAACATGGGAACTGGTATTCAAGTTGAGATTTGGGTGGGAACACAACCAAAGCACATCACCAAGCAAGCACTAATCTACTTTCTGTGTCTACAGGTTTACTTTTTCTAGACATTTCATATAAATGGAATAACAAAATACATTGTCCATAGTGTCTGGCTTCTTTCATGTTGCATAATGTTTCAGTATGGCATAACACTTTAAGTTCATCCATGTTGTAGCATGTATCAGTTGTGTGTTCCTTTTTAATTGCCAAATAATATAAAGTTGCATGGATATACCATATTTTACCTATCTATTCCCCAGTTGATATGTATTTAAGCTGTTTCAAATTTTTGGCAATTATGAGTAATGCTGCTATGAACATTCATGTACAAATGTTTTTGTGTGGATATATGTTTTCATTTCTGTTGGATAGAGTCCTAAGAGAAGAATTGCTAGGTCCTTTGGTAAATTTATGTTTAACTTTTTAAGAAATTGGCATGATGTTTTCCAAAGTGGCAACATTTTACATTCCCACTAGCAATGTATGTGGGTTCCCTTTTCTCCACATCTTCAGCATTTGTAATTGTCTTTTTTTTTGTATCCATCCTCATGGGTGTGAAATAGCATTACATTTCCATTTTAATTTTCATTACCCTAATGATGAATAATGTTGAACATCTTTTCATGTTCTTACTAGCCATCCATACATCTTCCTTTGTGAATTGTCTGTTCAAATCTTTTGCCTGTTTTTTGACTGAATTGTTTGTCTTCTTATTGAGGTGTAAGAGTACTCTGTATTTTCTGGCTGTAAGTCCTTTAACAGGTAGGTATTCTGTAAATATTTTCTCCCAGTCTGTTACTTGTATCTTCATTTTCTTAATGGTATCTTTTGAAGTGCAAAAGTTTTGCATTTTGTTGAGGTTCAGTTGATCAATTTTGTTTGTCAGTGTAGTTTTAATTTGCATTTCTCTTATATGTGTGAGGTTGATCATCTTTTCATATGTTGAACATCTTTTATTATGTTTCGAATTCATTTGAGTTTTCTTTTCTGAGCACTGTCTATTCATATCCTTTTGCTGTTTTTTGTATTGGGTTATTATTCTTTTTCTTGTAGAGCTGTAGGAGTTCCTTACATATTAGAAGAAAGGACTCTTGTCTGTGATACCCATCACAAATAATTCTCTCAGGGTGTCATCTGTCATTTCCCTTACTCAGGGGTCATTGTTTCCATGTAGGATTAAAACAATTTTGTGTGTGTGGTTGAATTTATCAATTTTTTTTTCTGCTATGATTTCTGGGTTTGTATCATAATTAGAAAGATCTTTCCCATTCTGAGGTTATGACATATTTCTTTCTTAGCTTCTTCTAGTCCTTTTGTGTTTTGTTTTGTTTTATACGTAAGTGTTTGATCCTTTTGGAATCATTCCAAAGTAAAGTATAAAGACTTGGGAATTTAATTTTCTTTTTTCTTAGATGACAACCTGGCTCTTCTTATACCATTTATTTCCTTTTTTCCTTTCACATTTGAGATGCTGTCTTTATTATAAATTTCCGTATGTATTTGGGTCTATTTCTTGATTTTCTGTTCTTTTCCATTGATGTGCCTTTTTAGTCTTTTGTCTGTGCCAGTGGGCTCCTAAGAATATGTTTTCATACCTGGCAAAGCTAGTTCCTCCTCACTATGCTTCATTTTCAGAATTCCACTGGTTATTCTTGGTTATTTGCTTTCTACTTAAAGTTTAGTTTGGTCATCCTCCCTGCCTCCTCCCCGCCAATGCCCCAATATAATGCTATTGGTATTTTCATTTGGATCATATTATGTCTATAGATGATGTTTAGGAGTCAAGGTATGTATGGTGTGAGCATTCCTACCTACGAGCATGATATGCTTTTCCATTTCTTCGCATCCCTCAGGAGTGTTGTAAGCTTTTCTTCACGTAGAATGTACATTTATCATTAAGCTTATTCCTGGGCATTTGACCTTTGCATTGTTGCTGTTGTAAATGGTCTCTTACATTACATTTTCTAGCTAGCTACTGTTTGCATGCACAACAGCGATTGCTTTCTGCATGTTAATTTTGTAATCCCCCCATCTTGCTTCTCATATTATTTAAAGTAGTTTTTTAGTTTATTCTCTTTGCTTTTTTGCTCTTTAGTTTATTCTCTTTGCTTTTCTAAGTATTGAACATATGTGCAAAAGGTGATCATTTGCCTCTTCTGTTCCCCTTTAGAACACTAGAAAGGGGATATATTATTTAGTAGTTCCTACAGGACAATGGTAAATAATAGTGGTGATGATGGCCATTCTTGAATTTTTCCTGACACTCACTAGTGGAAATGTTTCTAGTGAATTTCTTTAAGCATGACACTGGGTTTTGAATTAAGAAATATTTTATAATGTTCAACAAGTATCCATCTATTCCAATTTTGTAGAGTTCTATTTTTAAATATCAAAAATGGATGTTAAATTTGTAAAATGCCTTTGCAGCCTCCATAGTGAGGAGCTTATGGTTTTCCCTTTTGGATTTTTTAATACGATGCGGTGCATTCATAGACATCCTTAACCCAAACCATTCTTGCATCCTGGAATAATCACCACTTGTGGTGTTTTACTAATTTAATGTGGTGCTGGTTTTAGTGTGCTAACACGTTAGTTAAAATGTTTGTGTTAATACTCATAAGGGAGACTGATCTGTGTCTTTTTTTGTGTTCAATCTTTTTTGGGGGTTTTGATTCAATGTTATGCTCGTTTCATAAAAAGTATTTGTATTATTTTTGTTTTATTAATATATATTTCACCTTGTATGTATATTGTTATAATGACAATGCTTGGCCTATTCTCTATTCATACTATGACTACAATGACTACTATTACTGCTACTGTCAACGTTAGTAACAACTGCTACGATTTTCTGAAGGGTTTCAATATGCCAAGCTCTGTTCTAAGTACCTCACGTGTATTGTCTCATCTAATTATTACCTCAGTGCAGGGAGGTAGACGTTGCTAGTAATCTCCATTTATAGATGAGAAAACTGAATCGGAGTGTGGGGGGATGAAGCTTGTCTAAGGTTGCAGGTCTAGTGTGTGGGGGAACTGTGATTTGTAATCACCATGCCGTTCTGACTCTTCAATCATCTGTCTTTCAAGGCTAAGCTGCTTTGTGGTCTCCTCTGTTCTCTTTCAATGTGTTAACCAGACATTCTCAATTTTCTTTTGACTAGTATTTTTTAATGTTTCTCATGGCAATTTAGATGTTCTACCAACATTCTTAATCCTATAATCGCTACCTTTCTAACTGAACATAAAATGTGTCTGGATGCTTGCCATGGACTTTCAAGACACAACTTGTGCCTGGCAATTTAGCTGGCGGGACAACACCTAAACACATAAAAAAAGTGAAACAACCCCAAATCAAAATGACAATCACTCAAGGCAGGGCTTGACAAACTGCCAAATAATAGGGTCAATATTTGGTGCTCATGGAATTCAGTGAAGGAGGGAGGAGTCCTCTAGAGGGCTGAGGCAGCCTTTGGGAGCAGAGGCTGGTTTCTGATGGAGAAGTGAAGAAAGAGCAATTCCTGTGTGCTTAACTCTGAGGGCTCTTGGAGGGGAGCACAGGGACACAGGGAGGCTGACAGCAGGGTCAGTCATGCTGAAGTCCTGAAACCCCGAGCTAAAGCCTGTATTTTACTGCTGCAGAGAACTTCATGTTACTTAACGAATTTCCTGTTAAAGAACATCAGGCTGTTTTCTTCTTTGTCAATGCAATAAACAAGGCAGACGTGAACAGCATCCATGGCAGGGGTCAGCAAATTATGGCACATGGGCCGGCTCTGGCCGGCCGCCTGCCCATTTTTGAAATGAAGTGTGATTGGAACACAGCCATGCCCATCATTTACATGTTGTCTATGGCTTCTCTGATGCCGGTATTAGTCCATTCTCACATTGCTATAAAGAACTGCCTGAGACTGGGTAATTTATAAAGAAAAAGGGTTTAATTGACTCACAGTTCCACATGGCTGGGGAGGCATCGGGAAACTTACAATCATGGTGGAAGGGAAAGCAAGCATGTCTTACATGGTGGTAGGAGAGAGAAAAAGAGAGAGCACAAAGGGGAAAATGCCCCCTTACAAAACCATCAGATCTTGTGAGAACTCAGGATCACAAGAACAGTCTGGGGGAAACCACCCCAATCAGGTCTCTCCCTTGACATGTGGGGATTTGAGATGAGATTTGGGTGGGGATACAGACAAAGCATATTAATGCCATATTGGTAGAGTTGAGTAGTGCCAGCAGAGAATGTATGTGCCACAGCCTAAAATATTTACTGTTTGTCCTTTTACAAAAAAAGGATGTTGACCTCTGGCCTATGACAACTTCTGTTATTATTATTTATTTAGTATAAATTCCTCAAAGAGCATTTATGAGCCAAAGCACATACACATGAAAAGTTTTGATATTTGTTTGATCCACGTCACTTAAAAATGTCATGCTAATTTACATATCCAGTAGCAATGTATGAGAGTGACTTTTTCCCACATGCACACCAACTCCAGTCATTACAATGACTTAAAATTTTTACCAGTCCTATAGGTGAAAACAGATATGGCAACATTACTTTATACATGTAATTGCCAGTGAGTTTTAAAAATTTTTCTTGTGTTAAATTCCTGTTTATATTCTTTGCTTTTTTATCAGGGTGTTCCAATTTTTGTTATTATTTTCCGAGAAATATTTATATATGAAAAATACCCATTGTCATACATGTTGCAAATGTTTTTCCTCAGTTATCATATACCTTGAACTTCATTTGTGATTTTTTTTGGCCATTTTGCTATTTGAGTTTTGTGTAGTTAAGTATATGAGCAGATTCTCTTCATGTTATTTGCCTATGGTGACATGTTTATGAAATTTTTCTCCAATTCAAACAATTTCTTTAGTAATTTGTGGTTTAACATTTTTACATGTAAATATTTAATTCATCTGAAATTTGTTTTGTATAATAAGGAAGGCTCTACTTGATTTTGCCAAATGGTGAGCCAGTTATTATTTATTAAATAATATTATTTATTAGTCTGTCCTTCCCCATTTATTTGGAATGTCATCAGTATACTACTGAATTCTGATATATGTACCTGACTAAGTTTCTGAGCACACTATTTTAAAGTCAGACTCCTTGAGTATGAACCTCAGCTCCACAACTAATTTGGCCAAATTTTTGATCTTCATAGTTTGGAAGAATTAAATGAGTTGACTTATATAAAGTGCTTGCATGGTACCTGGCACAGAATATTTGTCCAACAAATGTTATCTGTTATTTTTGTTGTTATCTGTCTATTCATTTTCCAACATTGTGGTATTTTGGCTACTTTATATCTTTATAATTTGTTTTATATCAATATGGAAAGTTCCCTATTATAGCTTTTTTAAAAATTTATTATTATTATACTTTAAATTTTAGGGGACATGTGCACAATGTGCAGGTTAGTTACATATGTATACATGTGCCATGCTGGTGTGCTGCACCCACTAACTCATCATCTAGCATTAGGTATATCTCCCAATGCTATCCCTCCCCCCTCCCCCCACCCCACAACAGTCCCCAGAGTGTGATGTTCCCCTTCCTCTGTCCATGTGTTCTCATTGTTCAATTCCCACCTATGAGTGAGAATATGCGGTGTTTGGTTTTTTGTTCTTGCGATAGTTTACTGAGAATGATGATTTCCAATTTCATCCATGTCCCTACAAAGGACATGAACTCATCATTTTTTATGGCTGCATAGTATTCCATGGTGTATATGTGCCACATTTTCTTAATCCAGTCTATCATTGTTGGACATTTGGGTTGGTTCCAAGTCTTTGCTATTGTGAATAATGCCACAATAAACATACGTGTGCATGTATCTTTATAGCAGCATGATTTATAGTCCTTTGGGTATATACCCAGTAATGGGATGGCTGGGTCAAATGGTATTTCTAGTTCTAGATCCCTGAGGCATCGCCACACTGACTTCCACAATGGTTGAACTAGTTTACAGTCCCACCAACAGTGTAAAAGTGTTCCTATTTCTCCACATCCTCTCCAGCACCTGTTGTTGCCTGACTTTTTAATGATTGCCATTCTAACTGGTGTGAGATGGTATCTCATTGTGGTTTTGATTTGCATTTCTCTGATGGCCAGTGATGCTGAGCATTTTTTCATGTGTTTTTTGGCTGCATAAATGTCTTCTTTTGAGAAGTGTCTGTTCATATCCTTTGCCCACTTTTTGATGGGGTCGTTTGTTTTTTTCTTGTAAATTTGTTTGAGTTCATTGTAGATTCTGGATATTAGCCCTTTGTCAGATGAGTAGGTTGCGAAAATTTTCTCCCATTTTGTAGGTTGCCTGTTCACTCTGGTGGTAGTTTCTTTTGCTGTGCAGAAGCTCTTTAGTTTAATTAGATCCCATTTGTCAATTTTGGCTTTGGTTGCCATTGCTTTTGGTGTTTTAGACATGAAGTCCTTGCCCATGCCTATGTCCTGAATGGTAATGCCTAGGTTTTCTTCTAGGGTTTTTATGGTTTTAGATCTAACGTTTAAGTCTTTAATCCATCTTGAATTGATTTTTGTATAAGGTGTAAGGAAGGGATCCAGTTTCAGCTTTCTACATATGGCTAGCCAGTTTTCCCAGCACCATTTATTAAAAAGGGAATCCTTTCCCCATTGCTTGTTTTTCTCAGGTTTGTCAAAGATCAGATAGTTGTAGATATGCGGCGTTATTTCTGAGGGCTCTGTTCTGTTCCATTGATCTATATCTCTGTTTTGGTACCAGTACCATGCTGTTTTGGTTACTGTAGCCTTGTAGTATAGTTTGAAGTCAGGTAGCGTGATGCCTCCAGCTTTGTTCTTTTGGCTTAGGATTGACTTGGCGATGTGGGCTCTTTTTTGGTTCCATATGAACTTTAAAGTAGTTTTTTCCAATTCTGTGAAGAAAGTCATTGGTAGCTTGATGGGGATGGCATTGAATCTGTAAATTACTTTGGGCAGTATGGCCATTTTCACGATATTGATTCTTCCTACCCATGAGCATGGAATGTTCTTCCATTTGTTTGTATCCTCTTTTATTTCCTTGAGCAGTGGTTTATAGTTCTCCTTGAAGAGGTCCTTCACATCCCTTGTAAGTTAACAAGGATACCCAGGAATTGAACTCAGCTCTGCACCAAGCGGACCTAATAGACATCTACAGAACTCTCCACCCCAAATCAACAGAATATACATTTTTTTCAGCACCACACCACACCTATTCCAAAATTGACCACATACTGGGAAGTAAAGCTCTCCTCAGCGAACGTAAAAGAACAGAAATTATAACAAACTATCTCTCAGACCACAGTGCAATCAAACTAGAACTCAGGATTAAGAATCTCACTCAAAACCGCTCAACTACATGGAAACTGAACAACCTGCTCCTGAATGACTACTGGGTACATAACGAAATGAAGGCAGAAATAAAGATGTTCTTTGAAACCAACGAGAACAAAGACACAACATACCAGAATCTCTGGGACGCATTCAAAGCAGTGTGTAGAGGGAAATTTATAGCAGTAAATGCCCACAAGAGAAAGCAGGAAAGATCCAAAATTGACACCCTAACATCACAATTAAAAGAACTAGAAAAGCAAGAGCAAACACATTCAAAAGCTAGCAGAAGGCAAGAAATAACTAAAATCAGAGCAGAACTGAAGGAAATAGAGACACAAAAAACCCTTCAAAACATTAATGAATCCAGGAGCTGTTTTTTTGAAAGGATCAACAAAATTGATAGACCTCTAGCAGACTATTATAGTTTTTTAAAAAAACTTTTGGGATATTTCCATGCATTCATTCTTCAGATACTTGAAAATAATTATGTCAATAAAAACTTGTTTTGATTTTAATTGGAATTGCATTAACTTCATAGAATAATAAAAAGATAGTGTGTATTTGTACTTTATTGAGTCTTTTTATCCAGATAAATAATTGTTCAGTCTATCATTCAAGTCTTCTTTCATTTTCTTCAGTGAGATTTTGTCAGTGTAATTCTGTACAATCCTGTATAATTTGTCAATATAATTTCTTGTTAAATGTATTGGGTTTCCTAGGGAGATAATTACATCATGATCTTAAAACAATGATAAAATTATCACTTTAAAATATTTATCACTTCTTTCCTTTTTCTTATTTGTTTGGCATTTTTTATAATGTCCAGGGAAATATTCACCAATCGTTCTGATAGCAACTATTCTTTCTTGATCTTGACATTTTTTTCCAACAGATTTAACCTAACAATTTTATTTCCTTAAAAAAGAAAACGTTTTTAATTTAATTTAAAAAATTAGAGACTATGTTCTCATGGCTGTAAAACTAGTATTATCATTATTAAGAAAAACTAAATAAATATTGAGCACTTACTATGCACTCAATTCTGTGATTTTAAAGAATCGTAAAATATGGTTCTTGCCCTCAGAAGGTTTATAATCTCATGGAGAAGATAAGCCTTCTGTTCTTTTGTTCAGCAAATATTTGTTGAATGTTTATATATGCAAATTAAAAGTCCTTCCTCTTGAGAAGTTGACAGGCTAAGGAAGAGATAAAGCATGCACATGAATGTTATGATACAAGCTTGTAAATGGTGAACCAGTTTAATAGAAATTCAAATAAAATGCTGTATGTTTGAAGGCCCCCTACATTAAAAGAAAGGTGTCCATGTGAAGTAGCGTAGGGTAAATGTCAAATGAATGATGTTAATAGCGCAGGGCTTTAGAGGAAGGGTTAGTCACCCAGGTTGTGGGCAGTTGGGGAAAATTTTACTCAGGAGATAAGACAAATTGCCCTTATTGATTTTCATTTTGACAATGCCTCTAATGCCTCATCATTGAGTATAATGCAAATCTTCTCTTGGTTTCTATGCTAAATACTGTGAAGCTAAGAAGAGTTTTCCTATTCCTAGTTTATGAAGACATTAAAAAAATAGTTTTAAATGTCAATTTCATCAAATGCCACTGAAGCATCTATAGAGATGATCAAAGGTGTTTCACTCGAAAAAAGGCAAGGAGCTGGGTCTTGACAGCGGAGCAGGAGCTAAGCAGAAAGGCACCCAGAACTCAGGAAGAGCATGGCACACCCAAAGGAGCAGTGGCATGAGCCAGAAGCACAGGTGAGTAGGCTGCTGGAGCCAAGGGCCTGCTGAGGAGGTGGGGCTTGGAGATGAGGGGAGAGGGAAGCTGGGACCAGAACACAAAGGGCTCCTGCAGCCAAGCTACTCAGAATTTACTAAGAAAACGACCTTCACACATCATCACATCTCTTTCAAAGGTAAGACGGGAAAAAAAAATGAACTCATTTTGAATAAATATGAAAGTGTGTACAATGATGAACACCCAAAAGTATTTCCATGTAAATATTTGTAGGAAAATAACCAAGACCTAATAACGCTATAAACTCATTAATTTTAAAGTTTAAAGAAATGTCATTTGATATATTTACATTTTATTTCTCAAGCATATTTGTACCTGTTGTATGGTCTTGTCAGAAAAAATAATAGCTGACCCTCCTTCTTCAACGTCAGGGTAGTCAGGAAATGTCCCGGTTAAATTTCTGCAGGAAAAAAAATAGCAAATTAAAATGGAAATGAAGTCCTCTCTTGTTATATACCCCATTTATTTGCTTATGTTCATTTAAATGAGTGATGGTCATTAAGGGTGGAGGGTTCCCTGTAGATCAAGGGCTGGGCATGGTGTCTTGAAGAAACTGAAGGTACTGATTACATTCAGTAGCAGGTTTCCTTCCTCTAGAGAATTGTTAGTCTGATGCAAACATCTCTCTTTAAAACATATTGTACTTTTTTTCCTCCTTTTTTTTTTTAATGTTGAGATGCTCTGTGTTTAAGAATGAAGACAGAAGCACAAATAATTTCTTCCTGTTTAAAATTGAGGATAAACACAGGATTTCAAACTAAACGAAGGATGGAGTTGTGGAAATTACACAGTTAGTAATAATTGTGAAATATACACCCATGCTTTAGGTTTTAGTTAAATCTGAGGCCCTATGTTTTATGGGTTGCAAATAGTATTATTTTTCCATAATCACATAATTTCTACATTTTAATAAAGCAGACTTTGAAATTTAATGTTGAGAATTTCAGAAGGGGTAGACAGATAGTATTCTTAAAAGAAGTTGACTTTGACATGAATGTTATATTTATTGTACGTAAGACTATCTGCCAAGTTAGTTCCATTAATTCACAGAAGTACAGAATCTGAGGTTTAGAGGTGACCACCATGTTTAAAATGGCCCTTAAAAAACTGGTTCCCAAACTTTTGGCCTCAGAAGCCCTTTATATTCTTATTAATTTTTGAGGATCCCAAAGAGTTTTTGCTAGATGACTTACAGCTATCAATAATTTACTGTGTTAAATATTAAATCTGGCTGGGCGCAGTGTTTCACGCCTATAATCCCAACACTTTGGAAGGCTGAGGTGGGAGGATCACTTGAGTCCAGGAATTTGAGGCTGAAGTGAGCCATGACTACACCAGTGCACTCCAGACTGGGTGATAGAACAAGATCCTATCTCCAAAATAAACAAATAATTAAAGCTTAGAAATGTATAAAATATATATTTTAGTTAATTTAAAAATAAAGTAAGCTCATTATATGTTAACATAAATAACATTTTATGGATAATAAATATATTTTCCAAAACTAAAAGAAAAAACTAGCGAGAAGAGTGTCACAGCTTTGCATCTTTTCAAGTCTCTTTTGTGTCTGGCTGAATGGCAATTAACCGGATGCTTATATCTGTTTCTGCACTCAGTCTGTGGAAATCTTTTGTTTTGGTTGAAGTATAGGAAGAAAATCTGGCCTCAAATGGAAGAGTACATAGAACAAGAAGTATTTTAATAGCCCTTTTAGCTAACTGTGAATATTCTGCTTTGATACTACACCACAGCTAGACAACTGGTAGCTTCCTACAGGCTAGCTGTGATGTGGAATCTGAACCCATATCAATGAACTTTCCCCCTATCTGTCACATGAAAATCCATGGATTTGTCTCGTGCCTGGAATAGACCTTTTATCCATGCATGATTTTTTGTCCTCAGGTCTCGGTCACTGGAAAACGATGCTTTGCAGAATTATGTGGGTGTTCCCACAGTTGATACATTTCATCATATTGAAAAGCACATTAATTAATAACACTACAGATCTTATAATGGAAGGTCTAAGTCATGGGAACCTCTCCAACTCATAGGAGTGAATACAAATTTTCCAAAATCATATTTTTTTCTGGAAGGTTCAAATTTTACCATTGGCAACAACTGTTGTTGACGGTTTGTTCTTCTTCAGGTTCATCTGATTCACTTTTGAGGAAAAGTCTCCCCAAAACCCAAAGTCCAGAGTTTGTCAGTTGTTTTCTCAAGGGAAAGATGATGTTCCATTAAGAAATGGCTGGTTCAGTCTGAGCCTTAACCCCCTCACAGGTGTTTCTTGGAGACAATCTTCACGTTTTGGTATGCAGCAGAAGGGATTTATAAGCACTGCTGATTTTGTCACATAGAACGTTAAAAAGCTATGTGTTTCAAGGGTCAAGTCTGAATAATATTATTTTTTACTGCATCCTCAAGAACATTGTCAAATAAAATAAAAGTCGAAGGAAAAATAATAATTTTAAGTTGTGGGGTACATGAGCAGGATGTGCAGGTTTGTTACGTAGGTAGATGTGTGCCTTGGTGGTTTGCTGCACAGATCCACCCATCACCTTAGTATTAAGCCCAGAGTCCATTAGCTATTCTTCCTGATGCTCTCCCTCCCCGCAACACCCCTGCCCCAACAGGCCCTCCCCATGTGTCCACGTATGTTGATCCCATGTGTGTTGTTCCCCTCCATGTGTCTGTGGGGGACACAGGGTTCTCACTGTTCTCACTGTTCAGCTCCCACATATAAGTGAGAACATGCAGTGTTTGGTTTTCTGTTCCTGCATTAGTTTACTGAGGATAACGGCTTCCAGCTCCATCCATGTCCCTGCAAAGGACATGATCTCATTCCTTTAATATTCCATGGTGTATATGTACCACATTTTCTTTATCCAGTCTATTATTGATGGGCATTTGAGTTGATTCCATGTCTTTGCTATTGTGAATGGTGCTGCAATGAACATATGCGTGCAGATATCTGTATAATAGAATTATTTTTACTCCTTTGGCTATATACCCAGTAATGGGATTGCTAGGTCAAATGGTATTTCTGCCTCTAGATCTTTGAGGAATCGTCACAGTCTTCCATAATTTCCTTCCACATTCCCTTTTCTCTGCAACCTTGCCAGCACCTGTTGTTTCCAGACTCTTTTATAATCACCATTCTGACTGGCGTGAGATGGTATCTCGTGATTTTGATTTGCATTTCTCCAATGATCAGTGATGTTGAGCTTGTTTTGACATATTTGTTGGCCACATGAATTTTTTTTTTTTTTTGAGAAGTGTCTGTTCATGTCTTTTGCCCACTTTTTAATGGGGTTGTTTTTTTTCATGTATATTTGTTTAAGTTCCTTGTAGACTCTGGATATTAGACCTTTGTCAGATATATAGATTGCAAAAATTTTCTCCCATTCTGTAGGTTGTCTGTTCACTCTGATGATAGTTTCTTCTGCTGTGCAGAAACTCTTTAGTTTAATTAGATCCCATTTGTCAATTTTTGCTTTTGTTGCAATCGCCTTTGGCGTTTTCATCATGAAATCTTTGCCTATGCCTATGTCTTGAATGGTATTGCCTAGATTAAATAAAATTATTTTTAAAGGCAGGTGTATGGCAGTGAAGACTACAGTGTTTACTGCTGGAGCTGCTGGCTTGATTCTCTGCTACTATTGTACCATTGGTGCCAATGTCAACAAAGCAAAAATAGCACGCAATGTCTTGGTATTCATTTGAAAGCAGTTTGGCTTTTGGATTCCCTGAACAGATCTTGAAGGCCCCCAGGGGTCCTGGGACACACTTTGAGAGCCAGGCACCCTGGGGACCTGGGACACACTTTGAGAGCCATTCCCTTGGCCACTGCTGAAATGTTTCCCATGATGGTGAGCTCACTCCCCCAAGGTAGCCCATCCACTTCCGGATACTTTCTGACACTGAACTGTCATCTCACTCCCTGGACCACTGAGCTGCCCTCTGGGGCCAAACAGAACCTGATTCTCTTTCTCTACACAGGAGTTACTTTGGTGGGATCACTCACTTATTCACTCCTCCATCCATCAAACCTTTCATTCATATAGTCAACCAACAAATATCTGTCTAGTCCCAACTGGATTCTAGATGCAGTGATGGGAGACAGAGATCTGACATTCAAAGATGGCAGAGGTTGCCCTCACGCAGCTCACATTCCACAATCATATGGCCAGTGTGGATATTGGGCCCCAGGTGGTGCCTGTCCACAAGACTCATGTCTGAAACCTTGTTAAACTGACCACGCTCCGCCACAGACCCGTGCATCGCCCAGCCTGGACGGGGCTTAGAGAGAAACCATGAATACATTAGGAGTCAAAATGACAGCACTGTTTTCTTCAGTCCCACTCACGTTATTCCTTCAATAACCACTTTTACAAGGAACCTCATTGCATAATTTTATTTTCGTATTGTAAAGCTTGAGTGTTTTTGAGGACTCAAAACAAACTTAGTGACATATGAAAAAGCAAAAAGAATTTACATACATCATTTCTAACGTGGAATTCTTAATTATGGAACACATCGACTGTCATACTAAGATTTAATAATATTACATTATCATGGTGCTTTTGGCAAAGATAATATTAAATATATTATTTATTTATTTAATTTTAGACAGAGTCTTGCTCTGTCGCCCAGGCTGGAGTGCAGTGGCGCAATATTGGCTCACTGCAACCTCTGCCTTCTGGGTTCAAATGATTCTCATGCCTCAGCCTCCCGAGTAGCTGGGACTACAGGTATGCACCACCATGCTTGACTACTTTTTTTTTTTTGTATTTTTTGTAGAGATAGGGCTTCACCATGCTGGCCAGGCTGGTCTCAAACTCCCGACCTCAGGTGATCCGCCTACCCCAGCCTCCCAAAGTGCTCGGATTATGGGTGTGAGCCACTCCGCCTGGGCTATTTTTAATAGATGAACATATTTAGTTTTCCTTTGTCATGTTAGTTTATATAATTAGTCATAATCTGAAATTTAATTAGTCTTATCCTTAAAGAATGAAAAAAAAACTGTTGTAGGGTACACATTAAAAATATAAAATTTGTATCTAGAAAGTGACAATGTGCCTGATAGCTCTTATCACACATACACAGACACACCCACACATGCTTGTGCAAACAGATGGGTGTGCACTATCCCTTTCTTGCTCACTGCACTCCATCTGTCCCTCCCGTGGGTGGCTAGAAGGCCTCTGTTCCCACAGAGCTTGGACCCCTGCTGTGCGATACTCCCAGGGTCCCCTGGCTTTGCACTGACTGTCTCTTCTTGGCCCCTTCCCTGTGACTTGGCCACTTAGAGCATGTTAAGAGAGACAGTTATGAGTTCTATTTTATATTCCTGAGACTTTACCACCTTGGCTGTTGGATTTCTCCCTCCCTCGATTTTCAGCTGTGTCCTGGGGCACAAACAGGAACTCATCCTGACACATCCCGACTGAGCCTCCTCAGAATCAAGGCACAGTCGGTCCCGCTCCTGTTGTTAATCGTAAGGAAGCTGCGAGGTGATGAGTGCTTTATGCTTTGGGCTCAGCACGCTACACGAGGTGTAAAACCTTCAGAGGGGAGAGGGCAGATGATCACAGACCAGTGAATGGAAAATATTTGGCTCCCATGATGTTTCTGGTGCAAACAGATGGGGTCCGAGGCACTGACTGCAGGTGACAGCCCATCTGGGGACTTCCCCAGGAGTAACTCAGGACCCCAAATTACAGGGCGTCAGGAAGACGGTTCTCTTGGTTAAAAGTGGAAACCAAAGTCTCTGCTTTTTGTGGAACCTGATTCCTCTGAGCCGCCCTCTTGCCCTAATGGGCACTTACCCTGTCTTTGTTTTCTCAGGGTCTCAGGCCCCTGGAGAGGCACAGGCTGTCCTTTGGATGCTTGGACACACATGTTCACCAACCGTGGTGCCTGGGACCCACAGGCCGAATGCCTGGAAAACCCTCTTCTGTGCTTAGGGCTGCCACACGGTGTGGGCACCCACAGCATTCAAACAACTGGAATCGCAAAATGCTGGGCTCCAGGCCCTGGACAGGCACTGCCAGCCACACACTCCTCAGGCCTCAGGCACTGTCTGCCCATGTGTCCCAGGGAGAGGGCAGAGGGGAGCCACCACCTTCAAGAGCTGATTCGTCCACCTCGGACCTGTCTTGCCACTTCCCCTGACTGCGGCTGCTGGGCGTGGGGTCTCTTGGGCCCTTGGCATCTCCCACCTCATGCTCCTGGGGACCCTCTCCTCCTTCTGTGCCTCATCCCAATCAGACACTCCCCCGTAGATCTGCAGGATGCTCAGGTCTCACTCATTTAACAAACACGCAGCTTCCTGAGCTCCCAGCCTCCTCCAGTGACTCTCTCATCTCTGTCTCCTTCCCAGCCTGGCTCTTCAAGAACTCTTCATGGGACCTGTCTCCATTAAAGTAGCTCTCACAAGGGATGATGGGCTGTGCTGCATCCCCTGCCCCCTCATAGTCACATGCAGACGTCCAAGCTGCCAATACCTCAGGATGCGACCAGGTTGGAAACAGAATCACTGCAGAAGGAACTGGCAGAGACGCGGTCATGCTGGAGTAGGAGGGCCCCATCCAGTAGGGCTGGTGTCCTCGTGAGAAGAAGAAATGAAGGGAAGATGCTGTGAAGAGACGCTGGGAGCTGGCGAGGAGAGAGACCTGGACAGAAAGGTCCCTGGTGCCAGAAAGGTTGGGGGCCACTGTGTTACAGATTTCCTTATCTCCTCCATGACAGCATCAGCCACATGATGGGACTTACGTTTTAAGAGGATCACTCCTACAGAGGAGTGTAATTCCTAAGAAAGGCACCAGCATTCACTTGTAGGTGACCAAATGTTGACTAATGGTTCGGAAATACCTGAGAAACCTACAACGGTCTTACCAAATCAGCATCCACTTCCCGCACTTTGTGTTCCTGGGTGACCTTTGCCTTTCTTGTTTCTCCTCTTCTGTTTTGTTCTGTAGATTTGGGTGAAATGAGAGAGTCCTCACACAGATAGTCCAGGTTATATTTTTCATGTGACCACGTGATGAGTTCCATTTTCTGCATCGCTGGTTCCATTTGGTGGTTTGGATGCCCAATCGAGGAGTCGGCTTGGACCTTGCCTGTTGCGGCAATCTGAGAGCAAATGAAAGCTGGCCAGGGGAGGGTGGGGGAGGGTGGATTCAGGAATGACATTGTAGCACATGCTGCATGTCAACTTTGTAAATCAGCAAAACAGTTCGCAGATAATCAAGTGGCTTTGGAATTAAGATTCGAAGTATAATTGAGGGAAAGCTGCAATTTAAATAATTATTATGCAAAAAAGCAGCATATTTAACACAATGATTTTGCAGAGGATTTTGTGTTAAAATTGTTTTAATTAGGAAAGATCTCTGCATCTATTAAAATACTTTACAAACTGCAAAGAAAAACTGAGATAATCATCCCCTCAAAGCTTAACATCCCCCTTTTTCTCCACCCCAAAGATACACACCTCAGTAAGACCACTGGCTGTAAGATGAGAGGGAAATTATTTTATTTGATTGAAAAACTTATACTATACAACATAACTAGGGAGGACCTCTCTGATATGATGGCATTTGAGCAAAACCTTAAAGCAAGTGAAGGAATGTGCCACTTAGTATATTTTTAATTATTTACTTATTTTTGAGACAGAGTCTCACTCACTCTGTCGCCCGGGCTGGAGTGCAGAGGCGATTCTCCTGCCTCAGCCTCCTGAGTAGCTGGGACTACAGGCGCACATCACCATGCCTGGCTAATTTTTGTATTTTTAGTAGATACGGGGTCTCACCATGTTGCCCAGGCTGGTCTCGAACTCCTGAGCTCAAGTGATCTGCCTGCCTTGGCCTCCCAAATTGCCGGGATTACAGGCATGAGCCACCATGCCTGGCTGTATTTATTATTATTATTTTTCAGTCAAGGACACAGGCTCTGAGGAGGAGGCCTCCGGAGGGCCCAAGGTGCAGCCAGGAGAGCAGAGCAGCTGTAAGGCAGCGGGACAAGGCTGGTGGTCGGGGCAGAGACTATCACGCAGACTGTTGTAAGTGGGGGAGCCATGGAATTTCATGTCTAGACCAGGGCACCTTTAAGAATGACAGAGGGCGCTGTTAGTTTTTTATTTTTTATTTTTTTCTGAGATGGAGTCTCGCTCTGTCACCCAGGCTGGAGTGCAGTGGTGTGATCTCGGCTCACTGCAACCTCCGCCTCCCGGGTTCAAACGATTCTCCTACCTCAGCCTCGCGAGTAGCTGGGATTATAGGTGCGTGCCACCACGCCTGGCAAATTTTTGTGTTTTTAGTAGAGATGGGGTTTCACCATGTTGGCCAAGCTGGTCTCGAACTCCTGACCTCAGATGATCCGCCTGCCTCGGCCTCCCAAAGTGCTGAGATTACAGGCATGAGCCACTACACCCACTGGGTGCTGTTATTAATCAAACATAAACTGGGCCTGACACTAGGAAACTGGGACATAGATGAACCTAACCGTATGGGTACTGGTTTCATTCTGAGCGAGAGAACTGGGAACTCTGAGCCAACACATGGCATGACATGTCTTCTGTTTTAAAAGGATCACTCTGCTGTAGGAGGCACCTGCCCAAGGCACCATTCTGTCACGAAGCCAGGGCCAGCCAGACCTGCCCACTCTCTCGCCTCCGCCTCCGCAATACTTTATTTTGTCCACGGGGTGTTTGCCTGGCAGCCGAGTGACTCAGGCCGTGTTGCTGCCATTTCCTTATCGTACCTGGAAGGTTTTCCACCCGAGCCCCACAGTCCGGAGGCGGGGGCTGGGACTCCCCTGGGGCAGAGAAACCTCCTTTGCACTGTCGGAGGCTGTGTGCCTGCCTTGCTGGCCTGGCTAGATCTGTGGCACACTACTACTCTATTCAATTCATGTCAGTTTAGTTTATGGCTTTACAGGCATCTCTGCTAGCCCCGCAGCAATCTGTTCTGAAAATCAGGTGCTCTGTGCAGGCAACACTCTCTTGGAGGCCTATTTCTCATTATTTTAAATGGGAAAATTGAGACGCCTTACATGTGAACCACCTCCCCTCCCCAGCTAGTGTTTTGCCAGATGATGGAAGCACACTGGGCAAAGCCTGCTCACTTCCTGAAATAATAAGAGGAAAAACCAGGCTGTGAAAAGACATGAGTTGCCACTTTGCTTTTGGTTGAAAGAAAAAGGGACAGGAGGAGAAACCCCTATGTGTGTATTTACAGTTGCAGGTGCTCAGAGACAGGCGAGAAGCTGTCCACCTGGATTAGCTTGGAGGCATGCGACTGGAGGGAGGAAGACTGCTAATTTAAAAAACATATATTTCAGTATTATTGTCCTTGCTACAGCAAATAGGAACTATGTAATTAAATAAAACAATAGAATGGTTTATAATAAAAATAAATATCATGTTTGGCTTTATGTCTTAGTTTTAGAGTTTGATTATTGACTTTATAATTTTTACAGTGGAATGGGTCCAATTTTCTTTGAAAATATTTTTGTTTCTAGAGTTAGGAAATTGTGACCTGTCTTTAGGGGAGTTACATTCTCTATTTGGCTTTCTTTTTTCTTTTCTTTTCTTTTTTTTTTTTTTTTTTTTTTTGAGACGGGGTCTCGCTCTGTTGCCCAGGCTGGAGTGCAGTGGCGCAATCTCGGCTCACTGCAACCTCCACCTCCGGGGTTCAAGTGATTCTCGTGGGTCAGCCTCCCGAGTACCTGGGACTACAGGTGTGCACCACCACACCCAGCTAATTTTTGTATTTTTAGTAGAGACGGGGTTTTACCATGTTGGTCAGGATGGTCTAGATCTCTTGACCTCGTGACTCACCCGCCTCAGCCTCCCAAAGTGCTGGGATTATAGGCGTGAGCCACAATGCCCGGCCTATTCAGCTTTCTACTATTTGTTGGCTTTAACAATTAAAGCAATCTAGTTACTGCACCTCTGTTATTTTCCATTCTTACTACGTTTTTAACCTTCATTTATCATACATTACTCATTTCCATCGATTTCTGTCAGCTCCTGGCTCTCCACTTTGTCTGATGTATGTTTATGCTTTTGTATCAGTGTGATGCATTTACCTTGTTTTTCTTTATAATAAAGTTGACTATCCAGTGCCATTTGTCCTTCCTTATTGTTCTCATTTTATTTTAATCCTAATGACTTTAACAATTATGTTTTCAAGTTCAATAAATAATCCTGTTGGGATTTTAATTGAAATTGCGTTATCTCTATAAATTACCTAGAGCAGATTTATCATCTTTCCATTTAACCAGAAACATAGTCCATTTCTCCATTTATTCAAGTCTTTTCTCATTTCTTCCTTTTAACACTCATAGACTTCAATTTTCATAAGGTTCTTATACTTTTCTTCCATATTTAGCATATCCTTGATTGTTAAAAATACATTTTGCCACTTTCTTTAAAGTATTCATTTTTATTTCCTTTTCATGTCATTGTATTACCAATAATTTATATTATGGCACTAATTATATTAGGGGCAAAGGTCATCTACATTGTCCTTTCCTTTCCTGGGAAGACCTATAGTATTTCTCCATTAAGCTGTCTTGTTTAAAAAATATATAAAAAAGTATAGCTGTCTTGTTTAAAATAAAACAAAAACACTTTACATATATATATATATAGATATATATGAGTATAGCTGCCTTGTTTAAAAAATACTTGGTTTTTCATTCATTCCTTCATAACATCCCTGTAGACTATTTTTGCCAGATACTGTTCTGGGAAAAGGCAGTGAACAGAAGACATAAAAATCTCTGTCTTAATCGAGCTTACATGTTATTATGCTGTGAATTAATCTTTTCTATTTAAAAATTTTAAAAATAAGACGAGTAATTTTATCAAATGCCTTTTATGTATGAACTTAAAATGATAAGGCTCACAGGTGGGGAACCCAGTGGAGCCCACTGGCCAAGGACGCCACGCTGTGGGTGTGAAGGCTCCAATCAGAAACTTTAAAATAAAGCTTTACACCCGATAAAGAAGCAGTTGGGAGGCTAGATGTATAATGAAAATTGTATTTTACTGGAAAGGAAGCAGCCCAGGGCAGCTGCCATTGATTAGTTAGCTGTGCGATTTGGGCAAATCATCGTATCACAGTGGGAACTTGGTTAGTTTTCCTCTCTGCAGAATGGTGCAATTGAACTAGCTTTATTCATTTAGTTATTTAAAAATAAGTATGTATGCCTAGTAGACAATTTCCAGTTCCTTTCAGCTCTGGAAACTCTTTGATTTACATGTGTCAAATGCTGGGGAGGGCAATGTTAATTTTTTACATAATTTATTCCATGATTAATGTTACTTTCTTAATAGAAACACATTCAACATAGCCATCTGCCTTTACATTCTTTTATTTGCAAAAGCTGGATAAGAGAAACACGTATGCCTGCTATCTTTCAGTTAGCAAATGTGAGGTATGGAGCATTTGGTCAAGTTAAGGCCTATTAAAAATTTATGCATATTGTCAAAAATTCTTGCACAAATGTGAAAATGACCATCTCTGGAGTTTGCAGTGATTTAGAAAGCAGAGCTACTACAATGATCAATCTTTCCCCTGAGGTCCAACACTGAGCTTCAACGGGCCTCACATTTCAGACTCACAGGACAGAGATTTATCTGTGTTTCATCAAGTATGAAAAATATGTGGATGGAGGGGTTTCCAGCCGGTCCCCCCCAAGTCATCCAGCCACCTCCATTAATGTCAGCAGGCTCATAAATTTTTCCTGCGTTCTAAAGAAAGCAGCTTGTGCCACTGCACAGAAGCCTCCAAAGGTGGCAGTTGCTGCCTATAAATTCACTTACACTCAATAAAGGCAATTGACTGCACATGGACTTAATTACCATGGCCCTCCTTGGGAAACTGAGGGGCTCACTATTTCTCAAAGGAGGGGAGGAAAAAGTGTTATGCGAAGCAAGGCAACCTCTTAGCGGCACCTTACAAAATCTGATTTATTCATTGATGTTTCTACTTATTACTGGGATAGTCTTAGCAGTTATCACTCAAGACCGAAGTGTCCTTCTTGATTGGAAAGTATTATCTCGAATTCTCCTCAGGCTTGAATCCTACAGGAACCTCCCCATCCAACTTCCTTTTTTAAAAAAATTTTATTAAAAGGAACAATATATTACTCAGCACACAATTGGCTATTTCGGTTCTGGTTACTCTTCTACTCAGAAAATGGGATGCATGCTTTATTTTCACCTTTCTTCAATATTTACTTGTGTAGAAAAATGAATACCCAGAGAAGAAGAGAGTACCTTAGGAAGAGATAGAAAGATTTTCCCATTAAAGGCACTGTCATCCCTTTCTCTTCACCGACCCATCGTTCAAAACCTGCGCCATCATTCACCCAGCAACCCCTCCTCATTGATAGGAGCAGGTCATTCCCTTTTCTAACTCAGGAATCCAGAAAGCTTAGGAAAACAGACATAGGAGAAAGGTTAGCAAAATGTTCAGTCATTTACATTTGAATTCACTTCTTATGTACTACTTTTGAAAAGAAGTAATCTTTTACAAGTAGCAACAAGAGTGAGTTGAAGAAAAGGACAAGTTTAGGGTCTAGAGGCAAACTCTGAAGATCTCCCAGCCTTATTTGATCAAGTGCTAAATGAATATCTATCATATTTATGAAACACAAAGGCCTGATTGTTTCTGCTCAAAGCAACACATACATGTTGACATACATCTCCAAATGACACAGAAATTAAGAGCGTGCTAGAACAAACCGAATGGCTCTATATCCAAAGAACAGCTCTGTCCTCTGCCGCAGATGCGTTAAGTACTGTAAAGAATATGACTCCCAAGTCCTCTTACTTCCCCAGCTACGGTGACTGCAGCAGAGATGCAGTAGATTTGAGGTCCTCCACTTTCCCAGGATAGCACCAATTTTAATTTTTTTTTTTTTGAGATGGAGTCTCACTCTGTCGCCCAGGCTGGGGTGCAGTGGTGCAATCTCAGCTCACTGCAACCTCCACCTCCTGGGTTCAAGTGATTCTCCTGCCAAAGCCTCCTTAGTAGCTGGGATTACAGGTGCCTGCCACCATGCCTGGCTAATTTTTTGTATTTTTAGTAGAGACGGGGGTTTCATCATGTTGGCCAGGCTGGTCTCGAACTCCTGACCACAGGTGATCCACCCGTCTTGGCCTCCCAAAGTGCTGGGATTACAGGCATGAGCCACCGTGCCCGGCCCAGTGTTAATATTTTTAGTGGTGTCCTTCCCCTCTTTAGAGTGATTCTCTGCCCTGGATGGCATGCAGAGGGCAGCAGTGACTGCTTAGCCCATGGGTTCTTCAGGTCATGCCCCATCAGCAGCAGTGGGGAGCTCGCTTATCACTTGCATTCCAGTGGGATGGACAGAAAAGCACAATAGAGGGTATGCTGGACCCAAGGGTGCAACCTGGGACAGCCTGCGGGCCCACAAAAAGAAAATCCATTCAGCGCATTTGCCAAAGAGCCCCGAATCTGTCTTTCATCATGACTTGGTGCCCGGATAAACCAAGAGAGCCTAGAGCTGCTGGATGTTCTTAACTTGATTTACTGTGACGACCGACATCAAAACCTGTAATTTCACGCGAGCTGTGCACCTGTCCCTAAGGCCTCAGTGAATAATGCCTGGACCTTAAGTTCTCATCCCACCTCTTCCTCCGTTCAACCTAATATCTTTTCCACCAAAGCAAACAGTAGAAAAAGTTATTTTCCTTCTCATATGAGTAACCTACACATGGTTCACATCTCCACAGATCACAGCTGCTTCTGAGAATTTACTAAAAATATAATTACACAAGGAATTCAAAATAATGAGCCTCTAACTCACCTCTCTGCATGTGACCATCAGTCTCCCTCTGTCTTTCTAAAACCTCTTTTTTCATGCTGAAAGTAATTCATGCTCCATGCAGAAAACTTGGACTATAAAGGGAAAGAATACATACAGCCATGGTCCTCAGAAGATATCTATTGTGAACCTTCAGGTGGTTTCCTTTGATGTCCTTAGAAGTCCTCAGAGAGAACAATTCTGAACTTTCTCTTGAGAAACAATTCTAGTTTTACACAATGCTCGTGTTTCAAAAAGTCTTTACTCACCCAGATTGTAGTTCTCAATCTGCCAGTAACTAGGCAGGTTTTTAGCCAAGTTACCTGACTTTTCTGAGTCTGCTTTGTCATCCGTAAAATAATTGGGGCAAGCCACAGCCAGCTTTCTCAAATCCCGCAATTCTTCTCCTTCTCTCTTTCTCCCCTCCTCCATCTTTTTCTCTTTTCCTTTTAACTACACAGAACCATCACTATGCTCTGCATGAAGATGCTAAGAAGTAGGAGAGAGGCAATTAGGAGTTAGGAAAGACCCAGGTTCCTAGGTGGCACATAGTGAGCTGCATGACTTTGTGCAACCACCATCTGTTTCCAACAAAATGACGCTGACCACCTACCACTCCTCTGCACCACGTGGCTAAGGACATTCCTGCTGGCATGTTCGGAAGGAGGAGACCTACTTGGTGTTGTGGGAATCAGAAACCTGAATATGAATTCCAGCCTCGCCTATTATGAGCCATGAGCCCTGAGAAAGCCACTGAGCATGTCTAAGCCTTGGGTTCCCATGACAGCTTCCTGGGGCAGCCCCTGGTGCTGTGCCCTTGCCTGGCAGGAGCAGTAGAGAAATGCAAGTTCATCTGAGAGAAAGGACCAGCTTTTAAAGTCGTGACTAGTGATGGGAGGTGCTGCAGTCCTGAGAGCTCGGAGATACTAGCAGGGAGAGTATCAGGCTGGAGTGGAGGGAGGAACGTGAAGACGCGACATTCTGTCCATTGCCCGAAGCTCTCTGGACAGCGAGTATGGTCGCTCTCGCTATTTGTGGATTAGCTCTCAAATTCAACTGGCATCTACTGGGAAGATGACAGACAAGGAATCTGGAGGTCTCCCCAGGTCCCACAAGCCTTCGAACGACAAAGCTGAACTCGCAGAACTGTACACTGAAAGGGGAGAATTTTACTGCATTTAAGCTGTATCTTAATTTTTAAAATGAAAACAAAAATATAACGAAGCATTTCAAGACCTCCTCCAGAAAGAATGTGCATTTGCTGGCAATCTGGAGGCATGGTGCTCACCTGCCCTGGAGACTCAAGCACATTGCGTGCTGTTTTTTTTTAATTTTTAGTTTGTCTGCCCTGTTATTATCCCCTCAGCTGCATGCCCACCCCCACCACTGGCAGCCCTTGCTCTCCGCGCCTCCACCACCAGCCAGCCTCTCCTTTTGTAGGTCGGCAATGCAGCATTTTGACTGTGGGAGCCACAGAAGCTGTGTACAGCTGTGAATACAAAGGCCCCAGACTCCAGAATAAAAATATGGGGTACTATGGATATGGGAAACATCCAAATTGCAAGTCATTTATCTGAGAATCTGATGGACTTCCTATAGGTTTAACATGATTACTGAGGGTGTATCTTGTGCCACATATTGTTCTAAGGGCTTTATACTTACAAATCTATATTACTCTACCTATGAGGTAGGTACTATTACTACCCCTACCTCATTTTTAAGATGAGGAAACAGAGGCACAGAGAGGTTAAGAAACTGGCTCAAGGTCACGCAGCCCGCAAGTGATAGAGCCGGGATTTGAACCCAGGCAGCCTGGCTCTAGGGCCTCTGCCCCTCTGCATGTGTGTGGCATTTGCAATGCATTTGTTGATTAGAGATGCAGAAGACACCATCACATCACAAGACTGAAAGTGGTGGCTGGTCTACACCCTCAATCAGGCTCACCTGCTGAGGACCCCGATAACCTCAAGCCCCCGAGTTTTCCCAGGCCACCTCACTTCTGACTGATTATGTGTTGGCTTAAAAGATGGAATGTGGCTACCTAATTTACATCACTTTCAGATTCCTCAAGCTTACGTGAGTTAAAAGGAGTCTGCTAAAATCAGACTAGCAATGCCCCTCGGCCACTGCCAGAGCTGGCACCTGATGGGAGTGGGGTAGAGGGTGGGTGTTTACCTCCCTCTGCACTGAAGAATGAGCTGGATGTCAGGCATATTTTCAACAAATTAAGTAACAAGCGTAGGTGGCGGAGAAATGGCAATGCTCCACGATGGTGCAATTTGGAATTTTCAATTGGAAAGATCCTGAGGCCTAGAATCAGTCCCAGGGTCCAGAGATGACAGCCACTCAGGTGGCTCCAAAGCCCGTGGGGAGATGAGGAGAGGCTGCTGCATCTTCAGTGGCAGGAGCCCGCAGTCCCAAGGCTGGCTGTGGGCCAGGCAGCCCACCTGGGCTTCAGGCTTCTCTGTTATCACACCAAGGGGCTGGATGAAGTTACAACCAAGACCCCTTTACGATACTTTAACATGAAGCTTATTGATACATCCTGAGACCTAGACGGCAGTTCAAGCCATGAGAAATACCAATCAGAGCAAGATGTTTTCTGACAACAAGTGTACCCATGACTGCTTTGTCCAATATGGGAGCCACTAGCAACAAGGGGCCATCTAAGCTTAAACTAAAATGAAATAAGATGAAATGAAATTAAAAATTCAGATCCTCAGTCACCCCAGCCACCTTTCAAGTGTTCAGTTGCCACATGTGGCCAGAGGCTACCACACCAGACACTGAACATCAAACACGTTTCCACCACTGCAAAGTCCTATTGCACAGCCCTGGTCTGGACAAATACAAACGTCTATAATTTCTTCCTTCATTATGAACGCTATTCATGAATGAAAGCGATTATGGCGCTCATCTCATAGAGCTGTTGAGAGTTGTAGTAGACACTGAATAATGATCCCTAAAGATACTGAGTGCTAATCCCCAGGGTCTGTAAATGGTATCATATATGGAAAAAGGGGTTTTGTAGGCGTGATTAAGATCCATGAGAGGGGGAGATGATTGTGGATTAGCCAAGTATGTCCTAAATGCAGTCCTAAGTGTCCTATAAGAGAGAGGTAGAAGGAGATTAGACGCACATAGAAGAGGACAAGGTGATGTGACCACAGAAGCAGAGAACAGAGCGATGTGGCCACAAGCCAAGGAATGCTGGAAGCCCCCAGAAGCTGGCAGAGGCAAGGAAGGGAGCTTCTGGAGGGAGTACAGCCCTGCCAGCACCTTGATGTCAGTCTCCTGACCTGTGAACTGGGAGAAAATAAATTTCTATTGTTTTAAGCCACCAAGTTGGTGTCATTTGTTACAATTCAATAGCAAACCAATAATAGGGTTAAATTAGTTAATGTATAAAGCACTTCAAATTCCTGGTATAGAATTATAGAATGAGTGCTCAGTAATTGTGAGTCTCTATTATTATTATTATTGTTGAATACACATCTAACATGTCCAACCACCAAAATGGTTCTAATTACAAAGGAGGCCAGGGGCGGGGTACAGGGAAGGAGCCCACACTTGAGTTGTGACTCTGGGAGTAGGAGGTAGGGCCGAAGGTTTAAGTAGAGGGCATCAGTGTTTGCTTGATGAACAACTAAAGCATCTCCAAACCCAAATCATGTTCCTTAAATTGCAATATTTGACAAAAATCGCTATTTCAAATTGTTCATCCAGTACAAAGAAAAATAAACACAACTATCACACAATCTAGAAAATTCTAGGCCTGTAGAGCTTAAGTGTGAAGCAAGAGAAAACACACCAGAGTGGGGGCAGGAAGTAAAATCCAAGTGAATTAACTAAAAAACTACAAGAACTAATGTGAGAATTCACTTAGGGATGCACAAACTATATACAAGTATGCAACCAATAATAAGGAAAATATTTGAAGAAAACCTCATTCAAAACAGCAAATGTACATATAAAATGCATAACCCCAATAAGTAATTTGTGGGGCCCAAGTATTTTATTGGCATCACCTCATTTGACCCCACAGCATCAGAGAAGTGATGCCCAGGTGCTCCCAGCCAGCAAGGGGGCATTCGCTGGCAGAAAATGGGCAATGGGCTGCTGGGGACAGTATCATTTTTCTTACTGTTGCTTTCTTTCTCTCTCTTTCTGGCTTTCCTATAAGTCAGTTAGAAAAAAAAAGGCCAGGCATGGTGGCTTACGCCTGTAATCCCAGCACTTTGGGAGGCCGAGGCAGATGGATTACCTGAGGTCAGGAGTTTGAGACCAGCTGGCCAACATGGTGAAACCCTGTCTCTACTAAAAATACAAAAATTAGCTGGGCATGGTGGCGGGTGCCTGTAATCCTGGCTACTCGGGAGGCTGAAGCAAGAGAATTTCTTGAACCCAGGAGTTGGAGGTTGTAGTCAGCCGAGATCGCACCGTCGCACTCCAGCCTGGGCGACAGAGTAAGACTGAGGCTCAAAAAACAAAAAAAGGCAAATGATAAACTGAGAAGTCACTATTACAATAATTCAAAAAGCTTTAGCATCTGTAATACATATATAACTACATTTTAGAGATCACTTAAAGAAAAGAAAAAAACACCCAAAAGGGAAGCCCATAAATGACTGGGCATTTTACAATGCTTGCAACGAAGAAACCAAAAGATTATTTAACCTCCCTATTAATACAACACATACAAATTAAAAGATGACTGAGAAACCATTTTTCTTTTATCAATTTGGTAAAATATTTAAAAAGATCATAATCAATTAATTAACTAGTGCATCCATGCAATCGAAAGTGAGGCCATCAAAACAAAGATAGTTCTCCTTGGATGAATATTTTAAGGACAAGCGAAATCTCAATGTTAAATTTTTACAAATTGGAGAAAGAATTCCTAAAACTGTAATTAAAAAATATGTATACGTATATATGTATACGTATACGTATACATGTATACATGTATACGTATACGTATACGTATACATGTATACGTATATATGTGTATACATACGTATATACGTATACGTATACATATATACGTATATAAGTATATACATACGTATATACGTATATACGTATATATGTATATACATACGTATATACGTATATATGTATATACATATATACATATATACGTATATATATGAGAGAAAAGGACTGGAAGGAAATTTATCAAAAAATTTCATGGTAGCTATCTCTATATCCTCACAGATGATTTTAATTTTCCTCTTTAAGCTCTATCTTGCGAATGTTCTACAACGAACATTACTTTTAACATTGGGAAAAAAACTTCATATACAATAACGTAAGAATTGACTTAAAAAACAACCCCTTATGACAACTATAAGTGCTGACTCAATGAGATAAGCATAAGGATTCCAAATCGTGGGAATGCATATTAAGTGCAACTTTTAAGAATTTGTTGAGCCATCATTGTGTGTCCTATTGGAATTTATCCTGAGGACTGACCGTGTTTCATGTTTCAAAAAACAATATTTGCTTTTTATTTGCCTTTGATTTAAAAAAGCAAGGAAACGGATTTTATCAAAGTCAATCAGATAAGTGTAATCCAATTAAGGAAAATAAATTCACCCTTGACCTTCCATTACTTCAAAAAGAGGCATTTTTACATCTTTGTGAAGTCTGCACAGCACACCCACGAGGACGACTCTAACTGGACTCCAAACTGTCAGGTCAAGGACACCAGATAAAGTGTTCTCAAGGGACAGGCCGGTGAGGGCTGGATCTTCAAAGGGCGTCCATAAACGCTGGGACAACGGAGAGCGTGCTCCCAGGATGATATCCAGAGCTGCTCCTGTCTCCCATGACCCTGCCAGGACCTCAGGTGGGGAAGCAACTCACATCCACGGCCAGCCCCGTCTCCTTGCCCTTTTGTCAAAAGATGGTTGCCACGGGTGCCCAAGGTATTATACTCATTGATGTTTCTAAAATCAGGGTGTCTTAAAAATGTAAAATCAACCCAAATAGATGGCCTTTCTTTGTCCTCATATTTTTTAATGAGGGTTTCTATTATAAAAATAACACTTATTTTTTCTACTTTAAACAGTACAGAAAAATATGAAACAAAAAGTAACCCCACCACTCTAGCGGCTAGAAGTAGCCATGCTGACAGTTTCTAGTGTATCCTTCCTGAAATTTCCATCCATCTGCAAATACATATTTATTTTATTTATTTATTTTTTGAGACAGAGTCTCGCTCTGTCTTCCAGGAGGGAATACAGTGGTGAATTCTCGGCTCACTGCAACCTCCACCTCCCAGGTTCAAGCAATCCTCTCACTTCAACCTCCCGAGTAGCTGGGATTACAGGCGTCCGCCACCATGTCAAGCTAATTTTTGTATTTTTAGTAGAGACGGGGTTTCACCATGTTGGCCCAGGCTGGTCTCGAACTCCTGACCTCAGGTGATCTGCCTGCCTCAGCCTCTCAAAGTATAGGGATTACAGGTGTCAGCCACCGTGCCTGGACTGCAAACATAGATTTAGTAAGTTAAATGTGTTTGTGAATATATACAATACATATATTTTAGCATATTTGGGGTTACAGTTGTACATAGTGCTTTCAACTTGGTTTTGCCACTTAATAATAAATTAGATTTTACCCTGGCTGTATGAAACTAAAGAATCATTTCATTTACAGAAAATATATTTTTGAATACCTATTCTCTGACACACGAGAAAATGGGGAAAGTTTCGGATAAGGGAAATTCATGAACATTGAGCACACAGCATATAATCCTTGTTAATTATGGAAAGGAAAGTTTTAGGTGTAAACCAAAGTGATTTAATCAGAAGATTTAATTCTTTTGAAACAATGCCTTTCTACCTGCATTTCCATGATTGCAACTGCACAAAATCATCCCAAGTATATTTTCTCCAGACCCAATTATGTAATTGAATAAGAATGAAAAACTGTAATACCATTGGCTTGCACCATTCACTGCTTATTCATGAAATTTATATACCAGTTTCATCCTAGTACCAGGCACAGTCTTAATGGGACTTGCAGTTTACATGAGAGAGGGGGCATCTGAGTGAGCAGTGGTTACAGCCTGGAGAAATGACAGTGGCCCACACTTTGAGGTCTCAGCACCCTTCATCTGTTCACAACTCCATGAAACAGGGACAATTCTTGTCCTTATATCACAGATGAGGAAACTGACGCACAGAGAAGCTAAATGACTTGCCCAAGCTTACACAGCTATTTTGTGGGAAGCAATGGCTCCAGTTTGCATTCCTAATCATTGTGCCAAACTGCCTGGAGGAGCAAAGTGGAGGGGCTCTCAGAGCTCAAGGAGGAGACAGAAGGAACCTGGGAGGGAACAGTCAGGGGGCTTTCATAACAAAGCACTATCAACTTGAACAACAAAGTAGTGGGGCAGCACGGTGAGGGAAGGAAAGAGAGGAGTGAGGGTGGGGACCCTGAGCCCTTGGGCCCCATCCTGTAAGGGCCTCGGTCAAAGAGCGGGGTGAATGTTGAGACCCTAGCAGAAGCCCTGGGGTGGCTGAGAACTTCGAGGCGGTGCTCATCTTCCCACCTGGGCAGCATGGTGTGGGGCTGATGGTAGCAAAATGGAGGGGACCTGCTGGATAGGCCCCTGAGACCTGGGCCTGGTACCACCTATGCTCATGGGGGAGAACCAGCAGCCAGCAGAGCCGGGCTCAGACCCAAGAGGCTTGGATTGTGGGTGGCCAGTGCCTGGGGACACGTGGCAGAAACCATGGGCTGCAAAGGAAGTCCCCAACAGACCAGGTGGGCCGTACCAGTGCAGCCATACCACATGGCTGTAGAAACCCACCAGGCGCCGGGTGCGGTGGCTCATGCCTGTAATCCCAGAACTTTGGGAGGTCGAGGCGGGTGGATCACTTGAGGTCAGGAGTTTGAGACCAGTCTGGCCAACATGGTGAAACCCTGTCTCTACTAAAAATATAAAATTAGGCTGGTATAGTGGTATGCACCTGTAATCCCAGCTACTCGGGAGGCTGAGGCAGAAGAATCGCTTAAACTTGGGCGGCGGAGGTTGCAGTGAGCCGAGATCACATCACTGCACTCCAGCCTGGGTGACACAGCGAGACCCTGCCTCAAAAACAAACAAACAAACAAACAAAAAACCACCAGGGTATGAAACGGTGTGCCTGGCACTCTTTGCCCCAGCCGACAGCTGTTGGTGTAATTTCCTTTTACAGTCAGATGCAGTAAGGAGAAGAAAAATGGGGCAAGATTCTTGAAAGAGAGACATTTAAATTGACTTCAAATTTCCCCATGAGAGACAGTTAACATGAAAGAGACTACTTTAAATCAGAAGAGACAGAGTCACCTATAATTGGCAAATGCAAGTCTTCCCTCCCCCACTGCTTTTTAAAATTATTTATTTATTGTCTTTTTTACTGTGAGCCATTTTTGGTGAAGATGCAAGTCTTATACCACGAGCAGGAGTGGGAGTCTGAGAACGATGGTAGCACGGGAAAACTGGGTTTTGGTATTCTGGGTAACAGAATATGGTATTTTAAAGAACGAAAGCATTGGCATTTTTGCTGATATACTAACATTACTATGATATATTTCTAACAGCTTTATGAAGGCCTGAGTGATATATAATAAACTGATCATATTTCAAGGATAGAATTTTATAAGTTTTGACAAATGTATGCTCTCATGAAACCATCCCCAGAAAGCAAGGAGAAAAGGGATGGAGAAAGAGGGGTATGTGCACATCAATACTGTCTGCTCAATTAACAGCAGCCCTCTGTCTCCATTCATCACTAACAGTACAGAATTTACACAACATCAAATTCCTCATTTTAAATACCCCTTCATTCAAAATATCCCATTTTGCTATAAAATATACCTGATAAATAAGACATGGAAAGAAAACCTCACAAATGTAATCAATTCTGAATTTTTAAAAGTCATCACTTTTAAAATTGTATTGTAGGAAAAGATGGAACTCTCAGTCAAAAACATGTCATTGAAGCAAACATTCGTAAAGAAACTTTGATATAAAATTGAAGTATTATTGAGGAGATAGTGTATTAGGATCCCACATAAAGTTAACACAAGAAGTTTATAGTAGTTTAGGTTTTTGTAAATCACTGTAAAAGTAATTGATATGTATTAGATATCTATTGCTGCATAACAAGTCACTCCGAGCCTTAGCAGCTTGAAACAACAAACACATATTGTGTCATGGTTTCTGGGTGGGGAACCAGATGTGGCTCAGCTGGGCGCCTCTGCTTCAAGGTCTCTCACAAGGCTGCCATGAAAGTGCTGGCGAAGACTGTGGTCTCATCTGATGGCTCACCTGGGTCGAGGGGATCCACTTCCAAGTCTATGCCTGTGGTTGGTGGGCAGCACTTAGTTCTCAGGCTGCTGGAGGGGGCCCTCAGCTTCTCACTGGCTGTTGCCTGGGAGCCTCCTCCAGCTCCCTGCCTTGTGGGCCTCTCCACTGGGCAGCTGACACAATGGTCGCTGACTCTGAGCCAGCAAGGGAGAAGGCAAATGAGAGAGCAGGAAAGGTGAGCAGGATGAAAGTGATATCCCATCACTCTAGCCGTATCCTTGTCTTTGGAAGTGTTACTAGGTATAGCTCACACTTCAGGGGAGGGATCACTGGAGGCCAGCTTAGAGGCTGCCTGCCACAGATATCTTTTAATAGAATCTTTTTGAGAGAAAGTTTGATTTTTCTATTGCCAACATTTAAATTCTCTGGTCCTAACCACAGTTGGCGTCAGAGCATCTTGAGACCTGAAGTGATATGATGCAATACCCCATCAAGAAAACAGATGGGCAAGCTTGCCTTCTATGGCTCCTGGGACTGATCATAACAATCTGCCCTCTTTTCTTCCCTTCTTGAAATAAAATTGATTTAAAATCTCTTCTAATTAGGTTACCATCAAAGTGTTCTGCTGTGTAGAAAAATTCTCTGATGAATACCTTTTACAAACCATCTTTTGTAAACAAGTTTTAACTCATTTAACATTTCATTTAAGAACATTAAAGAACACCCTTAAATATGAATACGCCTGGAGCCTTGTCTCCAAAACTACCTATCTACCCATCTGATAAAGTTTGGATGCCCCCTCCAAATCTCATGTTGAAATGTGATCCCCAGTGTTGGAGGTGGAGCCTGGTGGGAGGTGTCTGGGTCATGGGGGTGGATCCCTCATGGCCTGGTGCTGTCCTTGCTATAGTGAGTGAGTTCTTGCAAGATCTGGTTGTTTAAAAGTATGTGGCACCACCCCCTGCCGCCAACCCCGCACTCTCTCTTTGGCTCTTGCTCTTGCCATTTGACGTGCCTTCTCCTGCATCACCTTCTGCCGTGAGTTGAGTTAAAGCTCCCTGAGGCAAACAGGAGCAGATACCAGCATCATGCTTCCTGTAAAGCTTGTAGAGCCTTGAGCCAATTAAGTTTCTTTTCCTTAGAAATTATCCAGCCTCAGATATTTCTTTATAGCAATGCAAGAACCACCTAACACACCATCATTCAAGGAGACCTGGTGGCCAGGTGTCTAGTCCCAGGAATCAGCAGCTGCCTCAAAGGATTATGACCGAGAGGGACCATGATTGAGAATCTCAAGCTTCTTACAAGTAGAGAGGCTGGCTAGATGCCAGAAGGGAAGGTTATTTCTGGGTCCCCTGACTTTTGGACAGACCTGGCCTGTGAAGTCCTGCCATCCTTGGGCTATGTCATGCACCCATTATATTCCAAGCCATGTGGTCACATAGGCACTATGTGGGCCGTTTTTCCATATTTAAAAAAATTAATTTCTGAATTCTTAGCCTTGGCATTTCACGTTTCTAAAACGAAGCCGAGAAACCTCATGACTCTATATCAATATGCTTCTGTGCTTAAAAACATACAATAACCTCAGCCACTAAAGAACAGACTGGATATGTCACGATGTAGCTCATGTTCACCTGCATTCGATGAACCAATGCCGGATCTGGTCTTGAAGGTTCTCCTTGATATCCACGCCTTCTATCAACTTTAGGTCATTCTTGATGGTAACCAGGGCTTCCCTGTAGTCCTCTTCATGCTTTATCTGCACCTCATTCCGCAGGCGGTCCACCTTTTCAGCCTGGATTACTGTAGCACTGACTTCATTAAAGAGAGGAGGTGGATTCTGAAAATATATACAAGCAACAAGGTTTGAGGTCATAAAAGTTACAGAGTTGGTAAAAATATCAGAAACTGAACAAATGTGTTAATATCTTCCATAGTGTCTAGCAAAGGCAAATAAGAAATACAAGCATCCAGAGGAAGCAAAGCTAACTGAGTGCATTTACTCAGTGTATTTAATCCAAAGTCCCTGACATAATGCTTTATGTTCTTTTGTTTTGAAGTTTTCAGCTTCAGTATGTTTGAGGTTTCTCTCCTGTCAACAACATAGATCTGGATTAAAAAAACTCAATCTGAGAATTATAGAAAAGAAAAATTTTATTCATTGTACAGAAGAAACATTTGGAGATAATCTTCTCAAGTTTTTTATCTAACACACTTTCTTGTTTTTTTTTTCTTCCTTTCCTACCTTCTGTTGGATTTATGTAGTTTTGTTCATTCTTGTCATGCAGTGGTTTAAAAATTATACATCTTATTTTAATCTTCTACTGGTTATCTTAAAATTTTAACATGTTACTTAACATCTACATTTCTATCTGTCTAGAATTTATCATAATCTAGAGCTTCTTTGAACAAGTATAGGACCTACGCATGTGTTCACTTTTCTTCCCACAACCTCTCGTTTTATAATATCATAGACTGCAATTAATTTTGAAAAGCAAGATATGTTTACATTTAATTATGAGATGTTCTGGTTTCTCTGTTTACCCTTTGCATTAGTCCATTTTTGCACTGCCGTAAAAGAATACTGGAGGGTGGGTAATTTATAAGGAAAAGAAGTTTATTTTGGCTCACAGTTCTGCAGGCTGTATGAGAAGCATGGTGCCAGCATCTGCTTGGCTTCTGGCGAGGCCTCAGGAAGCTTACAATCATGATGGAAGGTGACAGGGAGCCAGTGTCTCACGTGGTGAAAGGGAGCAAGAGATAAAGAAGGGGAGGTCCCAGACTTGTATAAACAACCAGATCTTGTGTGAACTGAGAGAATTCACTCATCACCAAGGGGATGGTGCTAAGCCATTCATGAGAGATCTGCCCCCAAGATCCATCACCTCCCACTAGGCTCCACCTCCAACACTGGGAATCACATTTCAGCATGAGATTTGGAGGGGACAAACATCCAAACCATATAACCCTTTTCTTCTTTTTTGTATTCAGTTTTCATTTTGCTGAAGTATGTCCTTGAGTGTAACTTTCAGAATGAATATGTACAGCCATAAATATTATAAGGACTAGCATTTCTAAAGATGTCTTCATTTGGCCCCTCCCACTTGAATGGCATTTTGGTAGTTCCCTTGAGGAATTCTACTTCTAATATGTAGAGTTTCCAGTTCCTTTTTTGCAAATTTAATTGTTGTTCCTTTGCAAATAAGCTGTTTCCTCCCTGAAAGTGTTTATAATGCTTTACTCTCAAGAGTTTTGAAAGTCCATCAAAATGTATGTAGGTGTAGGCATTTCTTCATTCATTGTATTCTCCTTTGGTAGGTCTATACAATATAAAGAATTGCCTTCAACTCTTCAAGTTTTCTTTCTATTATTTCTTTTTCTCCATTTCCTTGTCTGCAATAAACATTAGATAAATGCCAGAGCACCAGATTGATCTTTCATGACTCTGAGCTTTTATATTTTCCATTTGTCTATTTGCACTAGGTGATAGTGCAAATAGGAGAAAAAAAATCACTATGGTATGGTGCAAATAGGAGATTTCTTTAGCTTTATCTTCCAGAAACAATTTGACTTTCAGTTACGTGTATCATTTGGATTATTTAAATTTTGCAGTGGTTATTGTTTTAATTTTTGGCATACTCTTATATTCCCAGAATAGTTTCTTATTTTATACTTGTGCCTTCCTTATTTTTTGTGGTCACTATGGCGAACACTGTTGTGCTTCTGGTCATTAGGGCAGCCTGCACCAATAGCTAAGTGGGTGAAATCCAGGAATACTAGGGAGCTCTGGAGTAAAGAAATGTCCAAGGGTAAGAGAACAACATTAAAGTCCATTTTGAAAGCTGTGAAACAAGAATATGGCAACATTCAAGACCCTGTTTAGAAAAGACATTAGCAAAACTATAAACTTAGATCAATTACTTGGAAAAAAACATTATCTTAAAGATTCAATTCATGTCATAAACTAAAATAAATTTTAAACGAATTAGTTAAATGTAACACAAATGTACACACACATATACACACACTCTCTAAGAAATACCTATGAACCTCTGGAGGTGGAAGGGATTTCACAATGAAGATGTCATTAAAATACAGTGTCCACTCACCCCATAAAATCAGTTAAAAGAGAAAAGGAAACCACATATATCATACTTTGTAAATATATGCATTAGAAAATCCTAAGGAATTTGAGCCAATTTTCTAAGTTTAGTAAAATGAGAACATATAACTTTTCTTTTTTGGAGACAAGGTCTCACTCTGTCACCCAGTCTGGAGTACAATGGCACAATCTCAGCTGAACCTCTGCCTCCCGGGCCCAAGTGGTCCTCCCACCTCAGCCTCCCAAGTAGCGGGAGTACAGGTGCACACCACCACACCTGGGTAATTTTTTGTACTTTTTGTAGAGATGGGGTCTTGCCATGTTGCCTAGGCTGGTCTTGAACTCCTAGACTCAGGCAACTCGCCTGTCTCTGCCTCTTAAAGTGATGGGATCACAGGGGTGAACGACCATGCCCGGCTGAGAACATACAACTTTTATGATGCTAGAAAAAAACCCCTAAAAATTACTTTTTAAAGTAATATAAAAGCGAATATGGAATGAGAATTACAGAATCATTTTAAAGAACAATGTTAAAAACAAATGATCATTAATTGCCCCAATAAAGGTACTCAAAAGCATGACTTTTCTTTATATTATGTATTTTGTGTCAAAACTGAACAGTAGGAATTTCCTTTATATAATCATTAAAAATATCCAATTCTTATGTCGTCCAGGTAATGTTTTTCATTCCTCGTGCTTACATCTTAAGTGTGTAAGACAGAAGCATAAATTCATATAGAGACTTTAATCTCTCCAATGGCTAATTTAGTTTTCACGGAGATGTTAAAATGGATATCTGCAATAAATGACTCAAATTTCTTTTTGCCTCTGATGAAAGTGTAAAATTGTTTTGAAGTCTTGTATTAATAATGTCACAATTATCTACTGTATAATGTATCATCTGATGTTGCTTTTCTCCAAATTACGTTGTTCCTGTTGCTATTTGAAGATTTCCTTCATAGATGTTTACAGACAAACTATATTTTACCTGAGTCTTTTCTCCTTTCATCCCTAAAAATGAATGAATGAGCAGGTGACTTTGATTTGTGTCTTGTCAACAGCCCTATACGAAGTGTCCAAGAAACTTCCTAACACTTCCACAATCCATGAGTGCAACAAAACACTCAGCTGTCATTGGATTTTCCTGATAGCCCCTTGGCATGGTTCCCATCTTACATATTCCTGTACCGCGTTTCTTTATTCATGTCCACATCTATTTTTATTTTACTTTTATTTATTTATTTAGTTTTTGAGACGGAGTCTCACTCTGTTGCCCAGGCTGGAGTGCAGTGGCGCGATCTCAGCTCACTGCAACCTCCATCTCCCGAGTTCAAGTGATTCTCCTGCCTCAGCCTCCTGAGTAGCTGGGACTATAGGAGTGCACCACCATGCCCAGCTAATTTTTGTATTTTTAGTAGAGACAGGGTTTCACCATGTTGGTCACACATCTGTTATTTGAGGTAAGAATGAAGACATGACTATCCCACTTAACAGATGAGGAAACAGAGGTTCAGAACTCAGTGACTTTCCCGTCATTCCATGTTAATGAAGAATCCAGCAGTGAGGCTTCCCGGCTCCTTTAGTGCTGTGTTTCTCCTATTACACCATGCTGTGCTGTTAGTATGTGTGTATTCATGCATGTTTCTTGATATAGACTTTCTCTGACAAAAATACATTTGGGTAATTTGTGGCTCCTTTCTCCGGTTGCTTTTGAATTTAAAGGTTATAACATATTTAGGTCCTATGTTAATGAGCAGCTTTTCCTTTGGGCTAAAACATCTTTTCCTCTTTAGCAACTTTGGTCATGTGGAATTCAAATTTGTTAACTCACTGCATAAACAGCAACTCATTTAAAAATAAATTACAAATATTAAAGGAAGATAGAGAACACGATAGTATGCTATATATTGAAATACATCAGCTGTAGAATAATGCATCTTAATGAAGGCTTCCCATGTGAATAAACCATTATATTTACAAGCTTTCCATAGTTAATGACCCAGAACTGGATAACGAAACCTACATTTATAGCAAGGTCCTCCGTCAGCAAAAATATACATATTAATAATTGATGTTGCTGTAAAAATAGGACATAATGTGATGCCTCCTGAGTTTGCGGGGAAATAGGACTACATGGTCCATTAACTTAAAATGCTTATCTAATGTTTGATGGGCTTTGTCTTTAAAAATCCTTCTTCAAATTAGTAAGAGAAAATGGACATTTGTCCAAATGAAAGTCTGCTCAATTTATCAGCTGCAAATATACTTGCAAATAAGTGACTGAATGCTGTTAACTTTCTGGGGCAGCTCGCTGTCTTGCCGGAGTGTGCTCTTCGTGGCGCTTTGTTGTTACCAAAGGTGAAGAAGGAGCAGGGTAGACATCTATTCCCAGCAAATGACCATCCTGTGAAATTTCTCGCCATCGTCAATGCAGAGATTGATGAGCACCACGGCCCCCCTGGACACCTCAGTGTTCATTAGGAAGCACTTAGAGGCGCGTGTTCGGTCAGATCATTGGGCTCGCCACATGCCCTGGGTCTAATTTTGCACATGGAAGACCTCACGCTGCGGAATGCACCGCTCCTCAGTCGGTTCATTTCAAGATCATGCGAAGAGGGAGGTGTTCTTTAGTTTGTTAAAATCAGCCATTTTGTTTCATCATTTCATTTCAGAGTAATATATCTATATTTATGTATCTGTGTTTATACAATATACCTACTCATAAAGATGAACCCAGCAGGAGAAGTGAAAAAAGATAGTACAGATAGCTAGAGCTGATGGTTTGCTTTTGCCCTCTGCTCAGAGTAAAGTTATGGTAAATCTTTATCTCAGATGCAACAATTTTAGTGGGCACAAAACTATTAAAGAATAAAAAATGTTCTAGCCTGTTAAGCCTAATTTCTAAAAAAAATTTTAGTATATAAAAAAATTGCTTTATTAGGAACTGGGTTATAAGAGGTCTAGTTGTGCTTATAATTAAATAGTGGTGGGCTTTTCATCTGTTACTTTTGTGCACTACTTTCTTTAAAAATATATTAAACACTTTGATGGCATTTATGGTTTGCTAGGCACTATTTTAAGTGGTTGAAAAGTATTAACTCCCTTACTTCTCAACACAGCCTTATGCTACTAGGTAGCATTACTATCTTCATCTTATATATGAGAAAATCGAGGTACACAGAAGTCAAGGAACTTGTCCAGGGTCACACAGCCAGGAAGTGGCTGGGGCTTTGGCCTGAGGCATCTATTTCTGGAGTCTCTGTTCTTACTCTCCGTGCTTTGCTGTCTCTCTCTGCTGATAGGTTTCCTCTGACTTAAAAAAAAACACTTTTGGGTACTATAGACCATACTTTTATAAAAAATGTGCATTTGTAATTGTAATACTGCTGAACTACCTTGCAAAGAGGTTGGACTATTTACTCTCCCCTCACAAGAAGTGCATGACAATATCTGTGCTTCTATACCTTGCCAACACTGTAACGTTAACTTTTTTGATATTTGCTAACTTAAATAGGTAAAAGATGGCAATTTAAGAAGGACTTTTGAATTATGAATGATGTGAGCATCTAAATGCATGATTATAAGCTATTTAAAAAATTAATAGCTAACACTTACGTAGTGCTTACTGCATGCTACTACTGCCAGACACTAGTTTAAATCCCTTACAGACAGCAGTTTCTTTAATGCTTAACACAAATCTATGAGCTAGGCGTTATTACTACCTCCATTTTGCATGTATAGAAACTGTGACACAAAGGGGTCAAGGTGCCAGCCCAAGTTCACACAGCTAGAAAACAGTCGGATTGGAATCTGAACCCAGGCAGGTTGGCTCCAGGGTTCTTGACCTTAACGGCTTTAATCTGATGCATTAGAGCACTTTGCAATGAGCCCTCATATTAGATAAGTAAACACAGATGTCCTGCCCTAGAATGTAGACAAAAGATTCCTGGGCTCAGGGGACAAACAGGAGGGTAAGGAAGAGAATTATTTTCATCATTTAGTCTCTGATGATCTGGAGACCTGAGACAAGAATAAAACTGCATCCCAATACAAAGAAAAAACTAAAAATAAAACCAGAGGTTCCCAAGTAACTAGATTGCAAAATCCCACGTAATAGAAAAGAAAATGGTGACTTTTCCTTTTTTTCCCCAAAGCCTCCTAGAGTGGCCTTTTGAAACCACAGATGCTTCCAGGCGTCCTTCTTGAAATTCTAATCTCCTCACTCAGGTGTCTGATGGCCCTGAAGACACAGTTGTATAGGATGCACTGCTTGTGTTTGCAAACTTTTTGCTGGTGCAACAACACAAGCTGTGTGCACAGGTAGCACCATTTTTGCCTCCACAATTCCCCCCTGCAGCTAGCTATGGTAGACGCAGGTGAGATTTAAACCCTATGGGCTACTCCAAACCCTTTGCTTTACAGGATCATATTTTTAACAGACTACATTTTCAGTTCATAACTTCAGCAGTATATGATGACAAAGGCCAGGACGTTTTATAGTTGAAACTCAGTTGCACATGTATTTTACACAACAATCTATTTATTTTGAATAGTTTGTGTTTTGTTGCATGAAAAGTTATAGTTGTTGATAGTTTTCCACTGTATAAAATCAGTCAGATATCGTGACAACATACTATAATTTTTCAAGATAATTAATATCAGCCAGCATTCCATAATGGCATATCCTATCCCAAGCTCCAGGCTAGACCATTTTCCTTCAATCTGTCATAAGGGCCTCCTAACAGCATCTCTGTGAAATAGGTAGCACTCTCCAGCCCCTACAGAAGAAGAAACTGAGGCTCACTGGTTAAGTATGTCACTCAAAATCCTTCCATTGGCAAACTGCAGAGCTGGGCTTTGAGCCTAGCTCTGTCTGCCTGGGAAGCGCACACTCCCAACTGTCCCCCAATCCCATGCCTGGTTCTCCCTCAATGCAGGGGAGCAGGCCTTCAAAGCTGGTGCCTGGAAACTCACACTCGTTTCCAAGGTGCTGCTTCCTTCCCAGGACATGTAGGGAACAGCCCTTTTGCATTTAAAAAGTGTAACAAAACAAAACCAAAGCCAAACAAAATCCCACAAATCACAGCAAATGTATTTTTTGAGAATAATATTTTTTTAAATAAAAATAATCAAAGATCATCTGCAGCAAATATGATGAATAATGCACATGACCAAGCTAGACTACATAGTTTCATTTCATTTTGAAATGAAAGTGTGATCATCAAAGAGCATTTCATTTAGATTCTTTGCTCACTTTGGCTTTGACAGCAATTCCCAAAGAGGAACCCCATGTTCTGAGGGCAACAAAAGCACAATTACAATATGCACAGAGCTTTCCCAAACAGAGTCTCGGGAGAGGGCCACGCTCATTTGGGCGCCCAAGCTCGTACTTGAGGTTAGTTGTTAATAAGAAAGAAATTGAATGTATTGGCCAAAAAATAATTTAGAATACAGCTTGCCTCACGTTAGAATGGGAAAGTGAACAGGGTTTTACGATGCTTTTAGGATTCAGTAGATGCGTTTAAAAGTGACAGGTCTTCCTCTTTAATAAGTGTTTCCCCAGTGTTCTTTATTATAATGCAAACACTGATAGCTTCAGGGTAACATAAAATATATGATGGTCATGACTGTAGGACAAATTATTTCAAAGGGATCCACAAAATGAAATGTATTACAATCATTAAGTTTCCTTCTACTTGATCCACTCCATTGGCTCTGCCAATTAAAATAACTGCACATAAATTTTTAGAGTGCTATTTATTTTTCTTTGTAGATTTTAGAATATAAATATTTAAAATGACAATATCCAAAAAAAAAAAAATTTATATGACAATGGTAAGAGAAACATTCGGTCAGGAATTGAATGCATGATGATGTCTCTTGCTCTAATTCTGGTTTCAGTTACTAAATAGTCACTCCTAGAAATATGCCAAGCATCTCCTAAAGATACAAATATGGTTTTGATCAGATAAGTCAATGATTTCTACATTGGTATAGTGCAACAAAATGAAATCATAAAAAATAAATTTTAAAATGAGTAGGTAATATCTTAACCAGTGATATAGTGGAAAATATATTCAATTGCAAACATTTCTTTGATTTAGGGTGATAGATTTTGGATTTTTAAAAATGGTTTCCAGCCAGTGAACAGAAGACAACATTCTTTTAAAAACTGAATCCATATATCTCTCAATGGTGTACAATTTCAATAGAATATGTAATGCCAAGTGAAGACACACTCAAAAAAAAAGCAAACTGAAGAAAGTCACATTGAATACAAAACAGACGTTATTCTCTTTATACTATTCAAACTGTATTGCTGAAAAAATTAATACAAACTTCATTCATTTGAGCTGAGTACATGTAAACTACAAAGTAACACTAAAATAAAGTTAAAAGCATGTAATTCTATCTTTGTATGGTATCAGTGTAAGCTAGTAAGACTTTAGCATGAACAAACTGTGTTTAGCCATTGCCTAAGTTTCTGGTGTGTGGCACAGCATAGGTGTTCAGTAAATGTAGACTGAATTAAATAAAATGGAACTCTAATTAAATAGAAGTTGTTGAATCCCAACTGATTCTAAAGTAAAATTTCATGTTAAACTTAGACTGTACTAGATTAAATCTTTTGACTTCTAATTTAATTTTTAAAGTAGAAAACTGGACATAACAATTGTTTTTATCATTACATTCTATATCCATGTGTATTTTACGGGTGTTGAACAGAGAAATACTGACATATCATCATGTACCTACCTATCCATATACACCAAACAATCTGGAGATCTTAGGGGAAAAATTTATGAAACTCTACTGCCATTTAATATTACTTTTTTTGTTTTGTAAAATGTAGTACTATTTATTTTTAAAAATGAATGCATAATAGATATACATATTTTCAGGGTATACGTGATATTTGGATATATTTATGTAATGTGTAATGATCAAATTAGGGTAATTGGACTATCCATCATCTCAAATATTTATCTTTTCTTTATGCTGGGAACATTCAAATCCTACTCTTTTAGCTATTTAGAAATATACAATTGATTATTGTTAACTATACTCACTTTATTGAACTATTAAACACTAGATCTTATTCCTTCTATAGAACTGTATTTTTCTACCCATTAATCAATCTCTCTTCATTTCCCCTCACCCACCTGCCCTTCCAGTCCTCTGGTAACCACCAATCTATTCTGTATCTTCAGGAGATCCACTTTTTTAGCTCCCACGTACAAGTGAGAATATGTGATTTTTGTTTTTCTGTGCTGGCTTATTTCATTTAACATAATGACCTCCTGTTCCATTCATGTCTGCAAATGACAGGATTTCATTACTTTTTATGGCTGAATAATATTCCATTGTGTATATACATACCACACTTTTCTTTATTCACTTATCTGTTAATAGGCACTTAGGGTGATTCCATATCTTGGCTATTGTGAATAGTGCTGCAACAGGCATGCAAGTGCAGATATCTCTTCAATGTATTGGTCTCCTTTCTTTTTGATATGCACTCAATAGTGAGATTGCTGGATCATACGGTATTAGGTTGGTGCAAAAGTAATTGTGGTTTTTGCCATTACTGTTAATGGTTCTATCAGCCTAATAGTTCTATTTTTAGTCTTCTGAGGAACTTCCATACTGTTTTCCATAGTGGCTAATTTGCATTCCCACCAACAGTGCACAAGCGTTCCTTTTTCTCCACATTCTTGCCGGAATCCATTATTTTTTGTCTTGTTGATAATAATGTACTTTGATTTGATTTTGTATATGGTGAGATATAGGGGTCTAGCTTTAATCTTCTGCATATGGTTATCCAGTTTTTCTAGCATCATTTATTGAAGAGACTGTCCTTTCTCCAATGTAGGTTCTTGGAGTCTTTGTCGAAAATAAATTGGCTGTAAATGCATGGATTTATTTCAGGGTTTTCAGTTCTGTTCCACTGGTCTGTGTGTCTGTTTTCAGGCCAGTATCATGCTGTTTTGGTTACTACCGTTTTGTAGTATATTTTGAAGTCAGGTGGTGTATGTAATACCTCCAGCTTTGTTCTTTTTGCTCAGGATTGTTTGGGCTATTCAGTGTCTCTTGTGGTTCTATAGGAATTTTAGAATTTTTTTTCTATTTTTGTGAAGAATATCATTTTGATAGAGATTGCACTAAATCTGTAAATTTCTTGGGTAGTATTCATATTTTAACAGTATTAATTCTTCCAATCCATGAGCATGGAATATCATTCCATTTTTTGTGTCCTCTCCAATTTTTTCATCAGTGTTTTATAGTTTTCCTTGTAGAAATCTTTCACATCTTTGGTTTAAATTATTCCTAGGTGTTTCATATTTTTTGTAGCTACTGTAAATGGGATTACTTTTTTGAATTTTTTTTAGATTTTTCACTGTTTGCTATAGAAATGCTACTGATTTTTGCATGCTGGTTTGTGACCTGTAACTTTACTGAATTCATTTATAAATTCTCACAGTTTTTTTATGGAATCTTTAGGTTTTCCTAGCTATAAGATCACATCATCTGCAAAAAAGGCTAATTTGACTTCTTCCTTTCCAATTCTGATGTCTTTGATTTCTCTCTTTTGCCAAATTACTCTGGCTAGGACTTCCAGTATTATGTTGAATAAAAGTTGTGAGAGTGGGCATCCTTGTCCTGCATGTTTCATGTTTATTGATTTGTGTATGTTGAACCATTCTTGCATCCCTGGGATGAATCCCACTAGGTCATGGTGAATGACCTTTCTTTTTTTTTCCTGATTGTATTTTTTTTAAATTGTAATTTCCAGGGTATATGTGCAGGATGTGCAGGTTTGTTACATAGGTAAATGTGTGCCATGGTGGTTTGCTGCACCTATCAACCCATCACCTAGGTATGAAGCCCCACATGCATTAGCTATTTTTCTTGATGCTCTCCCTCCACCGGCCCTCCACCTCCAACAGGCCCCGGTGTGTGTTGTTTCCCTCCCTGTGTCCATGTGTTCTCCTTGTTGTGAATGATCTTTTTAAAGCATTGTTGAATTTGGTTTTTTAGTGTTTTGTTGAGGATTTCTCCATCTATGTTCACTGGGGATGTTGGCCGGTAGTTTTCTTTTTTTGTTGTGTCTATGTCTGGCTTTGGTACCAGACCTTATAGAATGAGTTTGAAAGTACAAATGACCCTTGAACAACATGGGGGTTAGGAGTGCTGGTGACACACACAGTAAAAAAATCTACAAATAGCATTTGACTCCCCAAAACTTAACTACTAATAACTGGTTGATCAGATGCCTTACTGATAACATAAACAGTCCATTAACACATATTTTATATATTACATGTATTACATACTGTATTCTTACAATGAAGTAAGCGAGAAAAAAGAAAATGTTATTAAAATCATAAGAAAGAGAAGATTATTTACTGCTCACTAAGTAGAAGTGCATCATCATAAAAGTTTTCATCCTCACTGTCTTCAAATTGAGTAGGCTAAGGAGAAGGAGAAAGAGGAGAGGTTGGTCTTGCTGTCTTAAGGGTGGCAGAGGCAGAAGAAAAATCTGCTTATAAGTGGGCCCATGCAGTTCAAACCTGTGTGGTTCAAGTGTCACCTGGTCTTTTCTTCTCCTTAATTTTTTTTAATAGTTTGAGTAGTATTGGTATTAGTTCTTTAAATGTTTGATGGAATTTGGTAGGGAATCCATCAGGTCCTGGGCTTTTCTTTGATGGGAGGCTTTTTATTATTGATTCAATCTCATTAGTCATCATTGGTCTGTTCAGGTTTTCTGTTTCTTCATGGTTCAATTTTGGTAGGTTGTACATGTCCAGAAATTTATCTGTTTCTTAAAGGCTTTCCAAATTGTTGGTGTACAGTTTTTTTGTCATAGTTTCTAACGATCCTATATATTTCTGTGGTATCGTTGTTAAGTCTCCTCTTAAATGTCTGATTTCCTTTATTTTGGTCTTCTCTCTTTTTTCCTCCTAGTTAGTCTAGCTAAAAGTCTGTTAATTTTGTTATCTTTTCAAAAACTCAACTTTTCGTTTTGTTGATTTGTGTGTGTGTGTGTGTGTGTGTGTGTTTTAGTCTCAATTTCATTTATTTCTGCTCTGATCTTTATTTCTTTCCTTTCACTAATTTTGGGTTTGATTTCTCCTTGCTTTTCTAGTACCTTGAGATGCACTATTAGGTTGTTTGAGCTCTTTCTGTTTTTCTGATGTAGGCCTTTATTTGCTATAAACATTTCCCTTAGTGCTGCTTTTGTTATAGCCCATAGATTTTCATATGTTGGTTTCAATTTTCATTTGTTTCAGGAACTTTTAAAATTTTCCTCTTAATTTCTTCATTGACCCATTGGTCATTCAGGAGCATGTTGTTTAATTTCCATGTTTGTATAATTTCCAAGTTTTCTCTTGTTATTGATTTCTAGTTTTATTCCATTGTCATCAGAAAAAATACTTGATATGATTTCAAATTTTTAAAATTTGTTTTGTGGCCTAACACGTACTATATTCTGGAGACTATTCCATGTGCTGATGAGCAAAATGTGTATTCTGCAGCAGTTGGGTAAAATATTCTGTAAATGTCAGTTAGGTCCATTTGGTCTAGTGTGTAGCTTAATTCTCATGTTTCTTTGTTGATTTTCTGTCTGGATGATCTGTCCACTACTGAGAATGGGGTGTTGAAGCTACCTACTATTATTGTATTGCAGTATATCTCTCCCTTTAGGTTGATTTAATGTCTGCTTTATATTTGGGTGCTCTGATGTTGGTTTCAGATATATTTATAATTATTATATTATCTTGCTGAATTGACCCCTTTATCATTATATAGTAGCCTTTTTGGGTTCTTTTTTTTTTACAATCCTTGGTTTGTAGTCTTTTTTTTTTTTGAGATGGAGTCTTGCTCTGTCACCCAGGCTGGAGTGCAGTGGTGTGATCTCGGCTCACTACAGCCACCACCACCCAGGTTCAAGCGAGTGTCCTGCCTCAGCCTCTCAAGTAGCTGGGACTACAGGCATCTGCCACCGCATCTGGCTAATTTTTGTATTTTTAGTAGAGGCGGGGTTTCAACATGTTGGCCAAGCTGGTCTTGAACTCCTGACCTCAAATGATCCACGCACCTTGGCCTCCCAAAGTGCTGGGATTACAGGCGTGAGCCACTGCACCTGGCCAGTTTGTAGTCTATTTTATCTAATAGAAGTATACATATTCCTGTCCTTTTTTTCCATTTGCATGGAATATCTTATTCCATTCCTTTCTTTAAGTCCATGTGTGTCTTTATAGGTGAAACTGGCTTCCTGTAGGCAGCATATGGTTGGATCTTTTAATTTTTAAAATCCATTCAGCCACTCTCTATCACTTAATTGGAGAATTAAGTCCATTTACATAAAATGTTATTTTTGATAGGTAAGAATGTACTACTGCCATTTACATTTTTTTTTCTGGTTGTTTGTAATTTCTTCCTTTCTTATACTCTTCCTTTGTGTTTAGGTGATTTTCTCTGGCAATATATTTTAATTAATTGCTTTTTTATTTTTAGTATATCTATCATAGGTTGTTGCTTTATGGTTATCATGAGGCTTACAACAAGTCATATAAGTTATTTTAAAAAGATGAGGACTTACCTTTGATCACAAAGAAAGGCATAGAAACAAAGGAAAAACTAAAACAACTACACTTTATCTCCCCCACATTTTGACTTTTTGTTGTCTCAATTTACATCTTTTTATATTACTTGTCTCTTAACAATCTGCTGTAGTTACTGTTAATTTTGATAGTCTTTTAGTCTTACTAGAGATATGAGTGGATTACACACCACAATTACAGTATTAGAGTAATTTGGCTTTGTCTGTATGCTTACTTTTATCAGTGGCTTTTAGATCTTTAAATGTTTTCTTTCTGCATGTTAGTGTCTTTTTCTTTCAGACTGAAGAACTCCCTTTAGCATTTCTTGTTAGATGGGTCTGGCAGTGATGAATTCCCTCAAATTTTGTTTGTCTGGGAAACACTTTATCTCTTCTTCATGTTTGAAGTTCAGCTTTGTTGCGTGCAGTATTCTTGGTTGACAGGTTTTTTTTTTTTTTTTCCTTTCAGAACTTAATAAATATGTTTTTCTACTACCTCCTGGCCTGTATGGTTTCCTTTGATAAGTCTGTTACCAAACTGGAGCTCCATTATATGTTATTTGCTTCTTTTCTCTTGTTGCTTTTAGAATCCCATTGCTGTCCTTGACTTTTGAGAGTTTATTATATACCTTGGGATAGTCTTATTTGGGTTGAATCTGTTTGGTGATCTCTAACCTTCCTATACTTGGATATTTTTATCTTTCTCTAGGTTTGAAATGTTTTCTGTTATTATTTATTTGAATAAGGCTTCTACCCTTTCTCAACTCCCTCTTGAATACCAATGATTCTTAGACTTGCTCTTCTGAGGTAATTTTCTATATATTGTAGGTATTCTTCATTCCTTTTCATTCTTTTTTTTCCCTCTGACTGTGTATTTTCAAATAGCTTGCCTTCAAGCTGATTCTTTCCTCTGTTTGATCCATTTTGCTGTTAAGAACCTCTAATGTATTTTTCTATCCAGCAAATGTATTTACCAGTTCCAGGATTTGATTTTTAGAAGTTATTTCAATATCTTTGTTAAAAATTTCTCTGACAAATTTCAAAGTTGCTTTCCTGTGTTATTTTGGAGTTTGCTGAGTTTCCTTAAAATTGCTATTTGGAATTATTGATCTGATGGCACACATGTTGCCATCTCATTAGTGTCAGTCACTGGCTTCTTGCTTTGTCTCATTGAGGTCACATTTCCTGTTTGCTGTTATTTCTTGTTGGTGTATGTCTATGTATTGTCATTGAAGAATTAGTTATTTATTCCAGTCTTTTCTGTTTGGATTGTTTTGGTTTCCTTTTGATATGTTTGCTTAGGGGTTCTTTACAATTTACCTGTTGAATTTCCTTTATTGCTAGGTAACTGCCTCCTTTTCAGTACTTTATGGAACCTTAAGCCCAGGTTTGCATTAGCTCTAGCAAATGTTTGGAGTGATGCCTGGCCCAATGGGGAAGGTCCCAAAGGGGATATCCCTGCTATGCAGGAAGGCTGGCTAGTGGTTTTTGCCCAGGGGACCTGTGGAGCCTGCCTTCTACAGTGTGGTGCTGCTGAACAGCCATTCTGACTTTGCATCTCTTTTGGCCAAGATACAGAGAAGAGTTTTGTGGGCTGGGGATGCTAGTCCTGCCTTTCCCTTTGTCTCTGGCTGCCCTAAAAGGTTTTTATCCTTACAGATACTCATGATGCTTCCTGTAGGTTGAGGCAGGGATAGTTCTCCTGCAAGGGAACCCAAGATGGGGAAGCTGGTTATTTACATTGATCTCACTTTTTCCAGGGTAGAAACCATGAGTCTGGGGGAGATTTTTTCCACACATGAGGTGCCTGGCAGATTGCGGGGAGGAGCACTGTGAATATAGAAGTCTGATTTTCTTACTATTGGCTCAGAATTTTTTTACCTCTCTGTGGCCCTGGAGGTCAAGTCATCCTTAAATCTGAGTTATGGGACATTGCTGGTGATAATCTTGGTGCTGGATATTCGTTTTTGATTTTCTGTTGGGGGGAGTGAAGCCAGGTTGCTTCTATTCTGACATTTTGGTGAGCTGCTTTTACTTTTAAATGTGTGTTTTTTTTCTAATTAACAAAGTAAAATTTGACTATTTTAGAAAATGAAGATGATTACAGACAAAAAAGAAATCTCCCAAAGCTCACACATTAAAACATCAGCTTTATTCAGACTTTGTGTATTTTCTTTCTTTCTTTTGTATGTGCATGGATGTGTGTATATACTTAGTTGAAGTATTTACACTTTAGTTGAAATCTATATACTTTAGAATTATACATATTATATGTATAACTATATGTATAATTCTATGTATAATTCTACATATTATATGTAGAATTCTATGTATAATTCTACATATTATATGTATAATTCTATGTATAATTCTACATATTATATGTATAATTCTATGTATAATTCTACATATTATATGTATAATTCTAGGTATAATTCTACATATTATATGTATAATTCTAGGTATAATTCTACATATTATATGTATAATTCTACATATTATATGTATAATTCTATGTATAATTCTACATATTATATGTATAATTCTATGTATAATTCTACATATTATATGTATAATTCTAAATCCTGAATTTTTACCTTGAGCATTTTCATGTAGTCAAAATTAGTCAGAAACATACTTTTTAATGCTGGCATATCACTACATTATACAGGGACATCATACATTATTTAACATTGTAATTATTTAACTAGATACATACTGTAAGAATACTAAAATAAGTTATTCCCAATTTTTTCGCTATTAAAAAGAACACTGTCAGGAACTTCTATGCACACACATCTCTATTTTTGGTGAGTATCTTAAAACAGAAATATAACTTAAGGATGAAGAATATAAATATCTTAACTATCCTGTGGCAACTTGCCAACTGGCTTTCAGAAAGGCTGAGTCCATTTAACTCCTTGTGTTAAGAATGAGCATCTCATCACTACCTTGTCAATAATTATAATTTTAAAAACTTTTAATATTTTGCTAATAAGACAGACACCACTTACCCCATTTCACTAATTCTAAGATGTACATTTTTCATAGTTTAGCATATCTGAAATTAGGGATGGGTGTGTATTACACTCAAGGTTGTGTTTTGGCTTATTTGGCAGCACTTTTTTTTCTTAATGGCACCTAAAAATAATGATGCATCTTACAATTGATGATATCTTAAAGATTCAATGAAATTACAGTAGAATCTCATGTAATTTTTATTTTGTATTTTTGACCACTAGCTAAGAGCCATGATTTATACAGAACCATTTCAATGTGCGAGTGAACTTTTTAAAACAAATTTAACTGTGGTAAAAGAACATAATATAAAACATACCAGTCTAACTATTTTTCAGTGTGCCATTAAGTAGTGTTAACTATAATCACATTATTGGGCAACAGATCTCTAGAACTTTTTCATCTTGAAAATGGAAACTCTGTACCCATTAAGCAACAACTCCCCTTTTCTCCTTCCCCCAGTCCCTGACAACCACCACCTACTTTCTGCCCTCATGAGTTTGACTACTTTAGATAGTGCATATAGGTGAAATCATACAGTATTTGTCTTTTTGTGACTAGCTTATTTCACTTAGCATAATGTCCTTCAGGTTTATGCATGTTGCAGCACGTGTCAGAATTTCCTTCTCTTTTATAGCTGAATAATATTCCACCCAGTGAATTTCTAAATCATAAAAATTTATAACAACTTGCAGAAATTGCTGACCCATTGGATTCTGACAGCACACCTAAACAACTAAAAAGCAAAGGACAGGCTGGGTCCCAAGGGGTTCCAATTTCCAAAAACAAATGTTGGCTTATTTTTGAAACACAAAGATCAAACAGAAATTAAGAATGTAGGTGATAAAATCAAGATATTTTTGAAATCATATCTGCTCTTCTGGTGTTATTTCTTATGTTTTTTAAGGCAGTAAGCTTGGATATCACAACTTGAGAGTTTACAAACACAGATATGGTAAGACCATGCCCTTCCACCAGGAAACTAGGCAGTTCCAAGTTTCTGGAACATGGACTTGAATTCTTTCCTCAAGCAAAATAATTATGGTGAACAACAAAGGCTGTGTGGAGAGGCCATGACTGCAGATGAAGCAATGCAGGATGAGGGGCCAGGGTAAAATGTAAACTATTCTAAAACTAAACGAACTTGCCGTGTCATTTAGAATGTGCCATTATAAAACTGATGAATATTACATGGCAATATCCTGAAAATTGAACTAAATTATATTTTAGTTATACTTAATACCACTGGCAAAACCTTTTAATTTATTTTAAATCCTAAAATCCCCAAAAAGAAAACTGAATATTTATACAAGAAGACTTAATTAAAATATGGCTTAAATGGTTAGGTTTATGGTTGATCATAGAACAAAAGGATTTAAAGTATCAACCACATAGTGGTGACCACTTTATTTATTTTCCCTGAAAGTGAAAAGAGGAAGGCAGTATTAGAAATTAACACTTAAACCTAAAAAGAAGATTAAAAAGAAAACCATATCCTCACATTGGTTAAAATGTCGTATTTGTTTTACTTCTTATGTTATTCTCTGACATTTCTACTGTGTCTGCTTTTATAAATAGACAGAAAAGAATCCCGATTTTTGTCCTACCTGACATATATATTTGTTAAGTACACAGAATTGGCAAAATGTATTTCAAATTGACTATTATTTGATGAAGGTACAATTTTAAAAGCTACAAATTATTTAAGTCATGATTCATGTCTTTTCCCCCTCTGACATAATTTTGAACATGCATTTTATCTGTAATTTTTTAGACATAAAACACATGTTTATTGCAGAAAGATGTAAGCTAAGCAAAAATTAAAAAACAATCATGGTGTTCATATTTTACATTTCACAAAATATGTAGAAACTCTAAAACATCACTTCTAAAGATACATAATAGGATATTTTAACTAATTATTTATGGGCACCAATTTCTTACAACTCTAAAGCTATACTAATATGAATATCTGTATATTGTATACTTTGCTCATATTCTTGGCTTTTTTTTTTTTTGTAGCAAAGAAATTCCAAGGGTTGGCACTACTGGGAAAAAAGGTGTGTTTGTCATGAGACAAACTGAACTTAGAAAGGCGGGCAATGAAACCCTCAGTAGCAGTCCCTGAGACTGTACTTGCCCTTGGGTCCCTGCCCAAACTGAGTCTCATCCTTACTGGGTCTCTTTTCTTTCGTTAGCATGGATTTTTAAAAGCGATTTAAGTTTCCTTATGGGCACTGTGCTGTAGGCGGAAACTCCCCCTTCTCAGCCCCCATTCCTTGGTGCCTCCTTCCCGACCTGCGTCGTGATCTGAGGGTTCTTCCTGCCTTATTTGGGGCCCTCCCTTTATTCTTTACAGACATTCTCCTACTAAATCTCTTGCATGCCTAATTCCATGCATGCTCTCACAGGACCCAAACTAACAGAAGGACTTTGAAAATCTTTTCAGCATTTGCTACATGGTTGTTTTATTAAGGTTTCTTCTCCTTTGGTCAGTTTCACTATTCATACTTCCCTAGACAGTTTTCTCTCTTCAATATTTTCTATTTTATGACCACAGTTGTTCATGACATCACCTAATAGTTTTTAACCTGCTAGTGCCTGTGGTCACTGTATACTGTGTATATGACTACATATATATATGTCATATATATGTATGTATATATATATAATATACATCATGTGTTTGTAAATATACATATACACATACATACATATTTGTCATACATTTGTATTTTCTTCTTTTCTTGATTAGCCTCACCAGGGCTCTGTATGTTATTAGCGTTTTCAAAGACTGAGTCATTGTATTTATCAATGTTCCTGTTTCAACATTTTTACCTGGGCACTGGATGGGGGTATCAAGCCAAGTAGCTCACCAGAATACACCTTAGGTCAATGCTGGAATGAGGCCCCAAAGGGCTTTGTTTCTTTTCTTTTTAAAATTACAATGTCCTTTAATGAAAACTGAGCAGGTCAACAAAGCCCCACTAGGACTGACTGGTCCCCTTCTCTGGTCATAATGAGCTTTGCAAAGAATTGGCTTCAGGGGGTTTGAGAGCTGCCTCCAAGTGCTTAAGGGATTGTCACATGAAAGGGAAAGAGGACACATTCCAAGCTACTGCAGGGACAGAGCCCAGCCTGGCAGTGGGATCTGCAGGAAGGCCAATTGCAGTTCAATGAAAGAGAATGGGCTCCTGTGGGAGGCAGAGGTTCTGTTTTCAGGAGGGGCTCGGGCAGAGGAGTCAGCCTTCCTCAGAGGCCATGCACTCGATGAGGCAAAGCATGCAGAAACATCTCTAGCAGCAGACAGACTCTAAGATGGTCCCAGTGACCCCGCCTCCTGGTCTTCTTCCCTCATGTAATACCTTCCCCTTGAGTGTGGGTGGCCCCTATAACTTGCTTCTAACCAATATGATAGGGCAAAGGTGATGGGATGCCACTTCTGTGATCATTTGCATAAGATTCTGAGCAGCCCCCCTCTCCCTGCTGGCTTAGACGAAGCCAGCTGCCATATGGAGAAGCACACATGGCATGGAGCTGGGGGCTGCCTACAGCTAACAGCTGGCATGAACTGTGGCCCAGGATCTGATGCCCTACAGGGAACAGAATCCTGCCAGCAACCACACAAGCTTGCAAGCAGGCCCTTCCGCAGTTGATCCTCAGTTGAGACCTCAGCCCTGGCTGACACCTTGACTGCAGCCTTGTGAGATCTGGAGGGGAGGACCTAGTTAAGGTGTACCCAGATTCCTGGCCCTGAGAAACTGTGAGACAACAAATTGGTGTTTTAAGCTACTAAGTTTGTGGTAACATTGTTATGTGACAATAGATAACTAATCCACCTAATCCACCTTTCCATCTCTATGATTCAGTAATCACCAGCACCAGAAAAAAAAAAAAGCCAGCTGTATCAATGCAAACCCACTGTTGTGACCGCCCATCCTAATATAGTGGTGTGCACTGCTGACATCAGACAGGAATAGCAGATTGTGACGGCTCCTAGCCTGTTTCCACATCTACAGCATTCTGCATCTTGCACAGAAATGTATAAATGGATATAACCCTGATCTCTTCAGATCTCCCTGGGCAGGCTTCTGTACCATATGGGTGACTCCATTCCATTAAATCATTTATTTTTCTTTCTTTCTTCCCTCAAAAACTCTCAGAAGAAGACACAGTCTCACATATTCTATTGTCTTTAAGAAAACCAGATGCTATCTCTTAAAAAAAACTTACCATACCCAGGAAGATCATCTCCTCTTCTCTCAGTTTTTCAGTTTCCTTACGTTGATGGAAACGTCGCCAAACCTAAAAACAAATAAATGGTTACTTGTTTAATACATACAAATATAAAGAAAACATGGCTTGCAGTTTCTCCCATATAAACTGCACATCTCAAAATGCCAACTAATCCTAAGCTCTAGGCTGTCCATGTGTGTGCTGATGGAATATTTTTTCTTCTGTGATCACAGGCAAAAACATTGTTAAAAAGAATGAACCACAGAACTAACCTATAATTGTTATTAGTGAGATTCCTTTACCTTGGTTTCTTCAAGAGGAACATTCTAGGTAGCAGGAATGTGAGGCTAGATCTAAGGACGGCACTTCATGGTTTTAAAGGAAAAATTTCCAAAGTAATGTGGGGAAATATAGTAACCTCCAAGAAATGTACAACTCAAGCTTTTAACTCAGATGCTACAACTTTATATTCCCACAGAAACCCGAAAGAAAACAGACTCTTATCCATCCTTCCCCATCACCTTCTCCTATTCCTATTCAGGGAAAATTAGGGACAGAGTCCTCATCTTCTGGCCTAATTTTATGTCCTTATACTTATTTTCTCTGAAACCTAATGCTAGTTTATATCACCTTGCCATCTGCTGTGTTTCCCTGTAAGTAACCCTAGCCTCTATTTGAAAAAAAAAATGGGGCACAAATCCATGGTGCTTATCTGATAAGGAAAGAAAACCTTACGGATTCCTTCTAGAAGGGACACTGATGTGCTGGTTATTAGTGATGGCTGCTGCATGTTTCTGGAATCTATTAAGGCCTGGTCCCTCTTCTGTAATTATATATCTGTGTGTGAATGTATTCCAAAAATCCATTAAGGATTTATATCCTCACTGCATTTCAGCAACATTCATTTCAACAATTACCAATGGTCTTTAACAATATTTGAATAAAATGCCCTGAGTTTAGTACCTATTTAGAGTAAAAATTTGAAAATATGACCAAGCTTAGTTAATGGTTTCCCCAGGGTAAGTTAATAAATCTTTCTGGAATGTAATCTAGTTCTATTAAGGGTAGGATTTGGTGTTTGAGTTTTGAAGCTCAGCCCCAAAATTGAGATGTATCTTTAGTGTATAAGGCACCTTGTACCCCAACTCCAGGAGCCCTAGGTTTGCACCTTCTGAATGCGGAGTGCAGCAGCCCAGGTATCTGTCACTTTCTTGCCAAGCATCTTGGATTGCTTTGCTCTATATTCTTGCAGATAGATTTGCTTCATGAATAAAGCCCTTAGGCGACCTTGCCGTGCCCTCTCAGCAATCTGGATTAATTTAACAGCCTCATCGAAAGGGATACTCTTTACAGGGTATTTCTGCAAAAAACAGTCAAGATAAACCAATGTTTGAACATGTTAACCACATCAATTGATCCCAGACACATCACATGCTTACTTCAAACACAATCCTGCTAAGGGTCCCCACGGCTGATCATGAGTGTGAGAACCGCTGAACACTGTTCATTTTTCCAGTGAATGATGTATATTTTGATAACATGACATGCTCATGCTGTGATCCCAAATTTAAGGGCCCCCTGACTTTCCTTTATCCTTCTGAACAAAATACTAATTAGCTCCACGATATTTTAGGTTGGCAGCAAATTATACTAAAAATGTCAATAAAATTGATTCAGTAAAACTTGAAATTGCTATCAATATTTCATTAACTTAATAGGAGAAACAGAGAAATGAAAAACCTACCTCTAATATGAGCTTTTAAAATTTAAAATATATATGAAGTAAAATGCTGATCTTAAAATCAAGTACAGAATGCCCAGTGAATACAACTAATATCGAAATCATTTTGGGGGCATTTAATTTTATATATGAAAAGTCTTCCAGTGTCTATAAACTTGCATCTTAAAACATTCAAACATGATGAGTACTAGTAAAACAGAAAAATCAGGGCTGGTAAGTAAAATGTTGTTTTGGGAGATCTCACATGGTGTATGTGGAGACAAAGTTAGGCGAGGGGCTGTGTCATTTTTTGAGGAAAGAGGGACAAGAACAAAGGGCTCCGGGTGCATGCTGGGGCCTGTGTGGGCTCTGGGTGCAGGTGAGGCCTGTGTGGGCTCCAGGTACATGCTGGGACCTGTGTGGGCTCCGGGTGCATGCTGGGGCCTGTGTGGGCTCTGGGTGCAGGTGAGGCCTGTGTGAGCTCCGGGTGCATGCTGAGGCCTTTATGGGCTCCGGGTGCATGCTGGGGCCTGTGTGGGCTCTGGGTGCAGGTGAGGCCTGTGTGGGCTCTGGGTGCATGCTGGGGCCTTTATGGGCTCCGGGTGCATGCTGGGGCCTGTGTGGGCTCTGGGTGTATGCTGGGGCCTGTATGAGCTCCGGGTGCAGGTGAGGCCTGTGTGGGCTCCGGGTGCAGGTGAGGCCTGTGTGGGCTCTGGGTGCATACTGGGGCCTGTGTGGGCTCTGGGTGCATGCTGGGGCCTGTGTGGGCTCTGGGTGCATGCTGGGGCCTGTGTGGGCTCCGGGTACATGCTGGGGCCTGTGTGGGCTCTGGGTGCAGGTGAGGCCTGTGTGGGCTCTGGGTGCATGCTGGGGCCTGTGTGGGCTCTGGGTGCATGCTGGGGCCTATGTGGGCTCCGGGTGCAGCTGAGGCCTGTGTGAACTCTGAGCAGGCTCAATGGGAGGCCCCAGTGCTGTTCCAGAGGCCCCAGAGCAAGGGAACAGGGGCTCATGTGGCCTGGCTTGGGGGGTGTCCATGCATGGATGGAAGCAGAAGGGACAGATCACTGGAGTCAGAAAAGCACCAAAGAGGCCAGGCACAGTGGCTCACACCTGTAATCCCAGCACTTTGGGATGCCGAGGTGGGAGGATTACTTGAGTCCAGGAATTTTAAGACCAGGCTGGGCAAAGCGGTGAGACCCCGTCTCTAAAAAAATTTTTTTTAAATTAGTGGAGTGTTGTGGGACACACCTGCAGTCCCAGCCACTTGGGAAGCTGGGGCGAGAGGATCACTTGAGCCCAGAAATTGGAGGCTACAATAAGCTATGATCATGCCACTGCATTGTGGCTTGGGCAACAGAGTGAGATTCTGTCTCTAAAAAGAATTTAAAAATAAATTTAAAAAGAAAAGCACCAAAGCATAGGTGAAGCCTGTTTCCAGGCCTCAGAGGGCAGCAATGGTTGCCACAGTAGGACAATGTGAAGGTGCTGAGGCTTCATGTGTGGGGCGCTGCCACCAGGGCCACTGCTGCCAGGATGATCCCTCTTCTGTGCAACAAGGCCAGGGTCAGGGGCACAGGAAGGAGTGAGAAGGAGAGGAAAGGCACATGTATACTGAGAACCTGCAGATGTCAGATGCTTTTTTTATGCATGCTCATCACATTCACAAGAGCAAACTCCAAGGCTGGTGTTACTGTGACCACTTAAGAGTGAAGACAACTGAGGATCAAAGAAGTAAGGTAACTTATGCAAGGCCCCGTGGGTAAGAAGAGAAGGAGCCAATTTGAACAGACTGACCGTCTTTCCACTAAGCAACCCACTACCCTTCAACATGGCACAAGGAATATGATTGCTTATGAGGAAGCTCTTTCACATAACAATCCCTCTGAGTTTGTTTTCAGTAAGATTTCACCGCTTCAAATTTGCAGTGAGCACACATTTTCAATAATGCACTTGTCAAGTTAGAGTAGAACGAGTATCATTCTGGCATTAAATGAGATGATGAACTTAGCATACAGTACCCAGCAAACATGAGTTAGTATCGTATTTCTTTCCTTTAGATTCCGGGCTGTCATTCTGAAAATAGTCGTGGCCATTATCAAATAATTCTAAGGGATTTTGAGTAGGGAACTCAACATGTCAAACATTTTTAAGCATTTAAGGAGGCCCACAGTGGATATTAATGTAGGAGATGGACAATAATTTTCATGCATCAAAATTCTTCTTGGGTTATATATATTGTGTGTGTGTCTGCATGCGTGTGTGTGTATATATATACATATACACATATATACATGTCTCATAAGACCCCTTTAAGCTGCTTATATACAGTACGTATCCCAAGAAGAATATATTGTGTGTGTGTGTGTATATATATGTGTATATATATGAGTGTGTATATATATGTGTGTATATATGTGTATATATATACAGTATATACCCCAAGAATATATTGTGTGTATATATGTGTATATATATGTGTGTATATATATATACAGTATATATATATATACACACAGTATATACCCCAAGAAGAATATATACTCTGTGTGTGTGTGTATATATATACAGTGTGTATATATATATATATACAGTATATATATACACACAGTATATATATATATATATATATACACACAGTATATATATATATATATATATATACACACAGTATATATATATATATATATATACACAGTATATATATATATATATATATATATACACACAGTATATAAGCAGCTTAAAGAAAGGGGTCTTATGAGACACCAAAGGCCATGGGGAAGTCGCAGCAGGGAAGTCCTTGTGGTTTTCTGAGCCCCTGGCACATGTGAAATGAGACTGGGGTGGAGATGAAGTACTTAACCCAGTGGAGGTGATAGGGGCTGGCCAAAGCTGGATGCTGAAGGAACACAGAAGCCTGTCTGCTCTGACTGAGAACAAATGAAGAGGAACAGTGAGCAGGACAAATGGCAAAGAGGAATTTTTAGGATTTCACTGTAGTGAGTGCAACGTAATCTCCCTTCTCCATTTTCCAACACAAAATCTTTAGTAATTCTGCAGTGCTCATCACTGCTTGGTGCAAAGGGATTCCTTTCAGGGAATGAAGTGTGAGTGCTTCGCTCTGACTGATGCATGGACAGAAAGCACAGACATAGGAGCCCAGTGGTGAAAGGATGGCTAGTTGACCCCCAAGTAAGTTGGCTTTGGAATGGACTTCAAGGAATTCATAATGTAAAAGAAGGGCCAGTAGCTGGGAGCAGGGGCACAGGAAGGAGAGGTCATCTTGAGTTAAATGGGTGCTATGGTTTAAACGTGTCCCACAAACTTCATGTGCTAGAAACTTAGTCCCCAATGCAACAGTGTTGGGATGTGGGACTTTTAAGAGGTGATAAGGTCATGAGGCCTCTGTCCTCAAAATGAATTAATACTGTTATCGGGGGAATAGCTTCCTGCTAAAAGGATGAGCTCACCGCCTTACTTCTTGCTCTCTTACTATGTGATTCCTTCTGCCATGTTATGACACTGCAAGAAGGCCCTTACCAGATGCAACTCCTCAATACTGGACTTCCAAGCCTCCAGAACCATAAGCAAAATAAACTTCTGTTGTCTTTAAATTACCCAGTCTGTGGTATTCTGTTATACCAGCACAAAATGGACTAAGCCAGTATGTCAGGAAAGGTTTCTTGAAGGATGGTGTATCAAGTTAGGCTCCGCAGAATGGGTACCATTTTGATGAGCAGGTATGTAAGGGAGAAGAACAAGCCCTCTATCCAGCAGGGAACATGCCTATGGGAAATGAGAGACAGCACTGGGCTGGCAAATACAGGGCATGCATTTCACCTCTCTTCTGAGGCAGGCACACAGGGCACTTTTTTCTCCTGCCATCCTCAGCATACACTTGGAATCTTCCTTAACACCATCACCCAGGCTGGCAATACCCAATGAGGGCTATTTGTAGAAAGACTGCAGGTGCTGGTTTACCCTGGGACCCTGGCCTGCAGTTGCAGCCTCAGCATAGTTACTCATAGTGCCCCTTTCACCCTGGAGTGTCCCAGCTTGAATGGACAAGTGCTGCCTTACAGCTTAGGACATGAAGGCCAGCCAGAAGGGTGAGGCAGTAAGTTACTGAAATGTATAGGCAGATCTGCCATCCTGCCAGAAGGTAGATAGGGCAGTGCCCTGTGGAAAGGGTGGGAAGAAGACTCCCCACCAGTAGGCTGCATGGGGGATGACTGCAAGAATCCAGGAGGTGGTCATGAGAGTCAGGCTAAGACAGCTGTGGAAACAGGAAAAAGATGCAGCTGCACAAATCCTGTGGACAAAGGAGGTATCGGGGCACAGAACTAAATGGATTCTGTTCCTTGCTTCCCAGGAGGGATCTTTATGGATTATTCTTCCCCCAATGACAGTCCATTCAAGGTGATCCAAGTGTCACTCAATGTATTAGTCCGTTTTCACACTGCTGATAAAGACTTACCTGAGACTGGGCAATTTACAAAAGAAAGAGGTTTAATGGACTCACAGTTCCATGTGGCTAGGGAGGCCTCACAATCATGGCAGAAGGTGAAAGGCACATCTCATATGGCGGCAGACAAGACAGTTTGTGCAGGGAAACTCCCCTTTATAAAACCATCAGATCTTGTGAGATTTATTCACTATCACAAGAACGGCACAGGAAAGACCCACCTCCATGATTCAATTACCTCCCACCAGGTTCCTCCCACAACACATGGGAATTGTGGGAGCTACAGTTCAAGATGAGATTTGGGTGGGGACATAGTCAAACCATATCTACTCAACCTGCAATTATAAAAGGCCAATCAGCATTTTTAGAAAGTGTAGTAACTTTCAAGTTCCTAGTAAGTTATGTCAGCACTTAATTATTTTACATGAACAACATTTAGCTTCTGACTTCAGCTAGATGAATTTGAGATGAAACATTAAACTGCGTTGATAATCAACAGATACTGATTTAAGTAGCATATCTCAGTGTCTAAGCTCTTGATCTCAGTGTCTAAGCTCTTGAAAAATAATGATTATATATCACCAAAAGCACATCCAAAAGTTATGCAACTTCTTATGTACTGTATAACGAGGGAGGGATCATTCTCTGCTTAAACTGAAAATAATCTAAGTGTTGCTCACACAATTAGGAGCAGCAGAAAAAGGAAGTTACACAGATTATGGATTAATGTTTGTTAAAATGATATACAAACCATGTCAGATGTATCTATTCCGCTGTCCGCTAATATTTGAGCAAGAATTTTCTCTCTTCCTTTTATTACTTCCAACTTCTCCTTCAAAAAATACTTGGGTATGGGAATATCTAATTGTTGCTAGAGAAGAGAAAGAATAAAAAAGAGTATTTCCGTCACAATGCCAGGACTAGAACTTTATTTAAAATATACAGTAAGGACGTGCACATCAAAGACGCTTGCTTTACTTCCCATTTTCATTTAAGAAAAAAAAAATGAGGCCAGCGGAGTGAGGAGAATTCATTTACTAAAGAGACACAAAGTCAGAAAGAAAATCATAACCATGCCCCTTGCTTTAATCATTACAGAAAAGCATCAAGAGTTCACATCAATTAGGCCTCAATTAACTAATGATTACTTAATAGATTTCTTTAAAGAAATACAATATTACCTCGTTTTACCTAAAATAATGGTTCAAATTGCAGTAGTAAAGTATTAAGCTGTAGAGATCTTTGAATTAAACCTAATAATTTATCATTAGCACCGACTATTTGTATGTAAATAGTCACATTTTTTTCTAGTAATTTGGTTTTATTTTTACCAAAATTACCCCATTGCAAAAATTATTTACAAAAGTAGTTTGCTTTATTGTGAAACTTGTTTTTATATAATAAACTTCTATCCTTCATTTGTGCATGTTACCAAATATTTCAAACCAGTGGGGGTTCAGATGAAAATTTATCAGTTCAAATTGAGTAAAAAGGAGTACAGAAGTGCTATTTAAGGATATGGGTATGCCCTTGGCCAATCCCACTGAGAAACATTATCCTAGAATTTCTGTCAGACCTGCCTGGCTGTTTTGACAGGAAAGCAAAGGTCTTTGTTTTCAGAATTGGCTACCTTATTTTTTTTTCCAATTCTAGGTGTGACTCCCCATAACCTCCCTCCAGCCCAGAGAATTTTGGATAGGCCTTCCCCTAAGTAAACATTTAAGCCTAAGAGGGTATCATTTTTAGGACCTGGTGGGACAGTATCCCCATGACTTCTGGGAGGTGACAATGTCTTTTGAACACCAAACCTTTCTGAGGCTCATGGAGTGCTGGGGGTGACGGGAGAGTGAACTAGCAGAGTCTAGTGGGTGGGTGTGGCCTGAGGAGAGAGGGCAGTAGGAGAAGAATGATGACACTTTGATTTAATGTGATTTTATTTATTAACAAGCACATTCAAGTGTGGTACTTTTATAACTTTGAAGACAAAACCTCATTGTCTTATAGCTCCATCTGGTCCATTTGGTACCACAAAATTATAGTTAGCAGGCAGGCGTGGTGGCTCATGCCTGTAATCCCAGCACTTGGGGAGGCTGAGGCAGGTGGATCACCTGAGGTCAGGAGTTCGAGACCAGCCTGGTCAACATGGTGAAACCCCATCTCTACTAAAAATACAAAAATTAGCCGGGTGTGGTGGCATGCACCTGTAATCCCAGCTACTTGGGAGGCTGAGGCAGGAGAATTGCTTGAACCCAGGAGGCGGAGGTTGCAGTGAGCTGAGCTTGCACCATTGCACTCCAGCCTGGGCAAGAACAGCAAAACTCCATCTAAAAAAAAATTATAGTTAGGATTTTGAGGATGAGAAAACAGAGTAACTGAGAATGGAAGAGAAGCAAAGAGAGATATTGGTTGCTCCATCTATGTCCATGATGCGTTTCATGTCCATCCCTGAAACCTTGAGGTTTCTCATTCCCTATGGAGTGGAATCTAGGAAACTTCTGGTGGTAGAGAAAGCCTCTTCCCCACCATATATGTCTCTCTATGAGGTGGGCCCATTAGGAAAGGTTCCTCACATGGCAGGTTACAGACATAGTCTTCGGACTAAGGGGCAGTTTAAGGAAGGATTTGGGGAACTCATGGAACCAAGGGCAGGAACCCAGCTGGGTGTTTGTCAGTACCAGGGTTGTGGCCAAGAATGAAGATGCCTTCAGCCCACCCCAACCAACCATGTGGGATTCAGTGACAGCACATGGTTCAGTCACTATTTCTAGGACTGCTAGGAAACACTGTTGACCGCCCTCTGCACGAAGGCTTCCTGGATGCCATCTGCTCATTTGTCACTGCTCTTGGTGCTTGGTGGCCCCATCCCCACGGCAACAATGGCATGTCCTTTAGGAAGATGATGTCCCTGGAGCAGAGGGGCCTGGCTGATGCAGCAGGAAAGGCAAGGCCGTGGAGTAGCCGCCACATAGAGCCCCAAATGCGCTATTCCTTAACAACAGGGGCATGACTTCCTATTCTTGAAATTCAACTAATAAATGTAATATTCATTAATTAAATTTAGGAATATGATTTAATAACTATTTGTTTCACAGTTATCCTAAATTGTTCATATTGTCACTTTAGTGAGTAAAGTGCACCAGATTAAATCTGGTGATTGGCCCATGCTCTTATAGATGAATGCAATAAACATAAAACTTTTAGAATAATCATCAACATTTTCATTCATTTCAGTTATTCTCATTACTCCATTCTGATAAAATAATAATGTGAGGAAAGCCTATCTCAGAAAGAAAGGTACCTCTATAAAAGCCCAAATATTTTCAAGGAGAAGAAACGTGAAACCCTCATGTAGAAAATTAAAGACTTTCTCCTTTCGATTTTACTTCAAGGAAATGTTCCTTTCAAAATGAAGGTGAGCTCCCAGGACCATGACACTGAGGGGAGGTGGCCAGTGGCCCCGGCAGCCCAGCCAGCCTGAGTCAGAAGAGAGGCCCTGTGCTCGGCAGGAACGTCGGAGGGCAGCAGCAGGGGCCGAATGCTCGCAGGAGGGGGCTGTGGTTGCCAGGCGCCAGCAGCAAGGGCTCCAGGGAGAGAGGGAAGGAAGGGAAGAGAAGCAGAGGGAAAGAGGGAGAGCAAGCACATGAGCTCTCCTTTGATGTCTGAGGCCCACTGCCATGTAAGCCATACATTCCCCTGGGTCACCACTGACCCAAAGTAAGGAGGAGATGCATCCACTTGGCAATAGGGAACCTGTGACCAACAGGCTACAGAGAGATTCCATGGAAACAGAGGAGCGGGCGCTGCTACTGGATGCTGGGAGGGTCTGTGTTTCAAGGGTGCTGATGAAAGGGCTGGCCCACTGCATTCCAACAGCCCTGGGCAGACACTACGATGTCAGGTAAGACCACAGCCACGACAGTGCCTAACACAGCCAAGAAGTGTGCAGATGCATCTGCACCAGAAAGAAAGGGAGCCCAATCCTTGTCCGTGACAGCATGGTGTAATTGAAGGCAAATGTTTAGATTTTCCGTACACCAACTAGTAAACACGGACAGGAAGTCTGTAGAGTATCGTGTACAGATATCGGGTACATATCTTATTTATAACAAAAAAAAGCAACTAATAAGAAAACAACAGAGTGCTTACGGGGGCCAGCTTGAGATCCTGCAGGATATCATCGAAATAATGGAACTCCGTGAGTTCCAGCTCCACCATCTCGTTCTTCAGCTCCAGGATGCGGCCCATCACCCCGTCCAGGACTTTCCTGATCAGTATTCGTTTCTGGGGGTGGACGAACTGGTCGTAGACATTCTCTAGGTTTCTAAAGATCTGCACATACTTTACGTAGAAGGTGGCTAATGTTTGAAAGATGAAAACCTGATTTCTTTGTGGTTCAATCATCTTCTGAGGCTCTTTATCGAGTAAAGCACCGAGGGCTTCTTGGGTCTGATGCCACATCTTATTATACATTCTGGGGGAAGAGAGAGAATTTAGATGATACAGTAAATAAAAATCACTTGGTAAAACATAAACATCGGGCCTCTGGTATAGCAAAATATAACACAGAATCAAGTGTGAGCTAAGAATATAGTTATATAGTTGCAAGGCTTGATAGACAATTTATATCCTGTTCTGATGTCCTTCTGATTTCTGAATATGTACCACCACTATTATCATCAAATAAATAGTTTAAAAAGCATTTTGTCTAAATGATATAAAGTTGTTCCTCACTTGGCCCATAAAGCCACTATTATTATACCCATTTAAAAGATGACAAAGTTGATATCCAGAATAGTTAACTTATTTGTCCATATACACAGCTGGTGAAGTATATTTTGGAACAACCAGTTTGGAAAGTAATGTAGCATTTTCTTATTAAGTTGAACGTGTGCATACCCTGTGAATGAATAATTATACCCTAGAGAAACTTGTAAATATGCATCAAGAATGATCACTTGCATTTTTTAAATAATAGTAAAAACCTGTAGATAACATAAATGTCCACCAGTAAGAGAGTGGATAAATAAATTGTAGTATATACACCAATGGACTATCACACAGCAGTGAAAAATGAATGAATGAAGTACAGCAAAAGGCAACCACTAAGAATCTTAGAACCATGATGTACAGTGTGAGAAATGAGGTGCAGGCTGGGCGTGGTGAGGTGCAGGCCAGGCGTGGTGGCTCTCGCCTGTAATCCCAGCACTTTGGGAGGTCGAGGCAGGTGGATCACGAGGTCAGGAGATCGAGACCACCCTGGCCAACCCCGTCTCTACTAAAATACAAAAAAAAAAAAAAATTAGCCAGGCATAGTGGCGCCCGCCTGTAGTCCCAGTTACTCAGGAGGCTGAGGCAGGGGAATCACTTGAACCCGGGAGGTGGAGTTTGCAGTGACCCGAAATCATGCCGCTGCATTCTAGCCTGGCAACAGAGCGAGACTGTCTTAAAAAAAAAAAAAAAGAGTGAGGTGAGGTGCAGACTGTGGCCTGGGAGGCTGAGCTCTCTGGAATGCACCAGCTGGGCTCTCTGCCCTCATTCCAGTGAGTTGAGTTAGTGGACTGAACAAAGAGGAAGCCAGAGAGCAGAGGAGTATGACCCTCTTGTCCACACCCTGGCGAGGCAACAAAGGCTGGGTGTGCCCTTCCACCAAAGCCTTAAGGTGGTGGTGGCTCTGCTGTGGCTGGCCCCAGAATACTGCCCCATCCTTTGCCGGTTTCCCGAGACTATGTCCACATCTTTGTTACTGGTCCCTTTATTAGGCCCTCATGAGTGTCCCCGCTTTTCCTGCCAGAGCCAATACCTTCATGGTAGAGATTCCCACCTTCCCCTACCAAATTTCAGGTGATTTTTTTATTCTGCTTTTACATTCAAGAACCAGGACTGAAAAGTGAACTGGAAAGTCAGTGTGTCTGGGAAGGAGCTTCACTGTAGAAAGTGGGTGTGGAGAGCCCTGATCATTGATGAAGGAGAAATCGAAAAATGTCAGTATCTCTCTGTAAGGCCTTTCCCTATGCTAAGGGGAGGGGGCAGCCCTAATCCCCTGAAGGAGAAGCAAGCCGGTCAAGGGGGCTCACCTCTTGTTTACTGTCAGCCAGGCCACTCATTCCCGTGCTTACCTGTGCCTGGCGTCCTGAGTCCAGGTTGGCTGCATGTGCCATTTTCTGCCTGGTTGGCTAGTGCCTTAGCCACTTGCTCTCTGGGGTGTACAAGTGATTGGCGGCCTAAATGTGGCCTATACAGATCTGCAAGCAGTCCTCCAATTTCAGCCCTGTCCCAGAAGAACCAGGCTCCCACCTGGCTTCCCAGGGAAACAGCTGGCTTTTGATCACCCAGCCCCACTCACTGGCTTTCAGGTCCCACATTCTCTGCCCTTCCTCCATTCCCTCTCATCCATGCCTGCTCTCCCTTTCCCACATTTTCTTTTTTTCTTTTTAGACAGTCTCACTCTGTCACCCAGCCCAGAGTGCAGTGGCACGATCTTGGCTCACTGCAACCTCCGCCTCCTGGGTTCAAGCAATTCTCCTGCCTCAGCCTCCTGGGTAGCTGGGACTACAGGCGTGTGCCACCACCTCAGGCTAATTTTTGTATTTTTAGTAGAGATGGGGGTTTCACCACACTGGCCAGGCTGGTCTCGAACTCCTGACCTCAAGTGATCCACCTGTCCTGGCCTCCCAAAGTGTTGGGATTACAGACGTGAACCACTGTGCCTGGCCTCCTGCATTTTCTTGGTATCTCTTGTCAAATGTTTTCTTTGTCCTTGTGAGTTCATAGCTTTAAAATCCTTTATTGCCATTTTGGAGGCAATTCAGGAGGAAGAGGAGATAAGTATCCATGGTTAACCACCCTGTTTGACTGGGACTCTCTCTTCTACATTCCCAAGTCATTATTAAGCAGCCCCTCCAGGCATCCTCTGCCCCAGGCTCACCATCTGCCATTCCTCAAACATGCTCCATTCTTCCCTACAAACTAAGCATCATTTATTGAAGCACTGATTAAATGTGCTTTTTTCACCTTTCTGGCGAAAAGGTAAAAGCGTATCTTGATGTTTGCAAGACTTTTGGGTTCAGATGATGATGATGATGATGATGATGATGATGATGATGGCGAAGGTAACAGCTTACATTTATATACTGTCAGTCACTGTCCTAAGTGGTTTCCATGTAATAACTCGTGTAATCCTCACAACAACCCTATGAGGTAGGCATAATTATTAGTCCAGTTTATATATGAGAAAACTGAGGCAAAGAGAAGTTACTGCCCAAAGTCACAGAGTTTGAATGCAGGACGTACATGTAGGCAGTCCGGCTCCAGAGTTCATGCTCTAAACCACTTGACTTCATCGCTTCCCGTTTGTCAGGGAGAAAGCAGACGAGGAAGGAGGGGTCCCGTGACACAGAGGTAATTACATCACAAGCAAACAGACTGAGCGTAAAAACCAACACTCTTCCCCCCAACACCCCACTGAGTCAGGAGACTGAATTCTGCCTTTAGAATCCCATCCCCAGCACGTCCGAATGCCAGATTTCTCAAAACTTAGCAATATTTAAACTATTGCTAGTGAAAGAGCACTCTTCCAGACCAGCTTATTATAAGAAAGAAGGTTATTATCAGAAAATTAGGATTCCACTTGGCACAGTGTATTAGTCCATTCTCGCATTGCTATACAGAAATACCTGAGACTGGGTTATTTATTTGTTTATTTTGAGATGCAGTTTCGTTCTCGTTGCCCAGGCTAGAGTGCAGTGGTGCGATCTCAGCTCATTCCAACCTCTGCCTCCCAGGCTCAAGTGATTCTCCTGCCTCAGCCTCCCGAGTAGCTGGGCAGGCATCCACCACCATGCCCAGCTAATTTTGTATTTTTAGTAGAGACAGAGTTTCTCCATGTTGGTCAGCCTGGTCTCGAACTCCCAACCTCAAGTGATCTGCCCACCTCGGCCTCCCAAAGTGCTGGGATTACAGGTGTGAGCCACCACGCCCAGCAAGACTGGGTAATTTATAAAGAAAAGAGGTTTAATTGGCTCACGGTTCCACAGGCTGTACAGGAAGCATGGCAGCATCTGCGTCTGGGGTGGCCTCGGGGAGCTTTTACTCATGGTGGAGGCAAAGTGGGAGCAGGCATCTCACATGGCGGGAGCAGGAGCAAGAGGAAGGTGGGGAGGTGCCACACTCTTTTAAACAACCAGTTCTCATGATAACTCACTATCAAGAGAATGGCACAAAAGGGGAAATCCACCTCCGTGATCCAATCACCTCCCACCAGACCCCGCCTCCAGCATTGGGGATGACAGTTTGACAGGAGAGTTGGGTGGGGACACAAATCTAAACCATATCACACAGAACACACATTGACTCCTGGCAGAATTAGTGACTAATAAACAATTACACTGATCAGGAACAACAACAACCATCACTCAAAAGAACAACAACAAAAGCAACACCTCATGCCAGTTCAAAGTTCCTGGGACCCTCTGACATTCTGCTTGTCCCACCTCAAATAGACAAGCAGGAGGGGCTGGAAGAAGCAAAGATGATTGAGATGATCAAGGGAATGGTTTGGCTGTGGACAACGATCAAGAACAGAGGATCAGCATGGTGTGAGTTTTCCAAAGTCCAGACTTCTAGGGCCCGAGAAGGGACAGTAAACCCAAGGCGCTCACTGGCCTGAGTGAGGATACAGGCTAGACATACTAACAGGTGTGACAACTGTTGACATAAAACAGAACCATGCTCAAGTTGCTTTGTGAGCTTAATAGGATTTGGGGCCCAAACCTGCCAGGACAACATTCAAGAGGAAAATGACAGGCTAATTTTGTTTAGAACTCGGATCTGAAACTCCACTTAGAAAACAGACTGCAGCTCCAGATCAAAAGAATTGTTCCCTCTAACCCAGGAGGGTTGACTGCAGGAGTGCTTTTCAGTTCAACACAGAGGAAAGCATAACTCCAGACAGCAACAGTCCAGCAAAACCCCAGCTTGTTTCATAGATGCCAAGAAGATGCTCAGTAAATTGTAACTTGCAGCACAGGCCTGATTAAAAATGCCCTCCCCACACACCAACAAAAAAAGAATGACGACTTCTTCAAAGTGCCAAAAACCAGTGACCCAATGGACCTTCAGTGGAGAAATGCTAGAAATATGCCCCCAAAATTAGCAGTAAAAAAGGACAAGGGGATACGTAAGTAATTAATATAAACCATTTTTTAACACCACTGCTTATAAATGGCATGACTGCAAAATCCAAGGAAATCAGTAACAAAAATACATCAATTAGTACAGCAAGGGCCAGGCGTGGTGGCTCACGCCTGTAATCCCAGCACTGGGTGACTGAGGTGGGTGGATCATTTGAGGTCAGGAGTTCCAGACCAGCCTGGCTAACATGGTGAAAACCCACCTCTACTAAAAATACAAAAATTAGCTGGGCATGGTGGCAGGCGCCTGTAATCCCAGCTATTTGGGAGGCTGAGACAGGAGAATTGCTTGAATGTGGAGGCAGAGGTTGCAGTGAGCCGAGATCTCACCACTGCACTCCAGCAAAAAAAAAAAAAAAAAAAAAAAAAAAAAAAATACAGCAAAATTGCAATACTTTAATGCAGAGAAAAAAAATGAAAGCAGAAACCCATTCACAGCACCAATAAAGAACAATAAATATTTAAGAATTCACATGGTGGAAGCCACATGAAATCTAGCTAAAGGAAATTCTAGAATGCTAGGTACAGATCAGTGCAAGCAGAAGTCACTATCTGCTCCTGTCTAAAGAGACAAACCCTGTCTCTACTAAAATCACAAAAATTAGCCGGGTGTGGTGGCATGCGCCTGTAATCCCAGCTACTCAAGAGGCTGAGATGGGAGACTCACTTGAACCCGGGAGGCGGAGGTTGCAGTGAGCCGAGATTGCACCACTGCACTCCAGCCTGGGAAACAGAGCGAGACTCCATCTCAAAAAAAAGAAAAGAAAAGCTATAAAGACAGAAGACTTTCAAGACATACATACAGATTTAATATGGCCAAGAATTCAGTAACAATAGACTAAAGACTATAAATAAATCTAGTAATAACTTTTAAATATGGGAGTGGAACAGACAGTAAAAGTTAAAAGGCATCTTATACTTCCAACATTGGCCACACCAACAAGCATTAAGTTTGTACAATACCCTGAAGAGGCTGCCTCCGTGAAGTTCAGGTGGGGTGATCTGAACCCCACAAAGACCCAAAGTCAACAACAGCAAGAGATCTCGGGTTGAAGAGGCTCCTGCTTCCACCAGGGGGAAACCACAGCCGACCTGATGGGGCAGAGCACAGCCAGATTTTCTGGATGTCTAGACCTGCTGTGGGCAGAACCATCCAGGGGAGCCCAGTCGCTCCAGGTCAGAGCCCTCATTGGCTTCAGTTGGGTCAGAGAAGCAGGACTTTTCCAGGGCCTCACGGAGCTGACCCATAACTGGAATTTTTGGTCAAAGACAGTCCTGGTGGCTTGAGCCTTCCGGGTCCTGCCATTTCTTTCTTCCCCAACTGCAGTCTGTCTGGGGAATCCCTGTCTGGGGGAGACCAGGCAAAGATTCCCGGCTGACAGGAAAATGAGCAGCTTTGAAAGCACACGGATCCCTGCATCATTACCTGTTTTCCTCAGCGCTGAGAGACGGCGTCATCTCCTTCCACCAGACCCTCTTCCCTCGAGACTGTCTCTGGCTTCCTGCTCCCCAGCTGTCCTGATGCCTCTCCACGTGACCACACCCCCTCCCACACTGGACCGCCAGGGACCTGGGCACCATGCCTCGGCCACGCCAGCCTGGGGAGCCCCCACTTTGCGCTCAGCCCATCTGGCCTTGCGCCCCACCTCCTCGCCCTGCAGCCTCAAGCCTCTTTCTGCTTGAGCCCAGCCATGAAGGTCAAATGAGACAAGAGAGGCGGCAAGATGATTTTTCATAAGAGCATTGATGAGAGAGAATTCACACAGCATAGAATTCACTCTTTTCAAGTGTACAATTCAGTGGTTTTCAGCATAGTTGTGCAACTACCACCATTATCTAACTCCAGAACATTTTCATCACTGGGAAAGAAACCCACACCCGTGAAGCAGTCACTCCCCATTCCCCACTCCTCCCTGCCCTTGGCAACCCCTAACCTAATTTCCATCTCTTTTTGCCTATTCTGGACACTTCACAGAAGTGAAATTACACGGCGGTGGGGGGGGGCGTTCAGTGCTGAGCTCCTTTCCCTCGGTGCGGTGTCCTCAAAATTCATCCACACTGTCGCATACTTTGTACTTCATTTCTTTCTATTGCTAAGTTTCCTTTGTACAGATACACCACATTTTGTTTATCCATTCGCCAGCCCATTGACACTTGGGTTGTTTCCGCCTTCTTTGCTGCTGTGAGTAATGCTGCTAGAAGCATTCCTGTGCGAGTTTCTGCGTGGAAATATGTCTTTATTTTCCCTGGGTAGGGCAAGGTGGTTTTCAAAGGTAAAAGTGCTCTACATTTAAAATAGAAACCAGTGTCCTGAGCAGCTCATCCCTGGAGGTCACTCAATCTCTTCATGCTTACGCCTCCTTCACTGGCAAACCTGGATGATGAGACCAACTCTGGACACCTCCAGGGACTACTGTGGGATGGTGATGTGGTTTGGCTGTGTCCCGACCCAAATCTCATCTTAAATTTTAGTTCCATAATCCCCACGTGTTGTAAGAGGGACCCAGTGGGAGGTAACTGAATCATGGGGACAGTTACCTCCATGCTGTTCTCATGATAGTGAGTTCTCACGAGATCGGACGATTTTATCAGGGGCTTTTCTCCCCACTTTGCTCTGCAATTTTCCTTGCTGCCGCCATGTGAAGAAGGGCATGTTTGACTTCACCTGCTGTCATGATTGTAAGTTTCCTAAGGACTTCCCAGTCCTGCAGAACTGTTAGTCAATTAAACCTCTTTCCTTTATAAATCACCCAGTCTCGGGTATGTCTTTATTAGCAGTGTGAGAACAGACTAATACAGATGGAACAACAGGTGTGAAAGTGTTCCTGGAATTTTAAATGCACTTTGCAAACAGAAGGTAATATTTTATCCATGAGACTACTTAACAGTTTTTGAAAGTATATGATTGGTTTCAGACTTGAGCATATGACTTAGAGATATGACAGATTTTGAAGTCAGGAGGCTTGTGGATGAAGACTGAATATGACAGTTAAAAAGACCAGACTGTTATTTCTACAGCTTGGCAGTTTTCCTATAACGGAGTGGGTAGGGGAGGGAAACACTTGAATATTCACTTGAATATATGCACTTCCGTGGGAACTCAAAATATTGCACAATGGGAATTCTTTTCAAGTTATTTTGCACAAGATAAAACCTTCTGAATCTTCCAATCTTAACTAGTTTGCTGTCTTCTTCCCCAAATACTCCCCCTGCCTTCTTGCTCTACGGAAGGCCTGTCTCTGCTCAGAAGCCCTCTCAGTAGAGGCTCCTGTTACCCCCAGAGCCCTCTGTCTCTGGCTGTGGGGCTGGGTCAAGGGGACCCCTTCTCTTCACTGCACCTCCAGACATTTGCCTTCCCTCCTCCCAACACTCCCAGGCTTTGAATCCCATTTCATCTGATGCTGTCACCACTGCCCCTCAGTCACCATCATCTTCCATCTACCATGATCGTTCCAGGCCACCTCCAGAGCACCCACCCACTGAATAGCATCTTGATGCTGCCTTCCTACCTGTTCCATTGTTAAGTGCTGAGTTCCTCTACCTAAGGCCAGCACCCCCTGGATCCCATGTCCTCTCACTACCAACGATGTCACCCACTTCTCCCTCCTCCTCCTATATCATTCTGGGCCATTCCCTTCCACACACAAACATTCTATTGTTTTCTGTCTTGGAGCCATGTCCTCTGCCTCTAGCTGCCAACATATTTCCTTTCCTCTGCAGCAAAACTCCTTTAAAGAGTTAGCTATGCTCACCATCTATAGTTTCTCTCCCCCTACATTCACTTGAGTAAGTCTTTCTATCTCATCATACCACTGAATCAGCTCCTGTCAAGGTCACTGGTGAACTCCACACTGCCAAATCAACAGTCAGTTCTCAGTTCTACCCCAACTTGTCTCAGGAGCACTTGATGGAGGAGAAAGAAGTTACTTCTCCTGGAAACACTATTATTTCTTCCACTCGCTTCTTCCTCATGGATCATGTCTTTGATTCCTTTGCCAGGTCTCCTCTTCCCCCAGCCTTACTGTGGATGATCCCAGGATCAGTCCTTACACCTCTTTATTAATATTCATTCTATGTCTCACAAAGACCATCACAGGCTGACAGTGAGCAAGTTTATATTTCAGACATGGGTCTCGCTCCTGAACCCAAGATCTGAATATTTTAATTGCCTATTTCATCTCCACGTGATGTCCAATGGGCACTTCCAACTCAATACGTCTTAAACAGAACTCTTGATCTTCCCCATTTCCAAACCCTGGCAAGCCTTTAACCTCTCTGCTCTTATTTCCTTGCCTAGAATACAGGGCACGTAATAGCAACAGTGCAGGCTGGAGCTACAGTGCCCGGCTTGGCACTGTTCACTTGCTGTGTGAACTACTTCACCTCTTCATCCCCAAGTTCCCTCATCTGTAAAATGGAAATAACAATATTAACAGCCCCTACGTTACAGGGTTGCTGTGAAGCGGTTAGAACAGTGTCTACAGGGTCAGCGCTGTAATACCTGTTGGAAATTATTCTTACGAAGACCAAATGAGGTAACTTTGTGCAAGTGCTGTGTAAACGACACAGTGCTAGGCACACACTTCTTTCAGTACCAATGCCACTCGAGTCTGTGAAAAGCAAATGTCAATAATGCTTTCCCAAGATCTTTCTAGACTTAAATTTCAGGACCTAGGTGTTTCCACAAAGCACCGTATTTGTTACCGTGAAAGATTAACAAAAAAAGCAGACAAAATGGCATAGTGCTTCTCAGCAATAGCCCCTAAGGGCTTGGCAGGTATACGGAAGACTGGGAGCTCATCCCCATGGGGTGGTGGGACGCGTAGGGGAGGGGGAGATCTAAGTGTATGATTTTCCTTGCTCACAAGAAGCAGATACTCTATCCCGAGGCATATTTGAATTTCCTAAAAGGAAAAAAAGTGGGGGAGAGGAGGGAAGTTGAGAGGGGAGGAGAAAAGAAAAGAAAAAAGAAAATAAGAGAAGCAGAAAGCAAGCCACCTTCTGGCTTGGGGAAGCCCACTCCATGGCTGTGGCTGGGAGCCCATCACTTACGCGTTCGACATTGCTGGCTACTTTCCCTCTTTTCCTCGCCCTCCGGGAAGCTCTTCCGTTGCTCTCTGAAGGACGGTGGCAGCAGGGGTCAGGGCACTACCAGGAGCTACAGAGGATTTGGGTGGGGGGTCTTCTGGAGGGAGAAACCAGGACTGCGAGAATCTTCTGCTTCGGGCAGGAAAAGGTGAGGCCGGGTTTGCTTCGCAGGCACGGAGCGCGCAGGCGCAGAGAGGTGTTTCACTCCTTCCCGTCGCGACCCAGAGACTCGCGAACCTCACTTCGGCCACTCAGGTGGGCGCGACGCGGCCCTAGCAACGGAAACGCCGCGCCTGCGCATTGCCTTCCGCCTGCCCCCTCCCCCCCCCCGCCCCCCGCATTCCGCGCCTGCGCCACCGCGGGAGGCCTGGGTGGGCGCAGCTGTGGGAGCCGGTCGGAGTCCGAGCGCTCCGTCGCGGGGCCCGGCCGCTTGGCGAGCCTGCTCCGGGCCCCAGCACTTAGCCTGTGGTCCTCCAGGCCGTCTTCCCGCTTTCCTGCTGGCCCCATTTTCATCCACTGTCAGCTCTGCGGCCTTGGGCAAGGCCCTTAATGATGGTGGTCTTCAGTTTTCCCATCTGTAAACTGGGTATAACAGTCGTTCGTTCAGAACTTTACTGGGCATCTATTCTGGGCCAAGTGCAGACTTAGATTCTGGGCACCCAAGACTTAGGCAGACGCGCCCTTCGGAGACTTAATGAGTATGAACTAAGGCGCGGGTGCGTTGTAAATGTAAAATGCAGTGTGGATGCTATTAACAGTTATCCGTAAGTCGCTATGAGTGTTGGCTTTCATTGCTCTTCTTTCTTCGACTTTAGTAACTGTTGAGGTTTATTTGCACATTTTAGACCCTGCAGCTCCTATTGGAACGCCAGGTTTAATGCTGTCAAAGGCGTGGAGAGGACATCCAGGTAAAAATTATAATCAGGATCACAAAACCTCTCCCCCACCATTACTAATGAAATGCGCAAAAGCATAGTAAAAGCCAGCCCTCCGCACCGCCTTCAAATAATGGAGCAAATTATTTCTCAGACGAGAAATTGAGTACAACCTTGTACCGTAAACTTCAAAAACTCAGTGAAATAGCAGCTTGCCGTGGAGAATGGTGTCCAGCCTCATCTCCACCCTCCCAAAGCCCTTCAGGGGGCAGAGACCAAGTAGACACAACACCAAGAATTCTCATTAATGCTTTTTGATGCAAAGAATACACACACTGAAAAGAAGGGGTATGAAAGGGTGAGCCGAACGAGGAAACACCTGGGGAAATCCGGCCAGATAAAACCATCCTGAGTGGAGGTCAATCCCTACCGCTCCCAGGACCTGAGCAGGGACAGGAGAAATCTCCAGGGCTTGCCTTTTTCTAGGTCCCTACATTGAATTGAGGCAAAGATTCAAAGTCAAAGGGCATGTTGTCACAGGAATAGGGCACACTCGTGACAAGAGTGGGAGGATGGTGGTAAAGGAGCTTATCAAAATCTCAGAAGAGAGCACAGAGCCTGGAAGTTGTGTGGATTCAAGGGAGCAGTCCTTATCCTAAATGTGTACTCAGGTTCCAGAAAAGCAGAGAAAAGTGCAGTATCTCAGCTCTGGAACTCAGATACAGTGAGAAGACAGTCAAAGAGAATTCGCCCACATTATATTTGAACAAACAGAACATTTTCAAAGAGCAACACGTGTTAAATAGGAATAAGACAGAAAGAAGCAGCATATCCACTGTCTAAAACCAAGACTTTCATAAAAGTAGAAGAAAAGAAAGGATTATAACATAGGCCAGACAAGTGAAAGAAAGTCTGGAGAAAATCTAACCAAATAAATAAAAGCAGAAAAATCTTTTTTGTTTGTTTGTTTTGAGATGGAGTCTCCCCCTGTCACCCAGGCTGGAGTGCAGTGTGTGATCTCGGCTCACGGCAACCTCCACCTCCCGGGTTCAAGCAATTCTCCTGCCTCAGCCTCCCACGTAGCTGGGATTACAGGCGCCTACCACCATGCTCAGCTAATTTTTTGTATTTTTAGTAGAGACAGGGTTTCACCATGTTAGTCAGGCTGGTCTGGAACTCCTGACCTCAGGAGATCTGCCCGCCTCGGCCTCCCAAAATTCTGGGATTACTGGCGTGAGCCATCGCGCCCTGCCAAAACAGAAAAATCTTTACTTGTGCTCCATGCTATAGAATAAGCTAATAAGAACATTAAGGTAATAAAATAAGAACTGGGAGAAAATATAAAACAATGGAATGAGAAAGGAAGGAAGATTACACAGCTAAGGAAACCAAAAGAAAAACAGAAGTAGTGCAATACAGAAAATAAGTTGGAAAAACCAAGAAATAGACCAGGCACAATTCAGCTGAATTACTGACTTAGAGGAAAAACCTGACTCAATTACAGTAAATGTAGAGAGGAAAGAGTGAGACACCTGAGCAATTTACAAAAAGGGTTAGTTGATATTCCTGCAAGAAAGACCTTCAACATTAGACTATTTTCAGAGATACAAGAAATGTTTTTGAAATAAAAGAATTAAATCTGCAGATCAGAAATTCTCACTGTGTTCCAGGGAAAACTGATATACAACACTCAACATCAGGAAATGTCCTGGATACATTATTGAACTTCAAAGAGAAATGGTAGGAGAAATCTGGCTAGCCTCAGATTTTGATGTCAGATGAAAATGAAGCAATATTTACAAAGTTCTTGGGGAAAAGTGTGACCCAAGACTATTTCTACTCATTCACGTTAATAGTCCCAATATGAAAGCCTTCAGGAGATACAGCACTCATGTGCAGATTGACGTGTTAACAAATGCAAATAATAGAAACCCAGTGAACATTGGCTTAAACAATAGGAAGATTTAAAATCTCCCTTAACACCAAGAATAGAGGTGGTGGCTCATGATCTCAGTGGCTCAGTGACATCATCAAGGATCAGTCTTCAATGGTCTTTCCATCTTTTGGAGCTGTCATAGTAACCATACGAAATGACTTCCTTTGTGGTCATAAAATGCCTGTCACAGCTCTAGGTCTTATATCCTCACACTGTGACATCCCAAGATAGAAAAAGAACCAGCAGGGAAATATGATACACATTACTGTTTTAGAGTAATGGGGATTTACCTGCATTAAGAGGTAGAGAGGTAGATGAAGGAACCCAATCAGAACTCTGTCAGCACAGAAGAAGGCAGGATTGGCTGTAATGTAGGCACCATTCAGTATGAGCCACCCATGAACTCTTCTAGCAAATAAATTACTTGATGATGAAATACAGACAATCAAAAGATACAAATCAGGTGAAAAAGATTAGCATAATACTCAATATGAGAAGACGGTGGAACAAGGTTTCTCAATTCTGCAAGAGAACAAATATAGTTCCTCTGTGATTATATCTTAGGAGCTTTGCCAGTTGCTGCACTTAATGACCTCTTGTTCTCTGTCAGGAAGTATTTGGGACCTGACATAGATCATTTATTAAATCTTATTAACTTTGTGAGGTAGGTAATATTTTCTTCCCCCCACCAACTTTTTTTTTTTTGAGATGGAGTTTCGCTCTTGTTGCCCAGGCTGGAGTGCAGCGATGTGATCTCGGCTCACTGCAACCTCCACCTCCTGGGTTCAAGCTATTCTCCTGCCTCAGCCTCCTGAGTAGCTGGGATTACAGGTACCCACCACCATACACGGCTACTTTTTTGTATTTTTAGTAGAGACGGGGGTTTCACCATTTGGCCAGGCTGGTCTTGAACTCCTGACCTCAGTGAAACCCAGAGAAGTTAAGCAACGGTATGTCCAAAGCCATACTCAAAATGATCATGTAGTTGGTATTCAAGTCACCTGGTAGTCTGGATTCAAAGATAACACACCTATTATCTTTTTGTTGGTAGCAACACCTACCTTACTATTTGTTTAAAAAAATAGGTTTTCTGCGAGACAAATGTTACTAAAAGCTGGTTCTCATAACAACCCATCCTTTAGGAAAAATCACTGCTACCTAGGTACATGGATACAGTAGAAAAGGTTACTTTATCCTCAACATTTAATAATTCATACAGCCTCAGAACCAGACTGCCAGGTCCCTGGGGAAATTAGTCTTCTCAGTCTTCTTGCTACATGTGACATTTGGGCAAATATTTATTGATACTTGTTCTGTGAAAAACACAATACTCAACACCATGCAATAGAAAAAAAGTTGGCTCCGATAGGAAGAATTCTGCCTGCAGGAGTGGAGGAGAGGAGGGGATCATTCAGCAGAACACAGGCTTCTCATCACACGTGCATTTTCACGTGGGGTAATAGGCCTGGAAGGGCTGTTCCAGGTTGGTCGTCAGATCTGCTTCCTTCAGATTCGTCCAGCCCCCAGGACCCTGCCACCTCCTAAGCATCCCTTCTCTGCCAACACACTTGCAGTGAGAGGGGCGCCTGACCCCTCTGGGAAGCCCATTCTGGTTTCGGAAAACTCTCACTATTGCTCTTTGGTTTTACATTGAAGCTCCAGGGAAAAACAGAACAATCCAATCCCTCTTTTTTTTTTTTTTGTTTGAGACGGAGTCTCGCTCTTGTTGCCAAGATCTTGTGCGATCTTGACTCATGGCAACCTCCGCCTCCTGGGGTTCAAGCGATTCTCCTACCTCAGCCTCCCGAGTAGCTAGGATTGCAGGCATGTGCCACCACATCAGGCTATTTTTTTTTTTTTGGTATATTTAGTAGAGATGGGGTTTCTCCATGTTTGTCAGGCTGGTCTCAAACTCCCGACCTCAGGTGATCCACCTGCCTTGGCCTCCTGAAGTGCTGGGATTACGGGCGTGAGCCACTGTGCCCGGCTTCCAATCCCTCTTTTATGGGAGCAGTCTTTGAAAAATTTAAGCCCATGTCCACCTGTCCACCTGCACCCCCCGCCCCTAATCAAAGTCCTCTTGGTTACAGAGTAAGAACCCTCAGCTTCTTCTACATTACAAGATTTTAAGTTGTCCTTCCCTCTGTGATGCTGTTAACACAACTTAGCATCCTTCAGACATAAACCAATGAAACAAAAGCTTCTAGTGGGAGGTGGTAGGCATTTCATCAAGTAGCAAAAGGGGCCCTTCCTTGAGTCTCCACACCTTAGATCCATTGTAGGGCGGTCACGCCACACCGATGACTCATGATGCCCATAGTCAGCTAACCCCCCAAAACTGCCTACAGTGTCTCCTGCTGAATGTCTCCTCTGTTATTCAGTGCATACATCATCCCATCCAGTTCCACGTCATCCCTCAAATGATCCATGCTATTGATAAACATGTTCTCAATGACAAAGCCAGGGCGCCCCACAGCATGGCACCAGAAATGAGTTCAAGTTAGCACCAATCCACAAGTTATAAACCTGCCAGCTGTGCTATCATCTGGCTTGTATTCCTCCTTGCCCTCAACAAATCCATGAGATAAGGATTTTCAAGCGCACAGTAATATGCAGCTATATCCTAGCTATAGCATTGCCTTATGTATTATGTTAGTAACTACAGAAATTTACAATTAGGCTGATCTGGCATGTCTTGTTTTTGGAAAATCCAAGATGATAATACTTGTTATCTCTGCTTCCTTTTCTAAAAACTCACAAATCATTTTAATGGTCTGGAATATTTCCTGTGATCACATGAAGTTCACTGGGCCAGAACCTGACCTATTTTATTTTAATGAGTCATCAGTCACTCAGAACCGCACAATTCTCTCCTGTAGTTTTTTTCATTATGCCATGACAATTCAGCCAAACCAGGGAACTTGTTTCTTTACCAGGCCTGAACCGGGGTTAAAGGGTCCCAAAGCAGCTCATCTGTCTACACCTCGGTCTAAGACAACTCAAGCTGCAACAGGAAGCAGGGCCTTTTCCTGCCACACGGTGGCAGGCCAGCCACTAACCAGTCAAAGTGGGGAGGATGCAATGCTTCCTGCTGCCACCTTCTCACCCAAGGACCCAGGCTCCTTCCTCACCTCCTTCGCTAACACCCCCTCCCATTTCCCCCAGTAACGGTAAGACTAAAGCATGACAAGACAGGAATACACTGTACCAAAAGATGAGGCTGTAAATACCAAGCACAGTGGACTGAGACCTTGCCCAGGAAGGCTCCTGGCAGCTTGCGGGAGAGCACTGGCCATGGAACTGACCATTAACATCCACCAAGGAGAAGCTACTTCCTTGAAGGGCCAGAGCAGGTCCTGGGCTTCCAGGGAGGACCAGAGCTCTGCTCCATCCACCCTGGTCTCTCTATCCTACTCAGTTCCATTCCAGGGTCCCATCCTGCCAGGCCTGAGTGATATTAATAAGCTTATTTTCTCTTCTTACATGAAAACTCTGAGCTTACTTGTTTAGTAACCATTCTGTGTACCTTGCTAGGCATCTGAGGTCCAAATCATTATTTTGATTCACTTTTCAAATAATTTCCTCTAAATTGGTCACTATTTCTTCCACAATTACTATGTTTTTGTCCTAAACAGTTGATGCCTTATTTTATGTCAAATGTACATGTCTTTATACAGCCTCATAATCAGACTGCCAGGTATCTGGGAAAATGTTTTTTTCTCCGTGTTCTCAATATGTATGAATTCAGTTGGGCAAATATTATGGACACCCATACTATGCCAATCACAATACTCAATGTGGTGCAATAGAAAAAGAAACCTTTGATAGGAATTCAGCCTTCAGGGAGTGGAGTAGAAGAGATAAAGGTAGGGGGTGATTAAATGTCACAGCACAAAGTCTTTTGGGAGTTTAGAAGAGAGAGGGGCTACTTTGCCCTTGGGAAAGTGGAAGGTGTTATGCTGGTGGGATTAGAGCTAGCTACGTAAAAGGTGAGTGGGGCTTTGACCTGAGGAAATGGGAGACCATGCCAGGTGAAGGAAACAACACGGCAAAGGTAGAGCAGCAGGAAAAGTACAGGGATATGTTCGTTCGAGAGCCAGTATTTGCCTTTGACCTGGGAATCGACTCAGGCCAGATGTTATATGGACTTGATAGCAGGCCGAGAACTTTGGACTGAATTGTACGGCGACCCTCAAACTATGGAGGTTTATGTGAGCAAGATAATTGCTCACAGGGTCATGAGGCAGGGGACAATTCAAAGACAAGAAGTAGAGATGAGTGGATAAACAAAATGTGGTGTATATGTAAATAGAACAACATACAGCTGTAGAGAAGAATGAAGTTCTGACACATGCTATAGCATGGATGAACCCTGAAAATATTACGCTGAGTGAAATAAGCCAGACACAAAGGAACACACTTTGTATGATTCCACATCATATGAAATGTCTAGAACAGGCAAATTTGTAAAGACAGAAAGTGGATTAGAGGTTAACGGGCTGGTGGAAGGAGGGAGTGGGGAGTTATTTCTTAATGTGTACAGAGTTTTTGGGGTGATGAAAAATTTTGAAATATAGTGGTGATGGTTGTACAACAACATTGCGGATGTAATTAATGTCACTGAATTACACACTTACAAAGCTAAAATGGCACATTGTATATTTGAGAGAGAGAAGCATGACAAGACAGAAATACACTCTACCAAAAGACCAGGCTGTAAAAACTAAGCACAACAGACTGAGGACCTCGCCTAAGGCTCCTGGCAGCTTGGGGGGAGGCACTGGCTATGAACTGATCATTGACATTGACCAAGGAGAAGCTAACTGATACCTAGACATTTTTGAATGAGAAACGAAGAATAGAGGAGAAGGTATAAAATGTTGAGAAAGTACAATTCATGGGATTGCGGTGTGGCTCAGAGAGGGAGAATTCTGAGCTGAGCTGAGGCTTCAGTGGCAGGTGGCTCGAAGGAGCAGAGCTGGAGGTTGGGCTGGGGAAGGAATGGAGGCTGAAGAATGGAGGAGCTAGAGCGAGTAAGTACAGAGACACCTACTGAAGCTTGGTGAAGGAGACAGGAAGGTAGCTCAAAAGTGATAAGCATATGGGAAGATGTTTCAAATTAGGGAGTCAGAAACTTATTTTTAGGATAAATGGAAAGAAAGAATTTGAAGATGTATTCCTCTGCCAAGTGCACGTCAATTTTTAAACCCTGGTCTAGAAGCACTCTTCTGGGATATAATTTGCACTGGCATCTCACCACCCTTATTTCTTTCCAAGAAATCCCAATACTCTGTGTTCTCACACCATACATAGACCCTTCCCTGAGAGTTTTGGTGGTGTGATTCAGCCTTTAAGGAACCAGCTGGAGTAAGTGGCAGAGTGCTGTTTTGGTAAGTCTTGAAAAGGTTTCTGTAACACCCCAGAGAAAGGCCAGGAAGGCATCATGCCTCTCTTATTGGCCAGGGCACAGTGGGGGTCACCCAGTGTCACACTGTGTCCCTTCCTTCCTAATTATAGGTTTCCTAAAACTCTCGCAATGTGTGGATCATGCCTATGAGTCTGTAGAGCCCAGGATGCTGCTTATTTTCGTTTAATATTTTACTTAGTTTATTGATGCTCAAAACTAGGTAACAATGTAGTCAGGCATGTTATAAGCTGGTTGTTCATTAGAAAATAAAAACTGGGCATTTGATTACTGTAAAATTGTAGTCAGTTGGAGCAACTGTTCCTGATTGTTCCATTTTCTCTTTCTCTTTCCTTCTTTCTTTCTTTCTTTTTCTTTCTTTCTTTCTTTCTCTCTTTCTCTCTTTCTTTCTCTCTCTTTCTCTCTCCTTCCTTCCTTCCCTCTCTCTCTCCTTCTTTCTTTCTTTCTTTCTTTCTTTCTTTCTTTCTTTCTTTCTTTCTCTTTCTCTCTTTCTCTCTCTTTCTCTCCTTCCTTCCTTCCTTCCTTCTCTCTTTCTTTCTTTCTTTCTTTCTTTCTTTCTTTCTTTCTTTCTTTCTTTCTTTCTTTCTTTCTTTCTTTCTTTCTTTCTTTCTTTCTTTCTTTCTTCAGTTTCCCTTTTGTCTCCCAGGCTGGAGTGCAATGGCACCATCTCGGCTCACTGCAACCTCTGCCTCCTGGGTTCAAGTGATTCTCCTGCCTCAGCCTCCTGAGTAGCTGGGATTACAGGCGCCCACCACCACGCATGGCTAATTTTTGTATTTTTAGTAGAGACAGGGTTTCACCATGTTGGCCAGGCTGGTCTCAAACTACTGACCTCAGGTGATCCATCATCTTGGCCTCTCAAAGTGCTGGGATTATAGGCATGAGCCACCGCGCCCGGCTGATTCTTCCATTTTCTAACAGTGTGACTTGGATAAAGTCCAGTAACATTTCTGAACCCAAGTCTATCTCTCTACAAAGGGAAGAATACCCACTGTGTCACTCAAAGCATTGTGATGGAACTCCTTGAATGGTTTTTAAGTTGCCTTTTGCTAGAAAACTGGTGTGACCTTGTGTACTTAGTATCCAGGTGATCATTTGACTCACATGTTTTATATTCCAGAGATTTCGTTCACGAAGTGTTTTTCTGAAAACTCAGTGTTTGTAGCGTTGTTGGAAATTTTCCTCACGTCCTCACTGAATTTGTATTGAAGGAATCGAGTCTTTGAAAGATGGGTTTACCTCCCTGTTTAATAAGTCATAAGTCTGTCGTTTGAGTTGTCCCTGAGTGTGAGTCCTGGAGTTTGAGAACAGTGACTGCTGTGATCCTACCGTGATTTGATGGGCACTTCTAGGCACAGTGAAAGGGAAGTGGAAGTTTCTGGTTGACTTTGATTCAGTTCCAACACGTTCCTCAGGTAGGCCTGCAGAACTGCAGAGAGTGAAGTCAGCGGAGATGAAAGTGAAAAGGTGTAAAGTTCACATTGAATTTGAAGGCCTTCTCCTCTAAACTTAGATGTAAGAAACATTTTCTATGCTTCTAAGTATAAAATGTCATTCTACATAAGAGGTGTATTTTAAAATGTCAGATATTAAACTGTCTGCGGTAACATTCCACTTTTCATGTCTAATGTTATGTCTGTATGAAAAGAAATGGATGAAATGCTAAGCTTGTTCAATTCGAATACATACCTGGAACTAAATCAAATGTGTTTCACTAATTCATAATCATTAAAAGTAAGCATTGGTAGACCCTTGGCCTAATACTTCGAGATCTAACATTCACAGTTTTGTCTTATTCTGAGCCACCCCTAAGGTCGATGGCATGTTATAATTTAATGCGGACAGTTCTACTTCCCTCAGAGGATTGCTGTAAGGATTAAATAAACAATGTATGTAAAGCACTTGGCACGAATTTAAACCAGCATGCTCTTGTGTGGCTGGCAGTCCTGTAAGCTACTGGGGAAGTCTAGAGGGCTGCTGAAAATCGGCATCTCAGTTAGCCGTATTCCTCAGTTTAGGCTTCACAGAAATCCCAGGTGTCAAAGACCCGTTCCATACAGGGTGTTCCGTTGAGGGCTCATAACATGCACATTGCATTCAGAACAATGATAACTACAAACTCCTGCAACAGCTGACACCAACATTCCCAAACAGCAAACAGTTTTGGTTGTGAATCTTGGCTTCTCTCCAGTCTGTTCCCGTAACATATCAACGCATAGTTTGCACTGGAAATGAATCTGAGTTGATAGATTTTGTTGAGAATATGCTAGTAAACTAATTTAAAGGGATATGAGCAATGTGTATGTAACCTTCTGAATAGAGTTCCAAAGAGAATAGATCTCACAAACACCAAAGCCATTTTACGTCAAATAAACATCACTTCCACTGGGAAATGAGTGTAAATTTGTGTGTGTGTTTCTTATGAGCTGCTGCTATTATCTATTAATAAAACTGCCCAGTGTGAGAAAAAAGAAAAAGGAACTAGCTGGAGGCAGGATGTTGGTTTTTTTTTTATTATTATCCTGTTTTTTTCACAAACACTGAGGCAGCTTTTGTAATCCAGATGCAGAGAAGGTCACTTTTCAATTGTTTTAACACCTGCTGTCTATTAAAATGAACACAATTTCCACAAGCCATTGATAAATTCAGTCTGAAACCTACCTCAAGTGACGGTTTCCTTTATTTTGATAAAACTTTTGAATAAATAATGTGTCTGTCCAATTTCTGGTGTGTGTGTTTGCTATTTGACTCTCATATCCCTCCTCTTACTATTTTATTTTCACAGTGCTTATAACAAAACAATAGTTTTTGGTACTGACAGTAGAAAGCTAATTACAAATAACAGCTGTGTTGTTCATAAAACAAAAGTGAAGCTAGGGCACAATGGTGCACACCTGTAACACCAGATACTTGGGAGGCTGAGGCAAGAAGATCGCTTGAGCCCAGGAGTTTGAGGCTGCAGTGAGCTATAATGGTGCCACTACCTGAGCGACAGAGCGAGACCCCATCTCTTAAAAATGTGACACACTTAGTCATTAATGAGACATACTTAAAGTCTTGAATTGGCAATGGCTCTGACTACATCAGCAATATGTAATTTAAGAGCAGAGAAAATGTCTACTTAATCTATTAATTAATCATAGAATACCACCAGACTTAATAGAAATATAATCTTGGTTTAAAAAATATCAGGCAGGAGGCTGGTAAGAATTCTTGTAGGCTTGTTTCTTCCTCCCTCTGTCTGCCAAATGTCTGTCTCCTTGTCCTCTGCTCATTCTTTTTTTTTTTTTTTTGAGATGGAGTCTCACTCTGTCACCCAGGCTGGAGTGCAGTGGCACGATCTCAGCTCACTGCAACCTCCGCCTCCCGGGTTCAAGCTATTATTATGCCTCAGCCTTCTGAGTAGCTGGGATTACAGTCACCCACCACCATGCCCTGCTAATTTTTGTATTTTTAGTAGAGATGGGGTTTCGCCACGCTGGCTAGTCAGGTCTCGAACTCCTGACCTCAAGTGATCCACCCACCTTGGCCTCCCAAAGTGCTGAGATTATAGGCGTGAGCCACCATGCCCTGCCCTGCTCACTCTTCCTACTGAGAAGTGCAGCACTTCTTGGATGAGGCATTGCTCTGTCCCAGGGCTGGAGGAGCAGCAGCCCTCACTGCAGGCAGAACGCTGCTAACCCTCGCCTGTCAGCTTCCCCCAAGGCGTCACACTGGTCTAGACCCCGTGCAGTCTGTTGCTGCTGTGGAGGTTTACATATTAAAGCCATCCTGGGCATGTGTCTGCCTAGTGTATTCTCAGGGAGTTGTTTACTTACACTTTCCATGCTACGAAAATGGTTTCAGATTTTGTAGATGTCCTGGGACATGAAATGCAGGTAAAAATACTAAATAGCTACCTTAAAAAGACTTTTTATAAAAGTATAAGTGCAGTAAAGTGGGCAACTCTTTAGCGTACAGCTCAATGCATTTTCACAATTCGAAAACACCCGTGTATGAAATACCCAGATCGAGACTCACGAGAATAGCAGAATCCCAGAGGCTCCCAGAGGACCCCTTCCAAACCCATTCTATCCCTCCTTCCCAAAGGCAAATGCTGCCTGACTAACACCAAAGGTTAATTTTTCCATTGTAAAGAAAGACTTCATATATAAGCTTTATGGGAATGGAATTATACAGTGTACAGTTGACCCTTGAACAATGCAGGGGTTAAAAGGGCACCAACCCTCCAGGCAGTCAGAAATCTGAATGTAACTTTTGACTCCCCAAAAATGTAACTGCTACCCACCTACGATTAACCAGAAGTTTTACTGATAACATAAACTGTCCACTAACCCATATTTTGTTTGTTGTATGTATTGTATAATGTATTCTTACAATAAAGTAAGCTGAAGAAAAAGAAAATGTTATTAAGAAAATCATGAGGAGGAGAACATATATTGACTGTTCATTAAATGGAAGGGGATCCTCATCAAAGTCTTCATCCTCATCGTCTTCATGTTGAGTAGGCTGAGGAGAAGGAGGAAGAGGAGGAGATGGTCTTGTTGTCTCAGAGGTGGTAGAGGTGGAAGAAAATCCACATATAAGGGAACCCATGCAGTTAAAACCCACGTTGTTCAAGGGTCCACTTTATTCTTTTGTATCTAGCACCTTTCAACCTACTTATGATTGATCGTGAGATTCATTCACGTTCTTGCATGTAGATGTAGTTTGTTTTCATTGCTGTGTGTAGTATTCCACATATGAACAGATCACAGCTTATTTATCCATTCCACTATTGAGGGACAGTTGGGTTGCATGCAGGCTTAGGTTATTGGGAGTAACACTGCTGAGATCATTCACATACATATCTTTCAGTGCACACACATACTCCTTGCTGGACTATGGGGTATACACATGTTCAGCCTCAGAAGACACTGACAAAAAAGTTTTCCACCATGTTTCTACCAATGTTTTCTTCCATTTTACCAATAAGAGTTCTGGTTGATTCCCAGGCTTCCTAACCCTTTGTATTTTCTATCTTTTTCTTTATTTTTAGAGTTGTAGTGTCATTCTCTCATAGGGCAGCCGTCTCCAACCTTTGTGGCACCAGGGACTGGTTTTGTGGAAGACAATGTTTACATGGACCATGGGGTGGGGGGCATGGTTTTGGAATGAAACTGTGCCTCTCAGATCATCAGGCATTAGTCAGATTCTCATAAGGAGAACACAACCTGTCTCCTTCTCATGAGCAGTTCACAACACGGTTCACAGTTCTGTGAGAATCTAATGCTGCCACTGATCTGACAGAAGGCAGGGCTCAGGTGGTAATGCGAGCCATGGCGAGCAGCTTTGCTTTCTCACCTGCCACTCACCTCCTGCTTTGTGGCCCAGTTCCTAACAGGCCACGGACCGGTACTGGGGGGTGGGCGTCCGGTTACAGGGGCTTTAATTTGCATTTCTCTGGTAAGAATGGTACTGAGAATCTTTCTGTGTACCTCTTTGACCGTCTGGATATTTTGTGAAGTGCCTATGGAAATCTTTTGACCCACTTTTATTGAATTTCCTCTATCTTTTTCTTATTGTTTGGTAGAAGATATTTATGTATTCTGGCACAAGTCTATGTTGAATGCCTTTATTGAAAAGATCTCCTCCCACCCTGTGGTTTTCGTTTTCTCTTTTTAAATGGTGTCTTCTAATGAACAGATTTTCCTAATTTTACTGAAATCTAATGCATCAACATTTTCTTTAAGATTAGTGCGTATTTGATGTTCTCTTTAAGAAATTTTTTACAAACTTCAAGGTGAAAAAAAATTCTTCTATATTATGTTCTAAAAGCTTCATTGCTTTATCTTTCACATTTAGATCTGTAATCTATTGAGAATTAATTTTTCTATGAAAAATGTGTGTGTGAAGTAGATGGATTGAATTTCTGTCTTTTCTATATTAAAATTCAAATCAATCAGCACTATTGATAAAAAGACCATCCTGGACCACCTGTAGTCCCATCTACTCGGGAGGCTGAGGCAAGAGGACTGCTTGAGCCTAGGAGGTTGAGGCTGCAGTGAGCTGTGATTGCACTACTGCACTCCAGCCTGGGAAACAGAGCATGACCCTGTTTCTGAAAAAAGAGAGAGAGAAACAGAGAAAGAGAGAGAGATGGAGGGAGGAGGGAGAGAAGGAGAGAGTGAGAGAGACAGAGAGAGAGAAAGAAAGAGAAAGAGAGACAGAAAGAGAGGGATGGAGGAGGGAGAGAGGGAGAGAGTGAGAGAGACAGAGAGAGACAGAAAGAGAGGGATGGAGGAGGGAGAGAGGGAGAGAGTGAGAGAGACAGAGAGAGAGAGAAAGAAAGAGAGAAAAAGAGAAAGGAAGGAAGGTGGGGAGGAAGGAAGGAAGGAAGGAAGACCATCCTTTCCCCACTGCTCTGCAGTGATACCTTTGTCACTAGTGAGGTGTCCATATATGTGTGGGTCTCTCTCTGAAGGGCTGCTGGATTTTGTTGAATGCTTTTCTGCATGTTTAGAATGATCATATGATTCTCTCTGTTCTGTTAATGGAGTGAGGTACATTGATTGATTTTTGTATGCATGTCTGGGGTAAGCTGCACTTGGTGGGTTACACTTATTATACACTGCTCAATTTTGCATGCTAAGATATTGTTGAAGATTTTTGCATCTACATTTATAGTTTTTAATTTTCTTTCTTTTAATATCTTTGTCAAGTTTTGTTATCAGGGTTATTTGGACCTCATAAAATAAATTAGGAAGTGCTCCTTTTCCTGTATTTTTTGAGAGTTTCTGTTATATTGCTATTTTCTTCCTTAAATGTTTGATAGAAGCCATCTGGGCTTGAAATTTTCTTTGTGGGAAGCTTTTGGCTAAGAATTCAATGTCTTTAATAGATATAGCACTATTCAAATTTTCCATTTCTTCCTAGTTTTGATAAGTTGTACCTTTCAAGTAATTTTATTATTTCATATAAGTTGTGGGGTTTACCATATGAAGTTGTTCATAATATTCCACATTATTCTTTTAGTATCTATAGGATTTATAGTGATATTCCCTTTGTCATTCCTGATATTGGTAATTTATATTTTCTCTTTTTTCGTTGATTGATCTTGCTAGGGGTTTATCATTTTTATCGATATTTTCAAAGGGGCAATCTTTGTTTTGATTAATTTTCTTTGTTGTTTATCTCCTACATTAGTTATCTATTGCTGCATAACAATTATCCCCAAACCCAGTGACTTAAAACAACGCACATTTATTAGCTCAGGGTTTCTGTGGGGTAGGAATCCAAGCACAGCTTAGTGGGATGCCTCTGCCTTGAATTCTCCTCATGAGGTTGCAGTCAGGGAGAAGGCAGGTGCCGTGGTGTCATCTGAGGGCTCGGCTGGGGAAACGTCTACTTCCAAGCTTACCTGAGTGGCTGTTGGCAGGATTAAATTCCTCGTGAAATGTTGGACTGAGGAATCCAGTTCTTCCTTGGCTTTCCTTAGTTCTTTTCCACACAGGCCTCTCCAGCTCACAGAATGGTAGCTGAACTCCATCTGAGTGGGCAGGCAAGAGAGAGCATGAGAGGAGCAGCAAAAGGAGAGCCAGGGTCTTTCTTTAACCTCCTCCCAGAAGCCACAGCTCATCCCTGTTACTTTTCTCTTCTCTCCGATTCTGCACTACCTCAGGTCTGAAAATGCCTGAAAAACAGACAATTCACAAATTTGATCCAGTTCTATCATTATTTATGATGGGAGGGCTGATCCAGTACCACTTAATTCATCAGGGCTGGAAAGAGTTATTCTTTTAATAAGTAATTGCTTTTGGCTTTTAGGCTCCATAGGACTTGTTGTTTCTCTGCCAAAAATTCTTTCTTTACACTTTCTGCTTCAGACTGTTTTGTTAACATCTGTTCTTTTTCTGTCTTTGCTACATCTAGATTTAATGACATCAGCAATAATTGTAGCATAAAGCTAATAAGAATGGCAGCACCTCCATTTGTAGTACTGATGGCTTTCTTGTGACTGTAACTGATTGAGTTTAAAAATCATTTCAGAAAAGCCATGGATCATGAGATACTATGCTATGAAATCATTACAATCATCTAGAATTTAAATGAATGGTATGTAGTCAAATTGTAATTTCATTTAACTTTTTAGTGTTCTATATACTTATTATTGTTATTGTTTGTGAATACAGCTTCCAATTATCTACTTCAAATCTAGAAGTGACCTGAACTGTGAGTTCGGTTTTAGTTCTCTTGTATAGAAAGATTTGACATTGGAGCATCCAAACTTCCAACCTTTGGCTCCTCTTAGAGAAGGCCACCTCCTGGGCATGGGGCCCTCATCCACATTCCTCTAAAAAGGCACTAGGAACAAGAGTCAATGAAAAGTGCCCAGAGACCTGGAGATGCAAGGAGGAGGACAGGTGTGCAGGTTGGCTAGGTGAGGCCTGGGCTGCTGGCCCGTTTGTTGGTATCTCCACATTGCTGAGACAAATCAAGAGACTCTGTTTCCCCTGCTTATGGTTGACAGAATGTCTTCAGACTCTGAAAGAGGTTCTGGTGTCCTCCTAGTCTGATCCCAGCATGAAGGTCTTGACCCTGTGCTCACACACTGGCCATTCAGCTGATCTGGGACAATCACGTGCCAAATCAAACCTTTTGGTTTATTTGTTGAAAATGCAGGGATCTCTGGTAAGAATAAATCTCTGTTTTCCACAGAACCAGAAGTGAGAGTGAGATTACTTTTATTTCTGCTTCTTTCAAGGTCTTGGATGAGTTAAAAAAAAAAAAAGAGCTGAACTAGGATTAACGAGGCTCACTTTTGCTTTTTTCTGTGATACGGAAGTTCTATTATTATTAAACAATGTAACGGATACAGAATTCAGACAGAGACAAATGGAGAAGATAAATAGCCAGATGTGGGGGGTGGGGGGAAGGCAAAGAAAGGAGAAATGGATAAACCATATAGAAGATGTGTTCTGTATTCATTTTTCATTATTTTGTAACTGATTGCCACAAACTCACTGACTTAAAACAGCCCCCATTTAGTATCACAGTTTCTGTTGTCCAGAAGCCGGAGCACAGCTTAGCTGGGTTGCCTTCCTGAGGTCTTCAAGGCTGAACTAGAGTGTTGACCAGGCTACGTTCCCTCCTGGAGCTCTGGGTCCTCTGGCAAGCTATTCCGGCTGTCGGCAGGACTCAAATGCCTGAAGTTGTGGCACTCCTGGAAGCCGCCCCCAGGTCCCAGGCACATGGTCCTCTCCCAGCATGGCAGCTCATTCCTCCAAAGCCAGCTGGAGAACCTCTCTCCAGTCCACTACAATGAAGTCTCAGCAAGGGAGCGAGTGTTTCATGCCAATCACAGTCCTGCCCACATTCGAGAGGAGAGGGCTTAAAGGCATATCTAACAGGGGTGGGAATCTGGGTGACCATCTTAGAATTCTGCCTGCCACATGCCATTAAATCAAGCATGTGGCTAATGAAGAAAACACTTTGGCTAATGAAGAAAACAATAGACGTATTTGGAAGTGACGTCTCCTGCTGGCCAGCCTCTATCGAATGGAGATGCTCTGTGAAACCTCTCTCCTACGTGGGGTTGTTGCAAGGCTGGTTGGGTCATGCTTGTGAAAAGCCTCTGCAGAATGGACCCTGCTCTGCAAGTGTAAGGGAATTAGAATGTGTGTGTGTGTGCATCTGTGCATTTATGTATGTGGGTTCGTGTGCATGGATGTGTATGTGCGTGTGTGTGCGCGCACATATGTGCATGTGTATGTGTGAAGCAAAGTATTCCACATCAGCTGTCTCCCTCTTGGCTCTCCCAATCCAGAGTGAGCCCACCTCTTGCCAGCTCCTCGTGGACCTTTGCTGTCTCTAGGTGCTTAACACCTCCCACCTGCTCTTGTACTGTTGTCCCCCTTTATATGTGGTTTCGCTTTCTCTGATTTCAGTTACCCATGGCCAATCATGGTCAGAAAATATTAAGTGGAAAATTCCAGAAATAAACAATTTATGTCTTAAATTGCATGCTGCTCTGAGTAGCATGATGAAATCTTGTGCCGACCCACTCATGGCATGAATCATCCAGTGTCTCCACAGTGTAGACGCTACCCACCCATTAGTTATCCACATCATCTTCTCCTGACATCCAACCATCCACATGGTCACGGCTCGATGATCCAGGGGCACCCAAAGCAGATGGTCCCCCTGATGCATCATCGAAGGTCAGTAGTAGCTGAATGCTATGTCACAGTGCCTAGGTCATTCCCTCACTTTATCTCATCTCTTGGGCATTTTATCAAGACAGACCATCACAAGAAGAGGAAGGGTGAGTACAGCACAATAAGACATTCTGAGAGCGAGACAAAGAAAGAGAAACCACATTCACATAACTCGTATCATAGTATATTGTTATAATTGTTCTATTGTATTAGTAGTTATTGTTGTTAGTCTCTTACTATGCCTAATTTATAAACATTATCATAGGTATGTATGTACAGGAGAAAACACAGTATATATAAGGTTCAATAGGTTTCAGGCATCCACTGGGGTCTTGGAACATATCCCCTGAGGATAAAGGGGGACTACTGTAATTTCTTTTGGACTTCGTATCCATTTCTCACCGCTTCACAACCTTTCCAACTGTAGAGTTTTTTGTTTTTTTTTTTTTTTTTTTTTTGAGACGGAGTCTCGCTCTGTCGCCCAGGCTGGAGTGCAGTGGCGGGATCTCGGCTCACTGCAAGTTCCGCCTCCCGGGTTCACGCCATTCTCCTGCCTCAGCCTCCCAAGTAGCTGGGACTACAGGCGCCCGCCACTACGCCCGGCTAATTTTTTTTTGTATTTTTAGTAGAGACGGGGTTTCACCGTTTTAGCCGGGATGGTCTCGATCTCCTGACCTCGTGATCCGCCCGCCTCGGCCTCCCAAAGTGCTGGGATTACAGGCGTGAGCCACCGCGCCCGGCCCCAACTGTAGAGTTTGCGCCTTGATCATTTTTTGCATTCCCTTTTGTGTCATGAATAAAGGAAGCGAATCCACTCTAGACGTGACCTCTTGTAAGGCTGAGCGCGGTCATGGCACAGTAGGGAGGGGCTGCTGCTGTCCTGAGGTCCTGGTAAGCGGATTCCACCTGATCCCTTCACTGAGCATCTCTTGAGTGCTTGCAGTCAGCCCAGGAAAACGTCATCTAAATGGCGCCACTCTCCAGGGCCTCTCCTGTTTTAGAGATGTTCTGTGTTTCATAATGGCACAAGACGCTACTTTGAACCGCTTTCCTTTATTACAAAAAATAAAAGGTGCTAAACACACACATGCTTTAAACACTGGCAGTAGAGTAGTGACCAGTAGCCTTCAGGGCAACTTGCAGTAGACCCTGGTGGCCAGCTTCACATGTGCAGGCAAACCCAGCTTGCAGGTGGTGCATCAGTCTCTTGACAGAAGCGAGGGGTGTGGGGTAAAGGTACCATCAGCAAGCCAAGGCTGTTTACATGGGCTCACTGAGAGCTGGCAAGAGGGCTATTGCTCATGGTGTAAAATAAATACTAGTGGTGGGGCAACATAAATCTTCTGGCTGAAGGAATTATTAGTGGCACATTGACCTGGTGTGAACTTGTAACAAGTTAAGAGGCATTATTGATAGCTTTTCTCATTCTCCAGGCTCAGAGAGGGTTACCTTTTACAGAAATGTAAACACACCAGACATGCTTTCAATAACAATTGTCAACCATGTCCCAGCTTAGACTAAAAATTCCCCCTTGGTTAGGTTTTTTGACACTGTACTTAAGACTAAACTTGTAACATGAATGCTAGCAATGTCGAGCACTTGGAATCTCAAGCTGTTTATCAGACGAGGGCTGTTCCTTATCTTCTCGGTGAAAGATAAACCAAAACATGCACCAGAAACCACCACATGTTTTCCTTCCCAATATGGGCGCCTTTTTTCTAGAGAAGAAAATTTTAGTTCCGTTTCTTCTTCCAGAGCTGAGACCTTTCACTAAACGACACATTACTGCCTAGCGGCCTACGTGAGCTCTTTCTGGGGCTGAGAACTGCAAGCTCCTCTCCTGCACAGCAACTCCTTCAGTTACTTCATTCCTGTGTGGCCTTCAAAGATCAGACGAGTCACACATTTGCCATGGCCCGCTCCTACCAGCCCTGTCTGTGGCCAGCTCTCCCTCATCTAAACTCCTGCAGGATTGTTTGCTTTTTTAGGTTGTAAATGGCGGGAAAAAATTGACTCCAGTTGGCTTAGCAAAAAGATATGTTTAGTGGCTTGCAAACCTGAGACACTGGGTGTTAACACTGCCTCCCCGCAAAGCTGAACCTGGGGCTTCCTCTCTTTTTCCCATATACTAGAATCTCATTCTCTGTGACCAGATTCACTGTCCCTGCCCGGCAATGTAGACAGGATACTTCTCTAGCTTATCTCAAGTCAGCCATGTATCTGCCAATATCAGATCATTTAAAGAGTTACAGGACTTACATCACTTTCATCTGGATCTCTTTCCCTCCCTCCCCCTTTTTCTTTCTTTCTCGTGTATAAATAAACAGATCTTGCCTCACATGCAATTAGAAGATCTGAGTACTAGGACATCTTTTCTGTTTTTCTGGGCCCTTGGAAGTGAGCTGGTGATTTATGTTATCAACAATTGAAAGCCATACTAATTGATGGACAATTAATACTTTTACTACTTATGGCAAATGAAAATGTTTGACTTTATAGTTATTGCTGCATTTCTTTTTTGAATAAATAAAACCATTCTTGTGACTAAAGTGAAAAATGTATCTTTATCAAACAAATCTCATTTGAGTGGCAAAGGACAAAGGGTTGGTTCTGCGTTTCCTTTGAGTCCTAGAAACCCAAGGGAGCATCAGCACTTCACTGTCCCCCACCATGATGCAGGGCCACTTTCCTGTGGCACCTCCACCTTGGAGCCTACTCTGTTCTTGACCTGCGCTCCTCTCTAAGAAGAGAGGGTGGGGACAAAGAGAAGGCAGAGAAAGCAGAAAAAAGCAAGATGGCAGGCTCAAATCCCACGACATCAATAATTACACTATATGCAAATCGCATAAGTGCTCTGGCCAGAGAGGAAGGCTTGAAACACCCTGAAATGCCTTGTGTCTCCACCTGGCGAGGTCTGATGAGGGAATCTGGGACCAGGCTTACAACCTACTGTTTTGAGTTGTGCTTTCTCCAGAAAGAAAAGCCCTGAATGACTCCAGACATAATCATTGTCTATGCTGCCTTTCTGACCCCATCAGTGGGGACCTTTAGAAGAAACGGCCAGGCCTGCATGGGCCTGGGTTTCAGTCCTGACTCTGCTACCAATCAATAGAGTCAGCTCTGGCTGGTCTTATCTCCATGCTTCGAAGCCCCACATAACTCCAGAGTCCTCATCCAGAAAACAGCTGTGATGGCATTTTTCCTACAAACTACTCAGGATGGTTTTGGGAACAAAATAATATCAAAAAACTGAATGTAGCTCTATTAGTCCATTTTCACACTGCTATAAAGAACTGCCTGAGACTGGTAATTTATAAAGGAAAGATGTTTAATTGACTCACAGTTCTGTATGGCTGGGGAGGCCTCAGGAAACTTACAATCATGGCGGAAGGTGAAGGAGAAGCAGGCACCTTCTTCACAAGGTGGCAGGAGAGACAGAGCGCAGGGGAAACTGCCACTTTTAAACCATCAAATCTCATGAGAACTCACTATCATAACAGCATGTGGGGAAACTGCCCCGTGATCCATTTACCTCCCACCAGGTCCCTCCCTCAACACTGGGGGATTACAATTCGAGATGGGATTTGGGTGGGGAAACACAGCCAAACCATATCAGTAGCATTTTCTTGTTTATAAAGCACCTTTCATATCTATGTCTGTATCTATATATCTATATATCTATATCTATCTCTCCTTTAGACTTTATAGTAGTGAGGCAAGCTTTATTATTGTATAAACATGAAAACAAAGTCATATAACTTTCTCAAGGTCACACAGCTAGTGTAGCAGAGCCAGGACTGACCTCAAGACTTTTACAGTCTAGAACCTCTCAGAACAAGAGAGAATTTGAGAGAGCTTTGCAAAGTGCATTACCACTGGAATCACTTGGCAAAAGGAAAAGAAATCCATGCAACTAACTTACACAAAAAGAGGATATGTTAAGAAGACTCAAGGACATATTCAGAATCCAAGATCAGCTAGACCTCATAAGGGCCATTGTTCCAGAAAAACTGCCAGGAACAGAGAGAGCCAGCCTCCCCCGTGACCTCACTCTCTCTGTGGGTCTGCCGGCCCTGTCCTGCTTCCCAGCGCAGCACTGTTCAATCCTTCTCTCTCTGCTTTTTGTCAGATTTCAAATGCCAAACCCTGGGCCTCTCAATCCGTTGCTTTTCCTAGGTAGTAAACATGTACTTGGTAAAATACCATATATGTTCTAATATATTGTTCACTGAGGAAATACTCAAGGCTCTATGAAGGGGAAATAGTCACATGTCAAGTTTAAACTGCTAATCATTTCTAAACAAAGTGGAATTATTGTTTTATATGCTGTTTCATACCAAATTTCATATATATATTGACATCTATTATTTCTCAAAACTTTTTAGCTTTCATTTTTTGTAATAGCATCTTCTCAATGTAGGACTTCTATTATATAGAATAATTACTGATCATCAACACTGACTATTAAACCTACAAGTTAAACTTGGGTAGATCATGATTTTTTTTCTGTAAGAGAAGATATAATTAGTAAATAAAAACTGGGCTATAAATCAATAATGAAATTTTCTAGAAAGCTCCAAAATGTTCATCTAAGAAGACAGTGGAACAGACAGCAGTACCAGGAGGTCTGTCTCCCAGCTTTCTCTGTTGCGTGTACAAAGACATTTGAGTTCATTCAAAAAATGATGAATTTGATTTGCTTCAGGACTTCATAGGATGCTCTGCTGTTGTGCACAGCATAGAGATGGATCCATAGATGGCTCTCAGGATCTAAAGTCAGGCAGGCTTAGCACTCATAGCTTAACTAGGAAAAGGTTACATTAGAATGCCCAGAGAAAATATTCATATTACATCAGGAGCCACACAGATTGATAAGAAACACACGAAGTAGTCAGCATGTGAATAGGCAGATTATGAGTAAACATCTTCACAAGAATCAGTACAAATAAGTGAGAAAATGTTAACTCCCAGGAGTAATCAGAGGACATAACTGCCCTCTACTGCTCACCCCAAGGGAAATGATTTAGAATGTTATGACCTCTACTTACTTCTGAGAATTTCTCCCAAGAGAGAAAAAGTTTATCTGCACAAATTAATTTTCAGTAAAGAAGTGGCATTCAATATTAGGAGAACAGTGAAATAAATTGTAGTGTCAGCCCTAATACAGCCATGATACAGTTAATTTTGAAGATTACTGGCAACATGAACATATTTATATCAGATTTTCAAGCAACAGTAAAACAATCAGAAAGTCAGAGCTGAATAGGTTCTGAGACATGGTAACATCTCCAAATCTTCCACGTATGTAATTCAGAGAATAGACTGTGTAAAATTGGGTTTGCCTTTCTCTAGTTCTCTACACAGGTTCTGAATATGACACGGATCTGGGCATACTAGCTGAAAGAGACAATGGGAAGTTTTAGAAGAGAGACACAACTGTCAGAAAATCCAGGGAGAGCTGTGGTGGGTGTGGAATTACCTGACATTTGTATTCACCCGCGTATTCCCCACCAATATATAAACTTTTTTAAAACCATAGAACCATGAAAAGAAAAGGCCTCGTTGCACAATTTGGTGCTCCCTTCATCTGTGGAGAGCAGGTGTCTGTGCCACAGCTCTGGTGGTCTAGGGAAGCATTCGCAGTAGACGAGCCAGCTGCCTCCCAGGCTGAGATCCTGGAGTCACCCTGTCAGCACGCTCAGACCCCATGTGGCTTCTTATGGTGCTGCCTCACTATCATGTCTTCCTTCTTTGGAGTTGAAAGCCTCTTCTTCCCATCTCCCCACTTTCCTAAACCCTCTGAAGTTACGTCCACACAACAGTCATGAATGGGATCCAAGGAGCTTAAGTACTACATATGAAAGGCTGGGAAACCTCAAGGCAAATACTGCCTTGATCACCTGGAAAATGGTCCTCTCTTTCACCATCACTCACAGGCCAGGTGCCCAAAGGCATTGCATCTGAGGTAAGCAGATGTCTGCAGCTGTGTGTTAGATACAGCTCCACAAAGGTAGACCCTGGGGTGAGGCCAGCCCTGTGAAGAGGGTCACACAGCAGGTGAGAGTGCCCGTGCATTTGGCCTGCTGGTCCACAAGCCAACCTCTGATTTCCTTTCGGGCATTAGTCCATGGTCCCTCCTTATTGGCAGCACATGGGAGTGGTGCCTGAACTGGGCTGCTGTATTTTATCACTTCTCTCTTTGCTGTTGAAGAACTGTGGGCCTTGAGTCCAATCTAGTAAATGTCCTCATTACACTCTCTCAGGCTGGGTTCCCAAAGTAGACTCTAAGGCAAGAAATTGAGTGCAAGTAGAGTATTTGGCAGACAATCCCAGAAAGCACTGCTATCAGGGTGGGAAAAATGTGACAGGACAGAAAAAGAAACCAACAAAGGGTGCAGGTTCAGGCAGGTTTCCACTGTGGCTTCTGGGGCTCCTTCCCACTGAGGAGTGATGATGAGACAGCCAGAGTTACTCCACCTGCAGAGCAAGGAAGCTGAAGTCTTTAACTTCCATCTGCCCCAGCACCGGCTGTGGCTGCTCCCTGTGGCACTACCTCTCAGAAAGCTCTCTGGTGGGAGTGGCAGGTGTCTGTCACAGCACACCAATGGGTGACTAGCAGGTGCCCCTGTGTTTGGGTGGCTTATTGAGCACCAGGGTAAGGCTGGAAGAAGAGGGTGTGGAAAACACTACAAGAGATTGGCAGAGGGCATGAATGGGCAAGTCATAAAAGAAATGCAAATTAAATTTTAAAAATTGTTTTGGATCTATAAATTGCAATGACTGGAAATAATGATAACACCCAGGAGTCAGTGAGTTATCTGGAGACCCACTCAGTTATATGCTGTGGTCAGATTATAAACTGGAATAAAGTTTGAAAGGCATTTTGGCAACACATACTTAGGAATGATTCTCATTAACAAAAGTAATCTGGGCATATCTCTTCCTGTCAACCTTAAATAGTCTGATACAGCTTAGAGAAGATATGGTGTGCTCTGTACCTATGGCGGTAGAGTCATTACAAATAATCAGGGACTGATAATTATCCTCTACTTAATAGTTCTTCCATGTCCCCCATCAACTCTTGCTAACTTTTCTTTCTTATAACTTCATCACCTGAAATTGTGTCATATATATTTTTGATCTGTTTACTGCCTAATTCCTTTTGGTAATGTAAGTTCTGTGATGGTAGGGACTGGTCTTAATTATGATCACCTAGATTTGTGCCTAGATAGTACTCAATGTGTATCTGGTAAGCAAATGCAGGGTTGCATAAATGGATGGATAAATGGATAAGTGGATGGGTGAGTGGATGGATGAGTAAGTGGGTGGATGAGTGGACGAATGGATAGATGAGTGGACAGATGGATGAGCACATCTTTGCTGATTATTCTTTAAAGGTGAAGAGGAGATGGTGGGTAGGTTGAGGTCTGGTTTTGCCTAAGTGAAGTGAAGCCATTGATAGGTTTGAGGCATGAACACCGCTTACCCCATCTAGTGCCAGTCTTACCTGAGGATGACTTGATTAGGAACCCATATGACACGTTGTACATCTATAAACTGATCAGACAACTCCTTTTGTGTGACCCCCAAACACTCATCCACAAAAATGTCCCATTTCCATTAGAAGAAATATCATGGTTCTCAGTCAGCTGCTTCTGCTGAGACCCCCACCTCCAGAAGATCTGGTAGAGGAAGCCCAAAGGCTCTTTCCATCGGAAGCATTTGCAGGTTGTAACACTTCTCATCCCACTCATGGAAGAGCAGAGACAGCCTGGTTGGGCGAGCACTCACTGTGGAGATGCACAGCCCTACAGGAAACAGCTGCCTTGTCCCTGTCCTGCTGAGTTTCATGGCATCACATGCTTCTGCCAACTGGAATCTTCTAGCGTGTGGTCCATGGGGATCAGATTTAAAGGCACCAAACTCTGAACAGTCGTACAGTGGCCTTGTGACAAGTAGTTTATCACATGACAATGGCATGGTGATGGTTACCTTCCCTAAAATATTAGGGAAAATTTCCCCTTTATGTAGTATATTTGCTAAAAATTGTATAAAAAATAGCCTAGTTCATAAAAGTAACACTAACCAAGTATACTTTAAAGATTACTTTTCTTGGACCAAGGATGTCTGGGCTCAATCTGCTTCCCCATCCAGGCCAGGCCTCTTGCTGATGGGCTTTGTGTGGGGACAGCAGGAGGACCACAACAGGGAGCAGGTGGGGAGATGTGGCTCACAGTTGTCCCCTGCTGCCCTCGGTTCCTCCAGCTCTGACTCTCCTGGCTCTGCAACTTCTATGGCTGACGTGTCAGCAATCGCTGGCCTTGCTCTGCTTTCTGGTGTTTGGGGCCTTTGCATTGCTACCCGTCAAACCCTGGTGTTCATAAGTGTTTGGTTTTATCCTGCTCAGTCCCACTGTCATACAAGACTCAGTCTTGGGATCTCAGGGAAACACGTGGGTCTCCTACATGAAAAGCATGGGGTCCCTTCCCTTTATGTCTCCAGCCCCGAGAGCGAGTTGCCTGATGGGAAGGAAATTCTTGGCAAATATGTTTGGGTGGAATTACTGTAAGGACTGGGTCTTTGAAGGCAGCACCTCCAAAGAATTCTAGCTTTTAATGTGGATGATTTGCTTCGTTTTCCTCGGAGTCAACTTGCCTGAGAAAGTTGTTGCTGAGTCCTTTCCAACTCAACAAGTTGAGGCAATATCTTGGAAGTGTTTTTAATGGGAGATCTCTGTTCTAATTCTCCTGGATTTCTCTTCAACTGGTTAGGATGGAGAGGAGGAAAAGAGGTCTGTTCTTGAATTTGAGTCTTGGTCTTACCACTACTGGGACTTGAGTGGTTAGACAAAAATGGTGGACAGACAGATATAAGGATTTGATGGTGAAGGAAAGGCTTTTTCACAATCTGTGTTTCTGTGGCCTTCCTGAGGGTCTCTTTCGTCCTTCATGGCCTGGCATAGGATTCTTCTATGTACTACTCAGATATAGTATGGCGCTATGGCTAGAATTTAGAGTTTTCCCAGCTCAGAAAGTGGGCAATGACCTGGACAGCCTCTTGGGATGCAGCTGGGATCCTAACTAAAAAGAAGCCAGGCTGGGCTTTCACAGGGGACAGTTGGGGTTGAGAAGCTCCATCCCCATGGCCTCCTTCCGCGGGACCCACTAAGGCTTGTTGGGACACGGCAAGCAATTTCCCATCATTATTATTCAGGGGAATTTCATCCATTCGAGTGGAGGTTTTGTCCATTTCTGGTTATTCTGAATTCCATAGGATTCCAGGCCCTTCCGGCTCTGAGGAGGAAACTTTCTAGCAAATGTGGATGCTTGTTTCCAGTCCTGTAGTTCCATATTCACATATTTTCTCACTCACGGAAGGGGTCAGGAAGAGAGCCGAAACCTCAGCAGGAAACTGGGTTGGGGGTCTAGGATGGAGCAGATTTGGAGCAATGCAGTGTTTTTGGAGCCAGGCCAGGGAATGCTGTGGTTATTACTCATTGTATTTCTAATGTTTCACAGGCAGAGCTTGGCGGTGTGCTTGATGCAAACATGGCAGATATGAACCTGGTGTTGTACCCGTGGGTCAGGATGAGGCAGGCATGGGTGTGTGTGAGGCCCTGGGTGTAGAATCAACCGAAAGTGGAGGCTTGCTAAGAAGACTCTATCTCCAATAAATCAGCTACCTGTGGGTCTGACTCCAGTCAAGATTGGCACCAGACTACCCTGGCTGAAGTGTCAGGGCCTCCCATCAAGGTCACGCATGGAAGGAGGAATCCGAGGGAAGCTGGGGAAGGTTGCTGGCTTCTCGCCTTGGGTGGAAAGGCGGAAGCCCTGGGGTGGGGGTTTAGGAGCAGTGCTTCTGTCCCCGCAGAGTTGGCTTGGCCATGACGGAAGAAAGCCCGGATCTCAAGCTGGGGCCTTCCAGAGGAAGGGGAGTGCTGATGTCAGGCAATCAGTCATGGAACTTTGATGTTGGGATCCAGTCCCTTGGGAGGGGAGTCCTTTTTTTTAAACTTTTAAGTTCAGGGGTACATGTGCAGGTTTGTTACATAGGTAAACTTGTGTCAGGGGGGTTTGTGGTACAGATCATTTAATCACCTAGGTATTAAGCCTAGTACGCATTTGTTATTTTTCCTGGTCCTCTCTCTCCTCCCATTCTCTACCTCATGATAGGCCCCAGTGGAGTAGGGGACCTTCTGAGTCCTGAGTCACAGCAGCTTTTATAAAGACAGGTTTTTCTTGGTGTCCGGTAGGCTCCCCTAGCTGGGCCAGCAGAGGGAGGTGGGTGCAGAGGATGGTGGGGAGGGCAGTGGGAGGAAAGGGAGACAGACAAGAGCAAGGGCTCCTGCTGGAGACTGGGTTCCTCCCAGGTATTAGGCCTAGCATGATGGGGTTTGTTCGGGGAGCTCATATCAGGGAACAGGAGCAGGGCTGAGAGAGTGAAGTGGGGAGAAGGGCAAGGTCTTCCACAGTGCTTCCTCAGGCTGGCCGCCACTGTGGGCTGCCGGATCCCATCCACTGGGCACTGAGGAGCTGGGGGGGACTTGCCTCTCAGAGTGGTCTGCCTGAGGACAGAAGGAGGAGCCGTCATCCAGTACATGCCTTCCCTTGGTCCAGGGCTGCCACACAGAGTCATTCCCAGGCTGTGTGGGCACCATGCGTGTGTCATAGAAAAGGTGCCCACAGGTACCTCCTGCAGGAAGCTTGTTGCTGCCACAGTGGCTGGAGTAAAAGGTGGGATGAGAAGCCGTGACGTTGAGTTCAAGCAGAGAGCTCTGTGATATGACGGGAACAAGAAAGGCTTCTGCACTGTTCATGAACTTGGTTGTAGCTTGTGGGTAACCCATGTCTTTCTATCTGGGGGAGGGAACATTGATCACCTTCAATTCCTGGGTTTCTGCTAGATGACCTGATTCCGGGGGAAGGTACCAGCTTTGGGAGTCAAGAAAAGCAACTCACCTAACGTATCTATCTGAGTCTTAGTCTTCTCACCTGTAAAATGGGAATAATAATTTATTTCCTATCTCCTGGGTATTGTGAGTTAATAGGGAATTACAATAATAAATTTCCAAAGGAAATGCCTTGCAGTGTGTAAATCCCTCTGCAGGTGTGAAGTGAAACTAATAGTGAAACACAGACGCATGTGAACTGTCGGCAGTTATGACAGCTGGCCCCTTGAGGGTTCTAGGTGCCTAGAGACTGTCTGGCACTTTTATATGCATAATATCATCTCATCCTCCTTGCAGCTCCTATGGCAGTCACTGTTATTATTCCCATTTACAGATGAGGACACAGAAACTCAGAGAGAGCAAGGGCCTTGCCCTGGGCCCTGCAGGAAGTGGTATTGGGAGGCTCCACGCTGCCTGTCTGCATTGCAGAAGCTCAGCCCCTTTCCTGCCCCAAATCTCTCACCACTGCTTGGTTAAACACGGTGTTACCTGGCTGTGTAGCACTGTGGCAAGCGGTCTACTAATCCTGATTGGATTCTAGGAATACCAGCAATGGGATGGCTGCCACCTGCTGACAGGGAGAATGGAGGAGGCCAAGGTCAAGCCCAGGGGCAGCCTGCCTTGGTCCTAAGTGTGAGCGGCTGGTGGAGATGAGCCAGGAGGAGGCAGAAGCTGGTAAGGAGGCTGGTTTTGCCTAGTACAAGGATTGTTACCAGGGCTCCATGAATAGGCTTGGGGCAGTGTCTCAGCCTCTCGAATGGCCTGTAAATGTATGGGCCCATGGGTGCATATGCTTTTTTCTAGGAAGCAGGTTCATCATTTTTATTAGTGTCATAATAATCCATGACCCTGAAGTTTGAACAGCAGTTCTCCATTGGGCCACCCTGGCATAAATGCAAGTGGTACAGGGCCCCTTGGATATCTCTGTACACATTGAGACCTGGACAACTTGTCCTTCTGAATGGCTTAAATCCCAAGAATTTTGCCTCTTTACGTGGCTGCTTTAATTTTATGTTTTTACCTTTTTGCTACTATTACTTATGAGCCAGAATTAGGAATTTTCCAAGAACTGGAGGGAGGGAAAATGTGTCCCAGCTTCATCACCCACGTGCTCTCTTCCACCGCCTTTACTTTTGTCTGCATTTTCTCCAAAAGGGTTAATGTTCTTATCAAATTCAGTTTTCTTTCTTTCACTAATGCGTATTCATGCTCTTTCAAGCAAGCAAGCAAATGTGCTTCTATTAGGCAATCAGTTCTGCAGATTACATTTTTTTAGTTGCTAGGCTAGAAAAATAAAAATAACCTAATAAGAAAGTGTTTATGTTGGAAGTAGGTATTCCAAAAAGAATAGTTCTTTTAAAAATAATTCCCCAAACAACTCTTAACAGGTCTTGATTCAAAGAGGTTTTGTTTTCTTTTTTTTTTCTAGCGTGAAAAGCAATATACATAAGCCAGATCCTTTCCTTGGGCAGCGTGGTTAATACTAGCACACATCACACCTGGTATTTGACTTCTCAGAAACTTGCTAAAAACCTTGTGTGGCCATAATCCCTGACTTGATTAACTGTTATTGAGTGTGTTCTGCAAAGTAACAGGAGCTTTAGATGTCTCCTGAAAAGAAAAGCAGAACAGACACAGATTGCCGAAATGAAACAGCAACACAGTGATGATATATTTTCACAACTTGAAATACTAAAAACGTGGTCAAAAGGATCCATCCGAGTCAGAGATTGGGCTCTGTCTGTGGCCACAGCGGAAGCCAGGTGCTGTGGGCTCACCACCCTGACCTTGGATGGATGGCAAGACTTGCCACCCCCACCCTCCTACTGAGGAGTCCCTTGGAGAAATCAATGGCAAAACTGGCCCCAAGCATGGAAAGGGGCTGCAGTTCTAAGGTGGACCGGGGCAGAGCTTGCTTTCTGTCTTCTGAGAAGTGGCTGGGGTAAGACCAAGTCTAGTGGACCTCTTGATGAGTAGATATCTGCCCTGCCCTTAAAAAGCCAACAGCAAACTACAGTGTAGGCACGGTTGCCAGATAAAATACAGACTGCCTAATTAAAATTGAATCTCAGATGAACAAGGAATAGTTTTTCAGTATAAGTATGTTCCATGCAGGTAGATGTCATGCATATTTCTGATATTGCTTGGGATATTCTTATCCTAAGAAGTGATGTGTGGTTTCCCTGAGATTGAAACTTAGCTGAGCATCCTGTATTTTTATTTGCTAAGCCTGGATACTCTAGCTCAGGGCAAAGTAGGCGCGGACAGGCTGTGTTGGCTCACCTTTCTGGTCAGGGCTATAGATTGTGCTCTCAGGTTCTAGGACTTCATGTAGCTGGAATGATGCAGTATGCCTTCTTTTGTGTCTTGCTTCTTTTACTTGGTATATTATTTTGAGATTCATCCCTGTTGCTGCCTCTATTGTAGTTTGTTCCTTTTTATTATTGAGTAGTATTCTACTGTAAGAAAATACTACAGTTTATTATCACGTCTGGATGGGCCTTTGGGTTGTTTCCAGTTCTTGTCTATTGTGAATAATACTTCTATGAGTTTTGATAGACACATTTGTGTGTGTGTGTGTGTCTCTCTCTCTCTCTCTCTCTTTGTGTAAACATTATTTTCATTTTTCTTTTCTTTTTTTTTTTTTTTTTTGTTTTTTAGACAGAGTCTCACTCTGTCACCCAGGCTGGAGTGCAGTGGTGCGATCTCGGCTCACTGGAACCTCTGCCTCCTGGGTTCAAGCAATTCTCCTGCCTCAGCCTCCCTAGCAGCTGGGATTACAGGTGTTCACTACCACGCCTGGCTAGTTTTTGTATTTTTAGTAGAGGTAGGGTTTCACCATGTTGCCCTGGCTGGTCTCGAACTCCTAACCTCAAGTGATCCACCTGCCTCAGCCTCCCAAAATGCTAGGATTATAGGCATGAGCATCCGCCTTGGCCTCCCAAAGTGCTGGAATTACAGGCATGAGCCACCACATCCAGCCATTATTTTCATTTTTCTTGGGTAAATACCTAATAGTATAATTGCTGGATCTTATATTGTATTAGTCTGTTCTCATGATGCTAATAAAGACATTTCTGAGACTGGGTAATTTATAAAGGAAAGAGATTTAACTGACTCACAGTTCTACATGGCTGGAGAGGCCTTACAATCATGGAGGAAGGCAAAGGAGATGCAAAGGGACGTCTTACATGGCAACAGGCAAGAGAGCATGTGCAGGGGAACTCCCATTTATAAAACCATCAGATCTCATGAGATTTATTCACTACCATGAGAACAGAATGGGGAAAACTGCTCCCATGATTCAACTATCTCCACCTTGCCCCGTCCTTGACACAGGAGGATTATTACATTTCAAGGTGAGATTTGGGTGGGGACACAGCCAACTGTATCATATAGTAAGTGTACATTTAACTTTATAGGAAACTGCAAAACAGTTTTCCAAAATGGCTGTACCATTTTACACTGTGGCCAGCAATATGTGAGTATTCCACTTGTTCCTCATTCTTGCCAACACTCGACGTTGTCTGTGTTTTTATTTAGTTATTGTAGTAATTGTAAAATAGTGTCTAAGAATTGTGGTTCTAATTTGTGTTTCTCTGATGATAATTCAGTTGAAAATCTTTTCATTTGCTTAATGACCATTCATGTATGTAAATAAATTTTGTGTTCGTCTTTTGTCTGTTTTTTTTTTTGTTAGGTTATGTGTCTTCTTATTGAGTTATACGGGTTCTTTCTATATTCTGGACACCAGCCCTTTGCAGATATCTTTCTCCAGTCTCTGACTTGCCTCTTCATTTTTATAGGTGTCTTTTGAAAAGCAGCAGGTTTTACTTTGATTAACTCAAATTTGTCATTTTTTACATTAATGTTTAGTGTTTTTCATGTTCTAAGAAATCTTCCTGCCTCAAGGTCACAGAACATTTATTTCCTTATATAAGTTATATAATTTAATCTTTTACATTTACATCTAGGATCCATTTGGAATGAATTTAATGTGTGGTGCAAAATAAGGGTTGAGGTTCATTTTTTTCCTCACGTGGTTATCCACATTTTTCCTCCATTTACTGAAGAGACCACCCTTTCCTCATTGATCGCATTGGTGTCTTTGTGGGAAATTGATCAATCATGTATGTGTGTGCCTGTTTCTAGGGTCTATCCTGCTCCATGAATTTGCACATCTGTCTTTACACAATAGCACACAGTCGTGATTATTGTAACTTTATAGTAAGTATTTAAATCACTTGTACCCAAATACCTGTTATAGATTACTCCACTTTCTGGCAGAATCCAAGCCAAGACAACTGGGGACATCTTACTGCACAGCTCCTTGCTAGCATCTCTACATTTTTACATTGGTACCTGTAGTGGCTTGGATCTGTTTCTGACCCTGTCTCTGGGCTAATCTATAAAAAAGCATTGACTGGCTATCCTTACCTGATATCACTGTAGAAAACATGTATTTTCCCTTCCTCTCTGCAATAATCGTATAAGATTATAAAAGTATAAGTTGTTGAAAGTTCTTAAAAATAAAGCTTACTTTGCATTTCTAATTTCTTAACTTTCAGTCTTTTTCTACTTTTGCTCCAAAAATGTTACCACAACAGACAAATGCCAGTGGTTATGTGTTAATACCAGGAATTTCAGCCTTTTTTAAATACCAAAGAACGTGTGGTTCATGAAACATCCCTCGTCTGACACACTCCCATAGCCTTATTCAAGTTTCTAAAGAATTCCCCTGTCCAAGAACTGGGATTCCACCTCTTTCTCTCCTTCTCAGAAATGTGCATCTAAGTCAAAATGATTGAGTCATATTATTATAAAGAAAATCTCCCAAGGGTCAGTACTTCTTATTTGGTACTTTATTGAGAGTAACGGGTTGCCTGTGTCCTAGCACAGACCTGCTGCTCCGTGTTTTGTTTGACTTAGCACAGAACCACGTACACAGCAGGGACCACGTACACTTAACGCCTGTATAGTGGGTATAAAAATGATATGGTTTGGCTGTGTCCCCACCCAAATCTCACCTTGAATTGTAATAATCCCAATGTCAAGGGTGGGGCCAGGTGGAGATAATTGAATTATGGTGGTAGTTTACTCCATACTGTTCTCCTGGTAGTGAATAAGTCTCATAAGATCTGATGGTTTTATAAATGGGAGTTCCCCTGCACATGCTCTGTTGTCTGCCACCACGTAAGATGTGACTTTGCTCCTCTTTCACCTTCTGCCATGATTGTGAGGCCTCTCCAGCCATGTGGAACTGTGAGTCTATTAAACCTCTTTTTTTTTTCCTTATAAATTACACAGTCTTGAGTATGTCTTTATTAGCAGCATGAGAACGAACTAAAACAACACATAAACAATCTACAAATTCAGCTGGATGCCACCATAATGCTCTGTATGCTACTGCAAGTTAATACAGTATGCTCAGTCAAGTCTGTCTACAGCAGGGAGATGTGCCTCCACCTTAGTGATGGACCTCTTGGTGATGAAAATTTAGGGCCTAACAAGAGACAGATTGCACTGTCTCTTCCCAAGCCCATGTTCAGTGACATCATGTTGATATTTTCCAATCAGCCAAGATGGGAGTTTTTACGCTATAGACATTGGCAAGAGCTAAAAATTAAAGCTTTTTTCCCCCTCAAGGAGCAGATTGTTAAACACCAGCACATCACTGGACATGACCTTTCTGCTGGTAGGGAGGCAAGGTAGCAGTTGACTTTTCATAATGTGCTGTTGCTGTGTGGGAAGAGGAAGGGCTCATCCTGACTGAGGCAGTCATTTTAGGGACCGACATCTCCCTGCTGTAGACAGACTTGCCTGGGGACACTGTATTAATTTGCAATATCATGTAGAGCATTATGATGGAATCCAGCTAAGAACAACCTCATAACCAGTCTCCAGAGGTCCGTCCAGGAGACGGCGTGGCCAGTGGTGGGCGCCCTGGGCTGTATGTCCCCATCTGTGTCTGCCTTTGTGCCACTCATTTACACCAGCAATTGCAGGAGACTGGGACCCCCTCTCTTCAAAATTACTACCCCTCTTTATGTAGAGGCACACTGCCTAAAAAAACAAGTTGGAAAATTTTCCAAATAGCTTTGACTCAATAATTATCCGACAGCATGTGGACTATCTCTTGGGTCTTTTATACCATCAAACCAAATTGGCAGCATGAATCTTATAATCCTATTTACACATGTTTTGGGTTAGGAAGGAGTGGTACAGATTTTGTTCTAAACAGCATCCATTAGTTACTACTTGTACAATACATTCTATATGCGGGCCCTGTGATAAATGTCAAGGCTACAAAGAATGTGGCTCTTGCCCTCCAGGACTACAAATTCATTGTGGAAGACTGGGAAATAAAGCAATGACAGTTGGGTGCAATCAATGCTTTACCGAACTTAGGAAGAAATCAGGGAATCTTCCCAGGTGAGGTGCTACTTGGACATATATTTTCAAAGCAAATGAGTGAGAGTTATTCTAGCAGACAAGGAAAATGAGGTTGCTTTGGACAGAGAGAGGTGAAGGTGAGAAGGAGACCCACTTGCCTCTGGGGATCTCTCTTGGACTCAGGGGATGTGGATCAGTGGCAGGCACCCATCTGGGAGGATGGGGCTCACGTTTTGTGGACCTGTGGAAATGATATGGAGCAGGATATAAAAGTGGAATCATTTTGCTCAGCTTCAGAGGATCCCCAAGAAAATGACTGCTATGTTCCAAAGCAAAGTTTGAGGCCACTCTGCAGGAGGTGGTGAAGAAAACAGGCAGCTTTATTACTCTTAACCCTTTACCCACACTGAGAGTATAGAAAAAGGCTTGGAGATAAAAAGAAGATTTTGGAGAGAGTTATTGATATGTCGTGAGTCCCAATCCCACCCCCAGGGGAGTGGATGGATAAATGTATACCATGGGTAAAGAGATGAAGCCCTCACCCTCCAGAGTGGGTGCCCAGTCTACAGAAGGCATGGACCGGCAGGGAGGGGTAACTGCAAGTGAAATCGCACATTTTAATGGAGTCACTACGCTGGATGTTTGAACTACTACCTTGGATGGTCACTTGTATTATCTGGAAGTGACCAGAATACTGATGAAATGTGACCTAAATTTCATTCAAGGGCAGGAGAAGATTCAGCATCCAGTGTAAATTTGAAAGATTGATGGGATTCAAAATAAAATTACTATATCGTTATATCCACGAATTGAATTGTGCTTGTTCAATGACATAGTGGTTACAGATATGTGCAATTTTTTCTCCTGGGAGAAGGGTATATATATATATATATATATATATATATATATATATATATATATATATATACACTTTTTTTTTTTTGAGACAGAGTCTTGCTCTGTCACCCAGGCTGGAATGCAGTATGTGATCTCGGCTCACTGCAACCTCTGCCTCCCGGATTCAAGTGATTCTGCTGCCTCAGCCTCCCGAGTAGCTGGAACTACAGGTGCCCACCACCATGCCCGGCTAATTTTTGTATTTTTAGTAGAGATGGGGTTTCACCATATTGGCAAGGCTGGTCTCGAACTCTTGACCTTGTGATCTGCCCTCCTCAGCCTCCCAAAGTGTTGGGATTACAGGCGTGAGCCACCGCGCCCGGAGGGGTTCATATCTTTATAAGGACAAAAAAGGATCCAGGATTCAGAAAGGTTATTACAGCTTCTGTGGATGGGGGGAAGGCATTCAGTTGGGTCAGGGGTCATCGTATGATCAGCTTTGCGTTGTATGCATCATATGCATCGTATGATCAGTGGCTTCCTGTCGGAGCAGGTCGGAGAAAATGACTGCTAGGTCTGGAGGCAGGGAGACCAGTGCCAGGGCTGGGGGGCTGCTGTGCGAGCACAGGCCCTGCAAGGCTGAGGGCTCGTAGCTTGGGTTGGAGAGCTCAGGGCAGGCTGGAGAGATGCCTGAAGGCCTGAGTCGATGGGAATAGGGACGAGCAGATGTTGAAGACGAAGGCAGAATGAAGACGGTCCCCGGGATTCTGGGCTGAGCCCCTGGATGGATGGTGGTCTTGTAACCGAGCTGAGGGAATAAAAGGAAAAGTGGGGTCAGGGGGATAATGACTGGCTCAGACCAGGAATTCGAGGTACCAGGTTTTGTGCTTGGGAGAGAGATGTGGGCTAGATTTGGGAGAAAGTAGAGACACGGAGTGCAGGCAATTGTTTTAGAATCTTAGAAAGTATAACATAATATAGAAGACAGAATATGGAGTTTGTTGGTTTGCTTTTAATTGGGGACACTTGGATATATTTGTAGAAAACTCAGGCCACTAGTTTTCACTCCAAAGAGGAGAACTCTGGTCCACAGGTGGTGGCTGGCAACCAGGGCAGAGCAGAGGTGGGGAAGACACATGGCCCCCAAGGAGCCTGATATCTTGGGGCTGCCGGGCATGCTTGTTCACTATAGTCACTCAGGGTATTCGCCTTCACTGCCCTTGGATTCTGTGGGACACCCCGGGTCCTTTCTGTGCCTTCGTCATCTTTAGAAGCTTCCATGTGGCTGGGAGGGCTTCTGTTTCTAGCAACTGAAGGATGTGAGACAAACGCCCTGACTTCCAGGGGCTCTGTCGCCCAAGGGAGTTTGAGAGTTCGTGCCTGGTGGGCTCACTCACGGGTCTGAAATGCCCCCTCTGCTGGGATCCAGAGCCCTCCTTCTGTCACCCTGCCTAAGAAGACAACACCCAGGCTTTCCGCTTCATTTACCGTCTCAAAGTCACATCACGTAGAAACTCAGGGTTTCTATTTGACATTTCTTCCGCATTTGTGCAGATGTCTGTAGGAAAGACACATGCTACACCCCAGGATCTGGGAGCCAGAGTGCCACAGGCAGCCAATCAATGTTTAGACGATGATGTTCAAGGTATGGCAAGAAGAGTGCACAAAATATTAGGGCTCCGGGGAAGAATGAGTGTATCAAATCGTCAATAAAAGTGTGGCAGACGGACAAAATCAACTTTCAGTGCTGCACTTTACAACTTGGTTATGAAACACTACGATTTCATGGTATATGACACGGAATCTCTTCTATCTGGGGATGTAAAATAAAACCCCTGGGAATATACTTTACAGTTCTTATGGGGAGAGCTCACTGTGTTTTCCAAGCCAAATAAATTTATATTATTAGAAAGAGAAGTCATGTTTATTTATTAAATTATTTGCCTGGTTTAGTGTATCATTGTTGAATTTCACACACCGAAAACATACGGCGTAATGAGAATTGAAAAGCCCCAACTTTAAAGTCTGCGAGAAAGGAAATGAAGTTGTGGACAGCTGTTCTCTGTTTCTCAGCACGACTACAAAGGAGGGGCCACGTTTCACCACTGTAAGTTTTGCTTCCTTTTCAGAGACTCATTGCATGTATTCCTGGAGAAAATACAGGACCACGTTTTGTGAGTTGTGAAGCACCAACGATGCGATGTTTTGCTCCCGTACCAGAATTTTCTTTCTAACGATTCTTGGTCCCAGGAGAAGCTAGATAATTAGCTAAGTTTGTTGAATTTGTGATAGGAAGATGATTTTTTACATCGTTGTAGGCACAATGGGTACTTTGATGACAGGTGTGCCCCTGGGGGAAAAGGACCTCTTTGAGGCCTCCTTCTGGAAGGACGGCTTCTCAGGGCCCACTCACTGACACACACCTCTTGACTTCAGTGATCAATGAAGTTCCCCCTCTGTCTCTCTGAGTCCATCTCTCTCCACAAGGGCAGGGCTAGTTCACATTGTGATTTTTACTACATAGATACTTTTCCACTATAAATTTAATAAAATTTGTTGTCAGTTTTTGGTGGTTATAATGATAAATTAAATTTACAGGTATCAGAGTGTGCTCTGAGATTTAAATTGTAACATCCAAAGATGAGCAGACAGCCAGTCACCGTGGAGAGGGCGCTCAGGCCTGCCAGACGTGACCACCCTCCTGCCTGAAGCTTTACTCACTACAGGAAGAGAGGGTTGGAGAACCTGGGCAGCAGAGAGTGCGCAGAGCACCAGAGGCAAACAGATGTGGGCAGTGCCATCCAGACCCTGCCTGGGGATGGGGAGCCTCGTTCAGGGGACTGGGCGACCCAGCCCACTGGCAGGAAGGGCAAGGAGGCTGTGTTTCCTGTGACCGTTATGCAGGAGGCTCACTTAGCCCACTTCCTTTGCTCTGAATCCACCCCAGTGAAAGCATGTTCTCACTATGTTTTGGCTTCTCTCTAAGAGCTGCCTACAGGGAGAGAAAGGGGCTGGCCTTGGAGGTGGTTGTTCCCACTGTAAATCAATGCAGCATTGGCCCTGTGACTTTTGTCTTCCCCTGAACAGTACATCCTCTCTTGTCGGGCTTCAGCAGCATTGACTCTAGAGTCAGAGAGTTGGAGGTTGGTGGAGACTTCTTATTCCACCTGTCTTAGATGGCATCCATCACCCCTGTCCATAGACACACATTGTCATGATGACAGGTGGTTGTGAGACCTCAGCAATAATGATTCTAGAAACTGCAGAAAACCTAGTACAGTGTGAAGAAGGAAATAAAAGTTGCCCAGAGCCTCTTTATAGAGAGCTAATGACTGTTTACAAATATTATTCTTGTTTTTTTCTTCTTGCTTTTTAACATATTTCAAGTCCTACAGTATAAAAGTGTTAGTATACTTATGGAAGTTCAGGTCCTAACTGAGAAATGTTCTTTAGAGAGGCAAATTTATCTCTAGGCTTATCTGTCAAAGAATGTATATTCTTTATACACAAAAGAATAGGCTCCACAAATATATGTATAAAGTTGGTTTGGATTTACCGACAAGCAGATTATTTTCTTTGTTCACGTTTCCTTCTTGCATATCAGACCATTTTTTTCCTGAGACCATTTTATTCCTTTAAGTAGTGGAACCTTTTGAGAAGTTCCTTTAAGGAAGCTTTGCTGGCAGAAAACTCAATTTTTTGATAGTTAAAATGTTTTTTAAATTTTTGCACTCATTCTTAATAGGTAATTATCCTGGGCTTACAATTCTAGATTGACAGCTGTGATCTTTCATCATGTTAGAGATATGAATCCACTGATTTCTGGCTTCCATTTTTGCAGCTGAAAAGTCATATTTCAATCTAATTGCCTATTCTTTGTGCAGTCTGCCTTTTCTCCAGGCTGCTTTTAAGATCTTCCCTCTTATCTTTCATTCATTTTTTTTTTTTTTACAGCGTATCTGGGTGCTAGCTCTTCCAATGCCTTCTGCCTGAGATTTGTTGTGCTTCCTGAATCTGAGGATTTGTGTCTTTCATCAATTTGGAAAACTCAGAGGAGCCACTTTCCCTGATTGTTGTGTCATCCCATTCTCTGAAGTCTTTCCTTCTGGAATTGCAATTAGACATATCTTCCACATTCCCACTGGCCTTTCCTAGTTTTCATTTCTCCTTCCCATTTCCCATGTCTATGTTTTTTTCTACATTCTAATGTTGCAGTCTGTATCTGATAATTTTAATAACTATAGTTTTACAGGTTTGATCCTGCTGTTTGTTGTTCCTGCTTAATTCTCATAGTATCTTGGGTTTTTTCATGTATTTTATGATTTAATTTTTTTTCTTATGAACTCATGATCAGTGGTATTCAGGGAATGGTTTGAGGCCTAGGTTGAGAATGCCTCTCCCAGAAAGCATGTGTGTTTGTTTCAATCTGGCTACTGCATGAAGGCCTACTTTAAACTGAATTCTTAGCCAAGATATTTTTGGACCACAAAGATGTTATGAAATCAGGCCCTAAACCCACATAAAGTCTGGTATGTTATTTTGAATTCTCAGGGAACATTTTTTCTCCCTCCCACCAGAACCTAGGTTAAGATGGTAAGATTTTCACCATCTCCCTCGTTAATCTTCCCAGGGAGGGTGTGGCATCTTGCAGGGAGGTCTTTGATCTGACTTCTCAGCTTTGTCACCTGCCCCGTCTTTCATGAGCAAACCAATTCAGGAAGAGGACAGCTGAGCAAGGACACTGTAAACCTTACGGGCAAGAGTTATCATTCAACTTAGGAGGAGAGCTCCATGTGACTCTCTAATGGCAGAGACTATGGAGCATTGTTTGAAGAGAGTTGCAGATGTTGACCTTCTCTGACATAACAGCCAATAAAAACTCACATAAGCACAGTTCAGTATTTATTTAATTGTGATTTATACTTACTGGATGAGTTTCTTGCCAACTAGCTTATTAAAAGCTCGTGCACATGCATCTAAAGAGGTCATACGATCATTCTGGAGTGTCATTCCTGATGACAAGCAACAAGGGCGCACATATTTAAAGCTATTCTTACAACTTTAACTTGAGCATCTTTTGGTCGAAAATTGGCATAGTTTAATTAAGTGAAAAACCTTAATTACCTTAGGTCCACCTTGGAAGGAACCTGAGACTGCTTTAATGTGTTACTAAGAACTCATGGTAAACTTTGCTTATCCAATATGAGATAAGCTCTTCTCATTTCCAACAAATTTGAGCAGAGACACTTTTCAGGTCCAGGTCTCTGCCCCTGCCCTCTTCCTGTGTCTTCTCCTCCAGCCCTAGCTCCGACCCTGCAGACCCAAAGGTAGAGTGAGCGGAAAGGGAGCAGCTTCCACCTTTGCCAGCCCCAGCCTGCTCCACGGTCCCTCCTTGGCCTCTGTAAGCCTGCCCATACCCTTTTGTGGAAGCCTACATAGTCTCCCCTGCTGAGGGCTCCATCAGTTCCCTGTCCCTGCCAGCAGGGTAACCTAGGTATCCTGCATTCCTCCTTAATGACCTGAAGGCTCACATCCTCTGGGTCCCCTCACACAGTGAGGTGGCATGTCTGTCTCTCTGAAAGATTAGTCTTCATGAGGCCTCTTGACTAAGTGGTGTGTCTGGTCTACTGGGAGATATGTGGCCAGTAGTTTTTCAAGCGATTTAATTCTTAACTAAATAATAGTGGAGTCAAGATGTTCATTAGGGCAGCACCCTCCTCCCTTGGCTGCACTTCTGGGTGTGAGAACAGTAGTAGGATCATAGTTGGTGCTGGAAGACTTGTGTGTGGTCCGTGTCCCACCCAACCCATGGGTGAAAGGGAACGAGCCACCACGGACCTGCCCTCCATAGCTGTGTCAGGTGCAACTATGGTGGAGCCCTGTACATCCCTGGGAAGTGTATTTTGAAAGTGGACATTATCTGTTTTGGGTTTGGCAGAAGAAAATTGGCTGTGAACTGTCCATCCATTTATTTCTGGAGGACTGATGGGTAAACAGTGTTTACAAATCATCTGTTTCTCTAATGTGACGGAGGGAATTTCTAGCTGTCTGGTGTTTCTGACATCCCCAACTGTGAGGGCCTATGCTAAGGCTGCCTGCTGTGGGCAGGGCACTGTCTGCCCAGGTACCCGGGGCCCTTTTGACAAGGGCTCTTTAAATGCAGGTTCATCAACAGCTCCAGTTCTATTGCCACAGCCAAACTGCAGCAACGTGGATTCCTGTGGGTGCATAGTCTGTTTCCATCCCTAAGGCCATGCGAGGGGCTGGCTCTTCCTGGCCATTCTGCACAGTGAAGGCGGTGTGTGAGGAGAATTCAACAACATCCTTCTTCGTGCCTGCCCCTGGTGTCCACTGGACACGTAATGTGGCAGTATGGCTTTGCAAGACGAGGTCCGCATGGGAGATGTTGGGGGTGGCAGGGTACCCGGCTGCGCACACATCTGCCAGGCCAGTGTGCACGCTGCTCACCTTGGCAAAAGAAAACCTTTCAGTTTCCATTGGTGTAGTTAGGGCTGATGTGTCAACATTCTTCACGTCATCGGGCAGTAAAATACATGCTGATTGATGGCAGCACCTTCTGAGGATATCCAGCTTGTGAGATTACTCTGCTTGGTTTCAGGTAGGTGGTCTGCACCAAGGGTGAGGCTAGGGGTGAGCAGGCCTGAGACTTAGCTTCCGGCAATGTGGGCTCTCAGAGAGCAAATGAATCCAGTCTCCCTCAGTCACCTGGGGACTGACCTGACATCTTGTCGCTGAGCAAGGCTTTGGACAAGGCATGAAACCTCTCGGAGCCTCAGCCCCTCATTGGTAAAATGGGTGTCTTAGTAATTCTCTGCAGGGCTGTCACCAGGGTTCAAAGAGCAATGCAAAGTCAAAGTCTCCATTAACGAGCGGCTACTCAATACATATTTCTTACTGCTGTCCTTATGTTTATTGTTCATGAAACCACTTTCCGTGTCATGTGCATTCACACACGGCTGCCCCGGCTGGGTGGCTGCAAGAATGACTCTTACCTTTCTATTTCCTACAGCTGGAAAGCCCGGGCCCTTCCTTTTGGTTTCGTATTACCAATCCTCCACCTTGTTTGTAAGTCCTTGTTATGGGGACAGTGCCTTCTTCCCTGTGGAAGTTTCTGCCTCAGTTTCCCTGCCTTCCTCAGCCCTGTAGGCACACCTACCCTGCTGGGCTCTTCCACAAGTTCAGGCCCTGCTTCTGCATCTCACACTTCCCGAGGGCAGGGCTGGGAGGAACCCGGCGAGCACCAGGAGAAGTGGAAGCTTGGTGCCTCTTCTCCCTCAGCCTCCCGGTGCTCCGGGCTCTGCATATGGGCACAGCCAGGAAGTCCAGTTCTCAGGCTTCATGCCCCAAGCCCCATTTCCCCTCCTACCCGGCCATTTGAGTCCCTTGTCAAGCCTCAGGAGACCCCACTGGTGGCTTGGAGCTGGAGGTGGCTGCCCCCAAGTCCAGCCTTGTGGCTGCAGGAAGGAAAGTGTGCTCCTGGCCCCCAGGAGGGACTCAGACAGCATTTCCCCTTGAAACCCTGAGGTACTGGGTGGGCACAGCAGTCCGGCAGTGCTGTGGGTGAGCTGACATCAGGGGCCATCCTGCCACCTGAATCTCCCAGTGTGTATTGTCTCTGTGGGAAAACTGGGTGCAGACACCAGCTGATTTGCAGCCTAACTGACTCCAATGTAAAAATGGACTGTGTCCAGACTCCTTCCCCTTTCCCCCTCTGGTCTAGTAGAACAATGGCTTCTAAAAGGCAAAATGGAATATTTGCAAATACCAAAATGTGCCTTGGACTGTTTGGAAACAATGTTATACTTCTCCTTTTCAGTGTGAACCAGCATTGATTTATATTTCAGCCCAGACCTCCAAGACCTTGATGGGCTTGGCTCCCTTTGCCCTTAGTTCTCTGAGCCTTGCATGTGGGACCCCTTACAAAAGGCTAGGAGGGGCTGGGCCCACCCGACTCTGAGACAGCGTTGCCCTGGTCCCGGCAGATCAAGTAGCCACGGCCTCTGCTCAGAGGCTCAGCTCTGGTCGGCCTGCTTGTCCTTCCCCTCCTCGTGGCTTGGTGACCCTCCTGTGCACTCGGGCCTGGCTTCTTCTCTTATTTAATCAGCATTTGGGTAACTGAAACCTGGTCTCTACCCCCGTAGAACTTTCTGCCTGGGTTTCCCATCCAATACTCTGATGCAGGGTATTTACAATTTTGTAAGGAAGACCCAGGGGATTTCCCAGAGCAAAATGGTGCTGGTCTTTTAAGATGGAAATGTGCATTGTGAGCCCTTGAAAGGAGAGTGAAAAGGGAGGGAGACCTTGCTGTTCAGTCGCCCTGGCCAGGACTTCTCAATGTGTCCTCCGGGTGGATGTGAGGGCGTCGGAGGGGACAGATGCTGGGGAGAGAAGGGCTGATCATGCATCTGAAGTTCATTCAACTACTTTCTATTATACATGGTGAAAATTTGAGGAAATTAGTAAAATCAGAACTAAGGGAAACTGTCAACAGTCCCCCATCACCTGAAGAAAGTCACTTCTCAGGTTTTGGTGTCTGTCCTCCCAGTCTTTCCCCCCTCCTTTTCATTCTTGCGTAGTGGTGATCACTATCGTGGCAGTGATTCAAAACAACTTTCCTTTTTGGGAGGAGGGGAGAGAGATAATTTTATTTGGAAAAAATGGTAAATGCTTGCTATTGTTAAAAAGGTAGAAAATATAGATGAACTATGATGATGCAGTTGGAATGGGGTGATTTCAGAAGTATTTGGTTTCAAAGGAATATTTACAGAGGCATGCTCTGCGTGTAGGAAACTTGGAGTTGAGTAATAACATAGAGCATGTAGCCACTGAAGGGACAAGGGAGGGAGGGACCCAGGGAGGGAGGGGACCCCAGGGCCGAGAAGTAGGGTCATAGGAAGGTTAAGGAGATATCACGCTGGCCACTTGTACGGGCCTCTTCCCAGGCCCTAGGAGAGGCCTCAGGATGTGTTCATGTTAGCAAAGTGTTTGAGAAATTTGCAGAAGTCACACATTTTAGCCAGGATCAGGTTATTCTATTTCTCTTCCCGTTCTTATTTCCTTCTGCACATTGGCCCATGCTTGGTGGTTGGAATGACACTGGCATTTTGTTTATCATGTGATACTCCTTTTCTTACAGGACTACCCTAATTTTGTCCGTTCCAGGCCGCACAACACCTGGCTCCACCTTTGCGGAGGAGATCCAGTTGCCTGCGGTTGGCTGCTTTGCAGTGCACCCTGGGGGGAGGGTGGGAGAGCAGGTGATATCCCTCTCCTCCTCCCCCCTGCTGAGGGCCCCATGGGTGAATCCCACTCCGAAGCCAGAGGCCCCAGGAGCCTTCCAGGCAGACAGTAGGTGGAGGAAGGCAGAGAGTAGACCTGGAGGGGCAGATGGAAGAGCTTGGCTCATCATATGTCCAACGCCTAAGGAAAACCACAGGTGCCATTTGGCAGATATACGCTTACAGTCCCTTAAGGGGAACTCTTTAATTTTGCTTGAGGCAGAAAAAAACAGGACATGGAAAAGCCAATAAAGAAAGGCCAGAGGGAGAGAAAACACATCACCAAGGTTCCCAGCATAGGAGAACATAGGCTGAGCTGGAAAATGACCTGGTTGCTTGGAACAGGATCACAAATTCAGTGAGTTAAGTCACAGATGCAGAAGCACCTGCGTAAAGTCTGAGAACCAAAAAGGAAGCTCCCAATTCCCTGGCCACGGTTGAAGGCACCCATGTGGACCAGCCCCTGAAACCCCTGAAGCTCAGGAGGGTTTCCCGCCATGCGGGAGGGGCACCAGCAAGCCTATGTTCAGAGAAGCTGCGAACTGCGAGTGCTGGGCTTGTGGAGTGAGGCCTCTTGGTTTGTCAGCGTCTGCTGCAGTAAAGGGAGTGGAGTGTCTCAGATGTCTTTAGAAAATGAAAATGTTTTCTTTGGTAATGTTTTGAATATTTCATCTCTACTTGTTTCCGTCATTCTGGGAAGCTTATCCTGTAGTGTTATTTAACAATCTGTTTGCGTAGAGCTTTATTCAGAAAATTGTTTCCCACCTGCTGTCTGCATCGTAGTTGGTGAGGGTCCTGGACAGAGGTTCATGAGGACACAGTACACCAGGAGTGACTCACGAGCCTCAGGGCTGTGTCCTGGGTGGATACAGAGCTCAATCTCATGGAGGAAGATGTCACTGGAAAAAGTCCTAGGTGGCTCTGATATCTGCCCCTCTCCCTTCCTCCCTTCTGGGAAAATAAGTGAGTAAGACATAGTCCCTTAACTTCGAGGGGTTATTAACTCTTCATGCATCTTATACAAATATGTATAATGTGGAGCATCACTAAGGATCCAGAGGGAGCAATCAATTCCAAATAAGAGCTATCCAGGAAGGCATCAGGAAGAAAGTAATATTTAGAAGAAAGGCAGATGTATCAGAGAAGGAAACTCCACAGTAACTTGAACAGGGAATATTTGATTCAAAGAATTTTTAATTATAACAGAGGACTGGAGTAAGGAGGGATTGGCTAGAAAGAAGTAAACAGAACTCTAAGGAAGATGGGATTAGCAGACATAGGAGCAGTCATGACCCCTAGGGCTGAGATAGGGCATCCAGGGAGAAGCCCCTGCCCCCAGGGCTGAGGTTTAGGTTTTGGAGAGAGCACTGCAGCACTCCCTGGGTGCCAGAAACCTGTCCTCTTGGGCACCAAGAAAGCTGTTCATGGGGAAGTGTCTCATTAGAGGCACCCAGCGCAAACAGCAGGGGGTGCAGGGAAGGGTCTGGCTGCCATGCTCTGGGAGAACTGGGCACCAGAGCAGGTGCGAGCAGGGCAGGAGCCCTAGATGCTAACACACCAAACTAGGAAACAAAACCCTTCCTCCTGCTGTATCTCTCTGGCACCCTCTCCTGTCAAGCTTAATATCATGCCAACTGGCATAGTAGAAATAGTTAAAGGGGCCCACACTTATTTTCACAGAACAGGCAAAAAGGGTGCATTTGTAGCTGAGAGGAGGTGAGTCGATAAGCATCAGAGTAGGGGTTCACTGAATGTCAAGTTTGGAAGGGGCTGTAAAGGTCCTATATTCCGTCCCCCGTCCTCAGGGTTTAAATCTCAAATCCTCACATGCCAATCAAGTGGTTGCCAAGCTCATGCTGAGGCATCCACAGCGGCAGGTGGCCTCCACTTCCTGTCTGAGATGCTCAGGAAGTTCCTGCTCACACTGAAGCAGTGCTGCTTCTGGAAATAATGAGGTCTCACCTGACAGCCCTTCAAATACATGAGCCGTTTTTCTGCTGTGCTTTTTCTTTGCTTTTGCTTTGTTTCTTGTAAACTACACATCTTACCTCTGTGACAATTCAGAATCTTCACTCTATACCAATCATGGGCACGAGTACACTTCTATAGGTCTAGGTCTCTGCAGGGGTGGGGAATATCTCCCCTCAAAAACTTGCTCCAGCTGCACTCTGATAGTGCAAAATGGAGCAGGACCATTGGACCGTTTCATATTTTGCCATTTCATCCATAACTGACCCGTTTTGCTGGTCATGGTGATTGATCTAGGGAGTGACTCCTGAGCTGTGTCAGAAATGGGACTAGGAAAGAGAAGTCTATTTTCATACCTGGTCATGAAACTAAGAAGAAATGAGCCCTAAAAGCTGCCTTCAGCTCTGATTCCAGCTTGAGAGGATGCATCCAAGAGGAGAGAGAAGCAGAGAAAAGAAACAGAGAAGACATCCTGATGTCATGACAGCCCCTGGTTCCTGTCATTCCTGAGGCCAGCTCCGCCCTCATTCTGCCTCCATGTGGTTACATGAGCCAGCAGATGCCTACTTTTTTGCTTAAACTAGTTCTAGTTGGGTTTCTGGAAATTACCAACAAATAATATCAACTTACATGGCCTTTTTACCTTAAAGGAAAAAAAAAAAAAAAAGAAGCAGGAGGCATTGGCTCACTCCTTTGCCACAGGGCTTCTGTAGAAGCAAATGTCACTTTAGCTAGAACTGGGAATTTGTTGTGAAGGATGTTTAGGGACAGCGTATTTAGAAACTAAGATCTTGCTCCTCCCCATGTCTTCCCTTTCCTTTCTCAACAATTCAGTCCTAGAGCAAGTAGGTGGGGGCAATCTGCCATGGGAGCCACAGAGGCTCAGAGTGGGGTGAGGAGGGTGTCCAGGGTGGGGGCTCCTGTGTGAGGAGTTAGAGTCCATGTGGGGTGAGGGGAGCATTTTCACAGAAGGATCACCCAGTCGGGGTATCAGGTCCCAGACAGGGTGAGGAGGACATCCACACCAGGGGACCAGGAACTTGGAGGAGTTGGAGCTTGAGCAAGAAGAGGGTGCTTGTGTGCAGCCAGGGTGGCGCTTGCCACGGAGATGGGAGGTCAGTTACTGTGGGAGGCTGGGAGGCTGAATAAGAGCCCCCAGAGAGGTCCACATCTTGAGCTCCAGAACCTGTGAATCGTCCCTTATATGGCAAAAGGGGTGTGATTAAGTTCAGGGTCTTGAGATGGGAGATTATCCTGAATTATCTAGGTGGAGCCACTGTAGTCACAATGGTCCTTATATGACGGGGGCAGGGGGCCAGTAGTAGGCAGTGTGAGGATGCAAGCAGAGGTTGGAGCGATTCGAGGAGGGGCCCAAGCCACAGAATGCAGGTGGCCCCTAGTAGCTAAAAAAGGCAAGAAAGCAGATGCAGCCCCAAAGCCTCCAGAAGGAAGGCAGCCCTGCTGGCACATTGATCTCAGCCCAGGATATCTAGAATTGTAAGGTAATACATCTGTCTTTTTGTTGCTGTTGTTTTTTGAGACGGAGTCTCACTCTGTTGCCCAGGCTGGAATGCCATGTTGTGATCTCCGCTCACTGCAACCTCCACCTCCCAGGTTCAAGTGATTCTCCTGCCTCAGCCTCCCAAGTAGCTGAGATCACAGTGCCCACCACCATCCCTGGCTAATTTTTGTATTTTTAGTAGAGACGGGGTTTCGCCATGTTGGCCAGGCTGATCTCGAGCTCCTGACCTCAGTTGATCCCCCCACCTCAGCTTCCCAAAGTGCTGGGATTACAGACATGAGCCACTGCACCCGGCCATTTGTCTTGTTTTAAGCCACTAACATTATGGTGATTTGTTTCAGCAACAATAAGACGCTAATAAAGTTACATCCAATGGGACTGAGCAAATAAATAATTATAACGAGGACAATGGAAGCTAGGTCTCTCACTATGGAGAAAGGAGTTACAAACATGGAAATGGAGAAAACTTGAATGAATTTTGTATAATGGATTGGAATTAGAGATGCTGGTGGGAACCAATTACTGTTAATACAGATATGTGCATATATATTTTCATGTGAACGTATGTGTGTGTGTGTGTGTGTGTGTGTGCATACGTATAGATGTCTTGGCTTTTACCACTGAGAGAGCCTGGAAGTTGCAACACACCAATAGCAAGGAGCACACTTTGCACCCAGATCTTGGCTTCTAAATCTTGTTTTCCACAAAGGCTCCTTGGAAAGGCAGATTCCAGGGAATCTTAAATAAAGTGCAAGATGAGCCCACACTGACTTTTTGTGCCAGAAAATGAGGAAGTATTCAAAGAATGATGGCCATATATTGAAAGGACATAGAGGCTAGCCCCCACTGGCCAAATCAGGAATAATCTGAGCTGTCAACTAAATACTGAGAGTAATGGATTATAACTCACGAAATAGAACAGTAAACCACAAGTTCATACAGATGGAAATAAACAGATGAATAAATTGAAAGTTTGAGAATGAGATATTTGCATACATTTAAAGAATCTTCCTTCAAAATACTTATTAATGACATAGAGAAAAGGGAGTGGAACAGCCTGACAGCCAGTTCCAATCACAGCAAACATCATCAGTCATGGGACAAATTGGTGTTGGTGACCACTGGATGGGTTGCCATGAGAACACACCCTCACTTCTATGATATGCATGCCAGAAACGTGAGACCTGAATCTTATCTTAAGGAACGATCAGACACACCCAAATGGAAGGATATTCTACAAAATAATCAACCTGTTATGTTCAGATGTGTCCAGGTTATGAAAGTCAAGGGAAGACTGAGAAACTGGGCCAGACTGAAGGAAACTGCAGAGACCAGCAACTAAAGGCACCACGTGATTCTGAGGAGTCTTTCTCTAGAACAGACACGCTCGGGATAGTTGTGATGCAGGGCAGGTTCTTGGCTTTGCTCAGGAAAGAACTCAACAGTCAGCTGGTGGTGGAAAAAAGCAGCTTTATTGAGTCCGGCAGTGATGCATCTCCGTGCCTGCTCCTTGGGGAGCAGGGCAACCCTATAGGCAGTGCGTGGAGAGTAGTAGCCTATGGGCCGCTGCTAGTCATATTTCCATCCACTGTTAATGACATGCTAATGAAGGGGCGGGTCATTCAGAAATAGCTAGGAAATGGGTGGTAACTTCCGGCTGTTGCCATGGCATTGGTAAACTGTCATGGTGCTGGCAGGAATGGCTAAGGGTGATGGGCAGCGAGAACAACCAGAGGCGCTTTTTGTGTCTTTTTCTAGTTTTGGCCTGTTCTCAATCTGGTCTGGGAGACGAATCCTGCTGACCTCCTACCTCTGCTGGCAAAACTCGAGTGGGGTCTGGGAACTTGAAGGAAGGAAAGTGTTGATGCTAACTTCCGGATTTTGTGGTTACATTGGGATAAAGCGGGAGAATATCCCTATTTGTGGGAAATACACACAAGTATTTTGAGGGTGACAGGATATGAGTTCAGCAACCTTCTCTCAAATGGTTCAGGGAATAAAGATTCTTTGTTCTTTACCTTGAAATTTTTCTCTAAGTTTATGGTTATTTCAAAATAAAAAGGAAGGAAGGGTCTCTCTTATTAATTAATTTTGTCTCACGTTGTTTTAAGCTCTTTAGAGTGTTTTCAAATGTAAGTGGAAACGAAAAAAATATAACTATTAGCATATATAAAATTTAAATCTTAAAACCATGATCAACCCAAATAATTGTAGTAGATATATTGAGATATTTATTCTTTAATTCCCTGCAGGACTTAGATATTTTTAAGCTGAATCATTTTTATGTTTTGAAGCTAAAATCTATATATTGATGTTTGAGGAGTGTGAAATCACAATACTTCAGAATGTTACCAACTTTTCATAAAAATGTGACCTGGGTTTGACCCTATGTGTTTAGTAGCCCATTAGGCCCTCTGTGCTTTGATATACTCTCATGGCAAAAGTTTCCTGGCCTTACTCAGAGATCAGAAAAATTCTTTTCTGTGTCAAACTTTACAATGAAGTGAAAGTAGAGAAAGTAATGCTTCACTCAGAACTTTCTATTCGGGGTTTTTTCTTTTCTTAAGAAAGCGAAAGCTGAGAATGAAAAATTTCAAATATAGGTAACAGCAAGTAATATAAAGTATGCCTATGTACTCACCAATAAGGTCTAACAATTGTGAATATTTTTGCCTAAAAAATAAAAATATTGTAGAGACGTTGAAAATATTCCTATGTATTTCCCTCCATCTCATTTCCCTCTCTCTGCCTGCCCCAGGGTAACCTCTGTCCTCAAGTTGGTACATAGCCTTTCTTCCATCTGTGGTTTTTTGTATAGCTCTACAAACAATATGTGCTTTGCTTTGAGTGCTTAGAACTGTACCTAAATAGTATCACTTTATCTGAACATTCTGCAACTTGCTTTTTTTATTGGGGTAAAATTTAATGAAAAGCACAGATCTTAACTGTACAGTTGATGTCCTTTGATAAATGTGTATACCCACATAACCACTCCTCCAGTGGGAACACAAAACATTTCCAGCACCCCCAGAAAATTCCCTTCCAGTCTGTCCCCACCTCTAGAGATGACTATTTGATTTCCGGCACCACAGATTAATATGACTGTCCTTCAACCGTCACATGGTGTTTTTGTCAAACAACAATTGACCATAGTGTGTGAGTCTATTTTTGGACTCTCTATTTTGTTTCCTTGCTCCGTTTGTCCTATTGAAAATACCACACTAGGTCCATTAATATAGCTTTATAATAAGTCATGAAATTGCAAACTGTGAGTCTTTCAACACTTTCCATTTCAAGAGAGTGTTAGCTATTTTTAGGTTCTTTGCATTTCAATAAAATTTAAAATCAACTTGCCAATTATGACAAAAAGAAATTTCTGGGATTTTGATTAGGACTACATTGAATCTATGGAGCAATTTGGGAGAGCACTGACATTAACAACATTTATTTCAAATCTTTTGAATACATATCCAGAAGTGGGATTGCTGGATTATATGGTAGTTCTATTTTTAATTTTTTTTGAGGAGCCCCATATAGTGTCCCATAGTGGCTGCACCATTTTGCACCCCTGCCAACAGTGTGTAAGGGTCCCAATTTCTCCACGTCCTCACCAGCACTTGTTGCCTTTTTTTTTTTTTTTTTTTGTAAAGGCCATCCTGATAGGTGTGAGGTGATATTTCATTGTGATTTTGATTTACATTTTCCTGATGACTAGTGACATTCAGCCATTAGTCTTGAGTTCGATGATCTTTTTTCATATGCTGATTTGACATAGGCATGTCTTCTTTGGAGAAATGTCTATTCAAGTCCTTAGCCCGTTTTTAAATTAGACTATTGTTCTTTTTTTCCCTGTCGAGTTGTAGGAGTTTCTTATATATTTTAGAGATTAACCCTTTACCAGATAAATGGTTTGCACATATTTCCCCCCATTCCATAGGTTGCCTTTTTACTCCATTGATTGTTTCCTTTGCTGTGCAGGTTTTTAGTTTGATATAATCTCAGTTGTTTATTTTGTCTTTCGCTGCCCGTGCTTCTGATGTCATTGCCAAAATCAATGTCATGAAGCTTCTCCCCTTTGTTTCCTTCTAGGAGTTTTACAGCTTCAGATCTGGGTATTTATCCAAAAGACTTGAAACTGGGGTCCTGAGGAGATACAAACACTTCTCAGTTCATTAAAGCACTATTCACAGTATCCAAGGTAAGGAAACAGCCTAAATGTCCTTTGTCAGGTGAATGGATAAAGGAAATGTGGTATATACATACAACAAAATATTACTCCGTCTTAATAAAGAAGGAAATTCTGATATACGTGACAACATGAATGAAACTTGACATTTTGCTAAGTGAGAGAAGCCTGTCACAGAAAGACAAATACTCCATGATTCCATGTATATGAGGTAGCTAAAATAGTGAATCTCATAGAATCAAAGAGTGGAATGATGGTTACTAGAGGCGAGAGTTTGGGGGATGGGAATTACTAATCAGTAAGCATAAAGTTTTGATGTATAAATGTATAACATTATATCTAGTCAACAATAATATATTGTACACTTAAAAATTTGTTGAGAGGGTAGATCTCCTTTTAAGTGTTCTTACCACATTAAAATAAAATCTAAAAAAAGAAGAGTATGGAAAGAAAATAACAACACAAGTGAGTCTCCCAATCCATGAACAAGATCCTTCTCCATTTATTTTATTTTTCTTTAATTTCCCTCGGTACTATTTTTGTTGTTTTCAGTTTAGAGGTCATGACTGTCGTTTGTTAAATCTATTCCTATGAATTTTATGTGTTTCAAGGTGATATATACAAACACAATTGACTTTTTTTTTTTTTGAGACGGAGTCTCATTCTGTTGCCCGGGCTGGAGTGCAGTGGCACGACCTCCGCCTCCTGGGTTCAAGCGATTCTCCTGCCTCAGCCTCCTGAGTAGCTGGGATTACAGGTGTGTGCCACCATGCCTGGCTAATTTTTGTATTTTTAGTAGAGATGGGGTTTCACCATGTTGGCCAGGCTGGTCTCAAACCCCTGATCTCTGGTGATCCACTCACCTTGGCCTCCCAAAGTGCTGGGATTACAGGCGTGAGCCACTGCACCTGGCCGCATGACTGACTTTTGTATACTGAGTTTGTATTGTTCGGATTTTCTAAATTGGCTTATTAGTTTTTGAAGTTGTTTTGTACACTCATCAGGATTTGCTGCATAAATAATCCTGTCAACTGATAATAAAAGTTGTTTTACATCTTTCTTTCCAATCCATATGGCTTTTATTTCTTTTCTTCTTCCTTGTGCATTAGCTAGAGATTCTAGTACACTGTTGAAGGGAAATGGTGAAAATGAATATCCTTGCTTTGTTCTCCATTTTAGAAGTGAAGTGTTCAACCACTGAGTATGATGTTGGCTCTAAGTATTCATATGAGGCCTACGTCAAATTCATACATGTCGAATATCAAATTGGGGAAGTAAGTCAAATCAAAATCATTCTATTTTTAGTGCACGTGAAGTTGTTATCATGAATTGATTTTGAATTTTGTCAAATGCTTTATTTTATTAATTTAGCAAGTTATACTATTTTCAAATGTTAAACCTATTTTGCATTTCAGGTATAAATCCCACTTAGTCACAGTATATCGTACATATGTTGGATTTGCTTTGCTTTTTTATTTTTAAAAGGGTTTTATGTCTCTCTTTATGAAGGATATTGGTCTATAATGTTTTCTAGTAATGTTCAGTTATTTTCAGTTTGGGTCTCTCATAAATAGTCCTGCTGTAAACATTTTTGAGTATTTCTTCTGGTGCAATGTATACAACTTGAAGTTGGGCATGTACCTTGCAGTGAAGTTTCTGGGTCACAAGGTAAGAGTATGTTCAACTTTAGTGAATACTGCCAAAGTGGACATGCCAATTCACATTCCTACCTCCAGGGACAGCAGTGTCCCTCAGAGTGTGGACTATGAGCTATTTGTTATTAGACTGCAACGAGATAAGTTCAGAAATTAAGCGTCAGCATTTAGAAACTTTTATAGAAATTTGATGTTGCTTTGACATACAAATACATAGGCTCTTCTCGTCCAGCAGTGCATTGACCAGTTTGGATACTGTCACACTTGCATTATGAGGCGGGTGTGGGAGGAGCTTCACGTGCAATGGGGACCATGTGTTTTGGTCTGCAACGGAAATTTAAAAGGAAAGAAAGGCTGGTCTGTCACCATGTAGCGCTGGAGAAGCACTGGTGCATGAGAATTCTGGTGGTTCCACATCCTTGTTCACATTCAGTAATTTTCATGTAAGCCCTTCTGGTTGGTGTGCAGTTGGATGGCATTGTGACTACAGTTTGTATTTCCCCAATAACTAAGGAAGTTGCCCAGCCTTTTCATAAGTGTATTGGTTTCATATGTGTATCTGCATATTCCTAGGTGTGAAGTACTTCCAATTTTCAAAGTATATGTGTTAAGTTTTCCTAAAACATTTACCCTGGATACTGTCCCCCTGCCCTACTCCCATATTTCCATGATGAAGCAGGTGGGCAAAATAGGGAGAGGACAAAAACCTGATTCACAAGTGTCATTCACCTGACTTTATTCATTTAGTCAATATTTATGGGCATCCGGCACGCGCCAAGCACAGTGTGTGGAAGCAGGGATGCAGCATTGAATAGAATAGCAATGTTCTTGCCCTCTAGGGATTTATACTCCAGTTGGGGAGAAGATAGATAGTGCACTGATACCTTTGGATAGTAGTAAGTGCCACGAAAAAATAGGATAAGAAGAGAGTAACTAGGATGGGAAGATTCTTTGGTTAGAATGTCGAAAGAAGGTTTTCTAAAGCAATTATATTTAAGCCTGCATCAAAATAATAAGGAGGTGGCCACATAACAGGCCAGAAAGAGAATTCCAGGAAATGAGAGGTGCAAAGGCCCTGAGGTAGAAGCAGAGTGGTCTGAGGATTAATTAGAGAGCACTCCTCCACTTTGGTCAAAATTGACATGAGAGATGCCATAGACAGTGCGGTGGATACTGGTGTTGCTGTTCCCAGATTCCGGGACCCCCTTAGGTTCTGATGTGCCTCCCCTCCACCGTTAACGTGGGTTTACTGCCCAGACTTGCGACTGGAACTGACCCTTGAGAGACTGTCTGTAGGTGGGTTACTGCAGCCGCTGTGCCCCCACAGGCTGTGATCAGGAAGTATCTGAGGGGCTGCACCCTCCCTCCTACCACCCAGCAGCCCTAATCCAGTAGTTGGAGGATGTAGGGGTATGAAACTCCAGCCCCTGTGACAGCAGCTGGGGTGAGGCAGGAGAATAGGGTCTGGAGACAGGGAGCCTAAGGCCCACCGGCCTCTGACTTCTTGGAATTGGACCGAAAGGAAAACTCCACCTTTCCATGCCCCTGCGACAGGGGCCAGAGGCCCCTCCCTCTGCAAAAACCCCCTCTCGGGAAATGCCTCTGATTGGTCAGAGGCCAAGCTTCACTTCAGCCTGATTGGTCACAGGCCAATCCTTCATTGGCATGAGGTGTAACCCAGTTGGAGGACTCTATTGGAGGCCTCTAAAGGGTACCTAGGGGTGTTACCAAATTCTTCTAGTTTAATAAAAACCCTAAAGAACATTGCAACTGGGGCTCTTGAGCCACCTGATGGATCCTGCTCCCACTCTGTGGAGTGTAGTTTCACTCAATACATTTGTGCTTTTGTTGCTTCGTTCTTTTGTTGCTTTGTTTGTGCATTTTGCTCAATTTTTGTTCAATGTGCTAAGAACCTGGATCACTCAGTGAAGACCTTCTATCTGGCAACAGGGGCAAACTCAGGGTGTCATTCAGGCTCAGAGAGCCATGGGGATCACACTGAGGCTGAGATTTAGCCAGAAATCATACCCTTGGTTGCCCTTTTCTCTTTTCCTTCCTAGTTTTTTTTTTTTTTTTTTTGAAAGCACTTCCTTAATAAATCAGTTGTCCCTGAACTCTTACCTTAGGGTCTACTTTTAAGACTTAAAAAAGTCTGCAGTCTTAGGACTTAACACCCTCTGCTATAGGTTTCTACAATTGTTTTTCTTTTAAGAATATATTTTTTCTGTGGTACTAGGTAAAAGCATGTGCCATGAAATCGGGCACGCTTGGATTGGAACGCCATGGCCATTCAGTCACAGCCACCCTTAGGCAGGTCACCTGGTCTCTCTGGGCCTCAGTTTCCTCAATTACAAAAGTGGGACAAAGACAGTGCCACCTTTATGGCTGCTGTGAAGATAAAATGAAAGAAGATAGGCAACATACTTAACAGAAAGATGGGAAAACATGAACACTCAGATTTACCTATGACTATAAAACCTTTCTAAACTTCATCAGAGAGTTCAAAAATGTTGTCAAGCCTTGGAACGTATATCTGTTGCATTCCTTTAAAACTGTATGCTATCACTGGAATTTGGCTGGGGACAGAGGAGAGAAGCGGAAGAGAAATAGCCATTCTAGATACCTGCAAGAAACCACTCATGTGCATCCTCTCGTTTAATCCTGACAAGCACCCAGCTAGAATAGAAGGCTCTATTATAATTATAAAGATAGGAACCTAACATTCAAAGAGGCTGTTATCTGAGGAGACATGGTGTTGAAGAGGTTAAAATATGCGATTCCAGCGTATTGACTAAGTTCAACACTTTAAAAACAGCAGGTGCAACAAGATGACTTTGACCTTCCTGCTGTTTCTTAAAAGCAGAGGGTGAAATTCCTATGTGAAAGATGCCCTCCCTAGATGATGCAACATTTTTATATAGTCAAAGTCGAAACTGGGAGAGTTCTGTACAGATCTTGTTAAAAATAACTCTTATCTTTTAAGCCTCTCCATATAATTTAGTGGCTTCTTCACAACTAACTCTTCTCTGTCCAATCCACTACATAATTAACTGACTTTAGCTACTTCTTTGGGGTCTTCATTTCTTTATGAGGGCTCCTGTGCTGCGTGAAGTTTGTATTAAGTTTTTCTCCTGTTAATCTATCTTATGTGGATTAAATTCTTGGACTCAGCTGGGACCCTAAGAGGAGGGAGGTAGACTTTTCCCACCCCTACAGTGTGTATATATCAGGGTTCCAAGCCAGGTTGTCTGGACAGAGGAACCCAATTCCCTTGAGTTGAGGGGCTGTCTTTGCTTTTAAGCCGTTGCCCTGCAGAAGGGGCTTGGTGTTGCGGTTATTCTGGGGGAGCGTCCAGTCCCAGGTGAAATGACTCCTGCCATGCCCAGCTACCAGATAATGAAGCTTCTTCCCAGGGTCACAACTCCAAGAATGAGGAACGCCTCGTCCTCAGGCCAGCGGCGCAGCTGAGCCTCTCTGGGCTCATATCACAGTCACCATAACTGCACTGTCTCCACTCTAACGGGGCTCCCAGATCACAGACCCTACCGGCCGCCGCTCTGGCCCGCCAGGATCCTCACGCTTTTAAGTCAGGTGCGGTTTCTGGAAGAAGCCTGGTGGTGCCACATCTACAGGCGAATCAGATCCCAGAGCAGACAGAGCTGACCACCTGCCCTGTGGGGCGTGCAACCCCAGGTGCAGATTACAGACAGGGAAGGAGGGAGGAGCTTAGCTGAAACCCCTTCCTGACCCCTTTCCAATAAGCACTCAGGGGTAGCAAAACATCCAGGAACTTTTAGTTCTGGGTCAGCTGGGACAGCGGTAGGGACAGCGTCCTGTTCGTGCCTTCTCTGAGTTTTCTATTAGGTGCCACCAAACACATTCCCACCCAAAAGAACCATTATATTGGACCTTACTGAAAAGGTTAAAATATGCATTCTGGCATGGTAACTGTTTCAGTGAAAGGCACTTGAAAAACAGCAGGTGCAAGATCACTCTCCCCATAGCAGAAGGAAGACAGCATCCTTATCCTTAGGACTAGAAGCTGCCAGCTAAAGAATACTGCAGAGCGTCACTCTAATCTTTTTAGTCACATTTTCAAAGTTTATTCTTCTCTGTTTAATCCAGTATTTAAGTAGTGGACGCGAACTGCTTGCTCGGGTCTGTCCCTCTTTCCTTCCTTTCCTTCCCTTCCTTCCTTCCTTCCTTCCTTCCTTCCTTCCTTCCTTCCTTCCTTTTCTTTGCTAGGGCCTGCCTTTCTCTGTTGCTTTCTTTCTTGCTTTCTTTGTTCGGGTCGTCATCTCTTTCCTCTTTCTTTCTTTCTTTTCTTTCTTTCTCTCTCTGTCTTTTCTTCCTTTCTCTCTCTGTCTCTCCCTCTTTCTTTCTTTCCCCAAGGAGGATTTGCCTGCCTGCCTGCCTGCCTTCCTTCCTTCCTTCCTTCTTTCCTTCCTTCCTACCTTCCTTCCTTCCTTCCCCCTTCCCTTCTTTTTCTTTTGACAGAGTCTCACTCTGTCACCCAGGCTGGATTGCAATGGTGCAATCCCGGCTCACTACAACCTCCGCCTCCCGGGTTCAAGCGATTCTCCTGCCTCCCGAGTAGCTGGGATTACAGACGCGCGCCACCGCGCTGGGCTAATTTTTTGTATTTTTTAGTAGAGATGGGGTTTCACCATGTTGGCCTGGCTGGTCTCGAACTCCCGACCTCGCGATCCGCCCGCCTCGGCCTCCCAAAGTGCTGGGATTACAGGCCTGAGCCACCGCGCCCGGCCGGGTCTGCATTTCTGTATGAGGGCTCCCATGCCGCGTGAAACTTGCACTATGCTTTCCTCCTATTCATCTATCTTATGTCAATTTAATTCTCGGACCCAGCCGGGACCCCTAGAGGATGGAGGTGGAGTTCTGCCCTTACACTGAAAGCACAATCTTCCAAAAGCAGAGACACTCTTCAAAACTTTGAAAAGAGACTTTTAGGTCCTAGGGCAATGGAATCTCGTTTTCTCAAAAAGCCCTGCTTGCTTACCCTCTCGTTTTCCCCCAGGCCTGTTTTCTGGGACAGGGTGGGAGGCCCAAGGAGACAGCCAAGTTCAGGCCCCAAGCACCCAGCTCCTCCTCCCAGGGTGGGAGCCTGGCCAGAGTTCCCGACCCACCCCGCCCCATTCCCCGCTGGCGCTTGGTCCGCCCCTCCCCGTCTGGAAGCCTCCAGCAGCCCCGCCCGGCGGAACTAGGGGACGGGTGGGGGACGTCGAAGGGCGAGGGCGGTGACCCCGGGGCCAGAATTCTCGCAGGCGCCTGGGCCGGGTGCCCGGCCGTGCGTGAGTGCGGAACAAGTCTGGGCGCGGGGAAGGGCGTGGGTGCGGGCCGTGGGTGGGTGCGGGGCAGGGCGCGGGGCTGTGGGAGGGCGCGAGGCCGTGTGTGGGTGCGGGGCTGGGTGCAGGCCGTGGGTGGGCGCGGGGCCGGGGCTGGCGGGGCAGGGCGCAGGCTGCTGCAAGGCGGCCTCGTGGATTCTGGCCCCGGACGCACGAAGCGGGTTCTACTTTTTAAAAAAACTGCGTTGCCTTTTCCTTCCTCTACGTTAGCATCCTGTCCGGGGTCCCCGGCCCATGTGGCCTTTCTTCCAGCGACAGTACACTTAGCTCAGAACGGATTGACACCCACTCTGTGTTTCCACCGGGCGCGCAGGCTCTGCAATGCGGAGCGCGTTCTCTGAAGGACAGGCCCCGGAGTCACGGCTACAGCCACAGAAAGCGGAAACCGAGCTGCAGTCCAGAGGGGATCCCCGTACATTTCCAGCGGGCTCAGACACAGGGTCCCCCACAAGAAAGAAACAGGACAGAAAAAGTCAGGACACGTATGCTGTGGAGAGTCGAGGTCTCGCCTAGATCTTGGGTGTGGGTAGACGCAGCCGCTGGCAGTTTTCCTTTCCAGCGTCTCTGGGGAGCCTGGAGATGTCCTTGGTGCCGATGTGACACGAAGAGTGATTGCGCCGCCCTGCAGAGGCGGTGGCGGGACGCTGCGCTCGGGCTGGGAAAGGCCGGCCCCAGGGCGACCCCTCCGGAGGCCCCCGGAGAGCAGGTGTGCACCTCGCCTCCCGCTGGGCAGCCAGTTCAGGAGAAAAATGTGAAGCTTTTAGCTAAACAAAATATTTCTTTCGTTAAGGGCTTTCTCCACACGGAGACTTTCTAGCCACGTGAGACTTTGACCTCCCAGTCCCCCAGATTCAGCGCTGGGACCGAGCGTCTGCTGTTATTTTTAGTAGAAGTATAAAAAGAATCTCGAAAAGTTTTAGCTCTGGAGAAGGCGTGAATACAGCTGGTGCCTTCATACACTCCACTTGAGCCGCTCTTTAAGAACTCCAGGAGATCAGAAAGCAATACGAAAGCCAGAGCATTGCACATGGGATGGGCTGGCGGGTGGCCTTTGGGTCCCTATCTTATGGACGATTTTTGTAAATGGGGCATTGGAGATGAGTATCACCTGGATCACATTTTTAGGTTGAATTCCTCCGTGGGGGGAACTTTAGCAATACGCATCCAAATAAGAATGTAGATTGCAATAATTGTAGTAAAGTGTTTGCCAGACTCATCTCAGAAAAAGACATTATCAAAAGGCATTTATTATCTTCCTAATGCGTGTCTGGCACTGGGCAGACACTGTAGAATACTATCTTGATTAGAGTCTCAAGGATTTTGTACTTAAAGTCCTTTACAAATAAAAGTATTCAAGTATAATCTATTATAAAGACTCTTTTCTCCACTTTGGGGATATACGGTGTGGCATCGATTCATTGGTCATACCAAAACTGTTACTTCTGTTTTGGAGGAATTAACAAGGAAAACCCAGGCTTAGTAAATCAACATCGAAGTTCAGAAGTTCAGAGTAATTTGTCTTGGGAACAAAGTCCTCCCTAGAGCGAAGAGGCATTCACAGGAGCTCTTGGTGTTAATGGGATTATTCAAGATATACCTGAGACCAGATAAATATTTGATGATTTTGCCAAGCACTAGGGTTTCTTTGCAGTTTGTCTTTGGCTGACGTTTTCCCCCCGTGGGGTTTGGACTTTGTGGCTTCACCAGATTTTGCAAATGAAAGAAGGCTGGGGTTTCCCAAGAGTACACTTGTGCAGGAAACAACAGACTAGTGAGGTTTACAAGAGGGGGGTGTGTGTGTGTGTGTGTCTGCCTGTGGGATGGGGGTGGCACGGGGGAGAGAGAGATGTGGGTTACAAAGCTGCCATCTAGAGGCTAGAGGCTCCTTTCTGCAGTGTATATAATGCAAGTCTGCAGCCAGCAGAGCTCACAGTTGTTGCAAAGTGCTCAGCACTAAGGGAGCCAGCGCACAGCACAGCCAGGAAGGCGAGCGAGCCCAGCCAGCCCAGCCAGCCCAGCCAGCCCGGAGGTAAGGAAACGGTGCTCGGGCAGCAGCTCTGCTCGGAAAGAAGGCACGGCTTCTGCTCTTAAGCCAAGTGGTCTTTTCAAAGGCCTTCTTTAAAATCGCTCAGATGGGTGCTTTTGAGTCTGCGGGTCTGGTTTCTGAAAACCCAGGCTGCACGCAGCTGCATTGCAAAGTGCTTTTGCTAATTCGGAGGGCTTCACCTTTCTCTTCAGAAAGCAAAGGGCAGTTTTCTTAAGTCACTTGCAGAAGGAAATTTCCATGTGTATTTAGGAATCTGGTGTTTATTTGCTGTGTGGCTATTTAAGCTCCAGTAAGCAGGGGAACTTTGCAAGAACACAGACTATCCATTCTGCCTGACCAATTTGGCATGGGGATTAGCTTGGCACCCACTGTTTACCTGTTTTGCTTCTAGTATATCAGTTTGGAAACAGATAAAATTGGCAGTAAATACGTAATTCCAGAATGATGAACACTTTATTAAGAGGCATCCTTAAATGGAGCAGAAAACTGCTGAGAATCTTTGTGAGTCCAAGATGTATTTGAATTCAGTACTTTGGGGGATTTACCAGAGTCTGTAAGTCCGGAAGCTATAAACGTGAATGTTAAACACAGCCCGGTCTTCTCTTCTCTTGATGGCACGCTTGCTAATCTAATTTGAGTATTGTTCTCTTAGAAGGTGTTAAGTCCAACTTCAATTGGGGTTGGGGGAAGCACACACACAAATCTACTATTTTGCAATTTAAATATACTCTTCAGGTAAAATGTGGATTTTGTTCAATTTTGTTGGCATGTGCAAAGATTCAAGGAGTGACTGAGAGAACTTTGGAGTGAGGTCAGGGATGGGTGGTTAGCCAAGACTTGTAACTTCCAGGGAGAATGAGAAGTTGTAAAAGTCAGACTGGCTGTCTCTCTTTCTCTCTTCCTCTTTCTTTCTTTCTTTCTTTCCTTTTGCTCACAACAGGATTACTTAGTGTTTCAAAAGTGGGAGAGAGCCTCCTTAAATGGTTTACAGCCCTTTGAATGTATTTGGTGCAGTGACATCCCCTGAAACTTCAGTCTGCAAAGTCTCAACATGGTAACTTTGTTCTTTTCTTTTTTAAAGGCAGATGCTGCTTTTAGTGTCCCTTTATTTATTCCAGGAAAAATGTGGACATCAGCTAGGCACGCCTAGCAAAGAAAGTGGAGGCTGCTGGTTTCTGTGCTTTAACTTTCCATAGATTTTAAATGGATAAACTGCTTGCCCTTCTTTCATCAGAATATGAGCTTTCCCCAGATGGAAAGTCTTTTCTAAAGCAAAGTTGCACATGGGAGCTCTAGCTTGGAAACAATTTGCTCTTTTTTCCCCAGTCTCTGCCATAAACACTTGAATGTGCACACAACTGCAGAGCTTAATGCCACAACCTCCAGGAGATTGGGGGGAGGGGAAAGCTGCCCAGGATGGGGGTGGGAAAGCGAAGGAAGATGGAGAAATGGCTGCAGTTTGCTGCCCATCAGCTTTTCTCTTTTAAGGGGCAGACATTGCAGACGTAGTTTTAAAAAAGTTCCATAAAGCATCGCCAAGGCAGCATGCCTGTGCGACACACGCAGGGCTTTGGGGGTGTGTTTTCCCCGTATTAACAGCAAGTCGTTGAAGCGTTGAGAAGGTATTATGATTTCTAATCAGGCCCAGAACAGGCCAAGTATAGGCTTTCTGAATGAAAAAAAAAAAAAAAAAAAAAAAACCCAAAACAAAAAACCCTGCTTAATCAGGAACAGTGGCTTTTTGTGTGATCATTTTAGGGCGAGAGCTCCTGTTTTCAAGTCGACGTGAGGGAAATTGGTTGAAGTCACTCAAACCTGAGGCTGAAGGGCAGTCACTTTATAAACCTTAAGAGTAACCGAGGGGAAAGAAAAAGACCTCAAAGATTGCAAAACTTTAGATTTTTTTTTTGTGATTTTGTAGAACATGAGGGGAATCTGGGGCCAGAAGGCATTTGTACCTTTAAACCAGGCAATCAAATAACTTAGTTTTATTATTAGAAGCAAGAATAGTATTAAAACGCCTTCAATTGGATTGCACGTGTGTAGGCATAATTCAGGAAGAAACTAAAGATCGTGTCATGTCAAGTGTTACTAAAGTTCAGGAAGGAAAAGACAAAGCTCCAGGACACGTATTTTCTGTTGAAATAAAAGAAAGCAAGCCAGAAATAGACAGATCAGGACAGGGAGGCGTGCAGGCGGTGGCCCTGATTTTGAATATTTGATGGTTTCCTTCAGGGAATGTTTGATGCTTTTATCGACTAATTTGGAATTGAAAAAAACAAAACAAAACACTATTGCTTCAATATTAAAGTGATCAGGGAATTGCATAATTTTATGGTGACAATTTTAAAGAGCCACAGGTAGTTTTGGAAGCAGACTGTGTTTTGTTCCAGGCACTGAAAAAGTGGATGGGGGCCGAGACTATCTCAGGTGGCCTTGAACCACTGTTGGCAAAGGGACAGATAACGAGCCCAGGGCAGTGTGGGGGACTTTGCGTTTTGAAGTCTGGGTCAGCCAGATAGTAAGCATCTTTTGCTTTTCCTGCTATAACAGATATGTGGCCATCCTCCCTCAGTTGTATATGCAGAGCCTAAGTTTGCACAGTGTCCTCCTGGGAACCCCATTGTGTCTGGCTTAGGGCGGGGGTGAGGAGGCTCTCCTAGCCTGGCTGACCTCCCACTGCCTCGTCCTAGTCCTAAGCTGGGTGGGAATCAGGGCTCTGGTTACACTGGGCCGGCCCAGACGGCAGCCTTTGTGACGTGGGAATCTCTGGACCTGCTCTTGTGGGTATAGCTTTGCTTCCCTGTCGGGCAGCTGAGCACAATAGACCAGATCAGGTTTCTGGACGTGGGATTTATTTGATCCCCCAAATCCTTAAAGTGGACGAGGGTGTCCCACGTGTTCATGTGAAGTATGTCTAAGGACCCTGGGAAGAGGTGGACTGTATCTGAATCAGGATATAGAGTTTTCTGTAGTTATTATTTTTTGCGTTCTCAAGTAATTCAAAGCAGTTATGTACTTGCATAAAATAAGATCACTCACGGTCACTAGTGAATGTGTAGTCAAGACTGTTTTCCATTTGCTGGCAGCAGAGGGGACAGACAGCTACCCATTCTGCTATCAGCCCTAGCAGATAGTCACAGAGAGTCTGCCTGGGCCAAAGCTCCCCTAGGTTACTTGGTTGGTTTCCCCATAGATTCGATGTAGCATTGGTTAAAAACACACAGACACACAGACACACACACATGCACACACACACACACCCCACTCAATGATGCGCAGTTGCCTAATGGTTCTTCAGAGGTAGTGTGGATTCTCCTGATCTAACTTGCAGGCTCAGCGTAAGCGGGGCTGGCCTGGTGGAAGAGGTGTTATCTGCTCAAGGAGACCAGAGCGTTTGCTTTTGTAGCATGATTCCCGCTGGAGAGTCCCTGGAGATGTTGGAAAGGGGAAGAGAACTCTGTTCTTAGCCACAAGCGCACCATAACCCAGTCTCTTCACCCGGCCTGGCCTCAGTTTCCAGGTGTGCAAACAGTGAGGGCCACTGTCCCAGCTCTTGTCTGGGACAATACCAAGTTTCTTCATGAAATTCCCTTGTAGGACACAGGTCTCACACTGCAGAAAGCCAGTGAAGGAGGCAGAAGTCCTGCAGGGCCCAGATGGCCAGAGGGTCCCCCTTTTCGGAGCTGGTCCCGGGGCCCCAGGCCTGGCCTGAGTTATCTTATCTATACCACTGTAGAGGAGTGATGTGTGTGTAGCAGCCTGGTCTGCACCCAGCTACCAGACCACCCCACTGCAAAGCTGCCTGTGGGGTTCGTATCACTTCCATTCTCAAAGCCTCCTCTGCTCCAAAGCCATGGCCTTGCTCTAGACTGTCCTGGCTCCTGCATGGACAAGCCCTGGTCATATTCCTTGCCCACCCTTTAAGGCCCAACTCTTACCTCCATTTGCTCTTCGTGGAGAGTCCTTGCCTCAGCCAGGCTGGGTGACTCTACCCATGGCTGTGCCTTCCTGGAACATCCTTGATCACCCCTACCTCCTTGAAGTCCCCCATAAGCCACCAGAGTAGAAACCCCTCATTTTCCTGCTGAAGGGGCATGCACCACCTTGCTCATGCCTGGGGGGTGATGGGCCTGCGTGCCTTCCCAATTAGCCGGCGGGGTCTCGGGGGTTGGGGGGAGATGTTTCTGATTTGTTGTCCTCACGTGCCCCAGAGCAGTGCCTCCTGGAACAAGAGGCTCAGTCCGTCAACACCAGCTCGGTGACGATTTCAGAAAAGTCTCTCCTGGACGCCCGTCTCCGCTGCTGGCCACAGTCGCTGGTCTTGGTGGGGCACGATTAACTGCTGGCTCATTGAGTACCTACTATGTGCAGCTGTAGCTGTATAGCTGTATAGCTGTAGCTACACAAAGTTACAGAAGACTTGGTGGGGGGTGCGGGGCCTGGTAGGAATGAGGTGGAGGGGCAAGAAACCTGAACAACGTGATGGTACAAAAGCCATTCCAGAATAGAGATGTGCAGTGTGGGGCCAGGAGAAGGTGGGAGAATCAGAAGGGCAGAGGGCATCAGTTGGGAAGAGTCTGTGGTTGGAGACTGCAAACATGTGGAAGGGAGTTTGGAGGGACACTGGCCAGGTGCCTGAACACGTGGCATTCTCTGGAAGGAACTAACCAGCGTGAGGACATGCTGATTGCATACTCAGCCACCACCCATGAAGGCTCTAAACCTGAGTACCTGTAATTCCGGCTTCACCCTCAGCTTGCAGAGTGAGCTCAGGGAGACCATTTGGATGTGGCTAAATACCCCAGGCTGCTTGCTGCAGCACGGTCGTTGTCAAGGATACTTGGTTGATGAATAAAACATCCCAGAAACGAGAGGTGCATCTCCGAGAAAGTCCTGCAATTGACAAGAGGAGCCCCAGTACCATCTGGGCTGTGAGTGACAGAGGAGTCCCTTTGCAGGCCATAGGCTGGCAGGGATGGAGGGCTGGACAGGTGCTTGCCCACCGCCGGCCACGGGAAAGTTCTCTCCCTGTCACTGCAACGTGCGACAGGGCCGCTAAAAAGGTGACCCCTGTACGAAGGAATGAATGAGATAAAACAGAGCAAGCGCTGGGAAAAAGGGAATGAAAGCTGACGTTCACTGCTTTTTGTTCTCCCTTGGGTCTCTGTGGTCCAGGAAAATGCAACATGAACCTCGATTGTTCTGTGGACCATTCCTCCCTCTATGAAAATTTACATAATTCTTGATGTCAAATTTCAAATAACACAGAAGTTTATAGAGTAAAAACTACAAGTCTCCTTTTGTTCCCTCCTCCTACCTTCCCAGCCCCAAGTTTTATACTTACTGCAGGTCTTTTTCTATGCCTTCGTGCACATGTATTTACATATAAAAATACACAAATGTAATTTTTGTGTTTCTTTCTGCATAGCTGGGGTTGTGCTGTGTGTGCGTGTGTCTGGGGTTGTGCTGTGTGTGTGTGTGTGTCTGGGGTTGTGCTGTGTGTGCGTGTGTCTGGGGTTGTGCTGTGTGTGCGTGTGTCTGGGGTTGTGCTGTGTGTGTGTGTGTCTGGGGTTGTGCTGTGTGTGCGTGTGTCTGGGGTTGTGCTGTGTGTGTGTGTGTGTCTGGGGTTGTGCTGTGTGTGCGTGTGTCTGGGGTTGTGCTCTGTGTGTGTGTGTGTCTGGGGTTGTGCTGTGTGTGCGTGTCTGGGGTTGTGCTGTGTGTGCGTTTCTGGGGTTGTGCTGTGTGTGCGTGTGTCTGCGTATTGTCTTTCACTGAACAGCATGTCGTAACTCTCCCTGTGCATGAAGGGAGGCCTCCCTCTCACAGCTGTATTATATTCCAGATGGCGGAGACACCAGGCTTTACTGAGTCGTGCCTTTGTTGAAAGACATTTACGTTGTCTCCAGTGTTTGCTCGTAAATAAATACTGCTTTAAAAAACATCTTGTGTACATTTGGAGACACATGAATATTTTGAGGAGAGAAACGTATGAATTTGTATCATCATAGAACTGGAAAGAAACGTCTTTTGTTCTGCACCCCCTCCCCTTCCTTCCCCCTGGAATCTTTTATGCAGAAACCTTAGAACCTAAGTGTCAGAAGTGGGTCTCATTCCCCTGCCTGCCCTGGCATGGGCACTGAGGCCCTAGAGACGCAGGCAGTGGGCAGGTTTGATTCACACCCAGACATGTTTCTTAGACCCTGGCCTCAAGCGGGAATGGAATTGCTGGTTGATTCCAGCAGAGGGTGACTGGTCTAAGTGGATGTCTCCTTCAGGCCCTGTGGCTATCGGCCTTCCCAACTTCCCAGCGTAAACAGACCCCGCACAGGCTGAGAGGCATTAAGAATGTATACAAGGACCCGAGGGCTGGCCCATCCAGATCTGTGCGGAATGCAGTCAGCTCTTTCTGTATGGGATGAGGTAATCCCCTGCTTTTGCTTGAGGGGACCTGTGATTTCTGTGCAGGGCCCGCTGGGGGTTCATTAGAGGCCTCCCTCCCTCTCTCCACTTTCAGATTTTGCAGGGAGCTTTGTCACCAGGCTTTTGAGAACCAGGGGCCCTGGGTACACATTTCATAGTTTGCTCTATGAAGCTTTTGTTCCTATCAGGGATTCTGAGAGTGTCACTTATTAAGATCTAAGCAGGTAATTTAGGAAGATTCTTTGCTCCAATAGTGGACGCACAACCATCAGTGAATGGTGGTCAATGAAAGTGGGCCCTGCCCACCCTAAACGTCCTGCACGCAGGCTGGGGCGGCCAGAGCCTTTGTCGCAGGCCACCTTCCATGTTACACGGCAGTTCCCTATTTTGAATAAGGGGATTGTCTTTGTCAAATAATAATCTGTTTGCTGGAGACAGCTCTTGTTTCTGAAACCTAATGCATGAAAAATACCGAAATGACAAAAGGGTAAGCTATAGTATGACATTTTTGTTTTTCTGTTTTTTGTTTTCTTTAGCTCCCATTTGAATTTGCAGAGGACTTGATGACTGCACTGTCTGCTTAATCTCCCTTTTCACTGTACTTTCCTTCCTATCTGACCCCTGGAACCTTTGGTGGTGGGAAGGGAGAGGCCCGTCCAGGCCCCGAGAGGAAAGCAGGTGGTCAGGGTGTGGGCCTCTGGCTTTGTTTCCTGGCCAGCCCCAGTGTGGGCTGCTGTTCCTTGGGCTGACTGGTGGTTAATGATTGAGGATCGGTGATCGGTGAGTGATGATAGGTGGCCGGTGATCGGTGGGGCAGTGAGGAGCTCCAGCCTCCGCTCTCTCATTCAGCCCTTGGGCAGCAACAGCCATGCCCTTGTTGGAAGTTTCCCACTGTGCCACCCGGGAGGGGAGAAGCAAGGACAGAGGCGAGGACGGCTGAGCGGGGAAGTGCCTATCTCAGAAATACTGTTTTTGACTCAGAGGACCAATGGTCCCTAAATCAAATTTTCGTCACCCAAAGAGGCAAAGGTAGAAAGCCAAGGGCTGGATGGGGGTCCCTGAGCCCTTTTCCACCTCTCAGTCCCACTCTGGGCTCTGAGAATACTGAAGGCTGCTGGTAGCTCAAAGCGGGTGAGTGTCTATTTTGTGCTAAGAGTGGAGGAACTGGAAGGAAGGACACACTCGAGATGTGGGAACCAGGCGTCTTCTCACTGAGTGACCCTGCCTCCTGCTGGGGCCTGTCCATGCTGAGCAGTGGCCAGGCGCCTGGCCAGCCGGCATCTGACATGTCTCTACACTGGAGGGCAAGTAAGACCTGAGCCAGAGGAATGTCACCATGGTGGGGGAGAGAGGTGGGGCGGATTCGGGATCCAAGTTCGGGCGAACAAAGACTGAGGGTCATTTCTTTCTAGCCCCTGTGAATGGCCCAAACCCCAGGATTTATGGCAGCTTCTGCTGTGTGGCTGTGCCAGTGGGGACAGAGCAGGGAGCCCAAGCCAGGCGCCAGCCGAGCTCCCTCTGGACCCAGCTGCTGTCCCTGCTGCTGCCCAGCTGTGGGGCGGTCCTCCATTCAAGCTCCTCTGCTCCCCGGGACTCTGGGGTCAGATGAGATCATGGGGGAAAGTGTTTTGGAAACCAAGCCATGATGCAAATGTGTTTCGTTTTAAGGAAATGGGAGAAAGGAACAAGGATTGTTGCAGTAGAGCCATGTGGGGAGAGCAAAGGTGAAATCCTTGTCTCCTGGCATCACGGGGTGGAGAGTGGAACGTCAGCTCTGGGTCATTTGGTGGCCAAGGAAAGATGGCGATAGTAGCTTCAAGGCACGGCCTGGGGTTGCCCGTCCACCCTGGAGGCAGTCTGGCAGGACAGGGTGTCCTCAGCTCCCTGCTGGGCCTACGTCCTTTTGGAGTTCTAGAGCTGCGTCTTAGGACAAGTGTGCCAAGCCTCCTGCTTTGAGTTTCTGTCCTGACCTTGACCTGGCTCACCTCCATGGGCAGCCTCCCATGCTTGGGCATCAGGGCTTGTCATAAGTCCGTGGTCACAGGGCTTGATTCCTCCTAGTGGGTGACTCTGAGGACGGCCAGGCCTCCCGCTGCAGGACCAGCGTGGTTCCCTCCATGGAAGGCTTTCAGAGTGTGGAGGGGATGCGGCTGTCTTGGGAGGCCCAGCCCTTTCTGTCAGCCGTGGAGGACACTGAGTCAGGTTAGGTCACGAGGAGGGGACCCCACAGTCATTTACATCCCGCAGAGGGAAGTGCCCAGAAGCCCGCAACAGTCTCCGCTAAGTGGGGTTCACGCCAGGTCCTCTGCTGTGAATGTGGAGGCTGTGGAGCCGAGGCCGCGAAATTTCTCACTTTTCAGGGATTCTGTTCAAGTTGTCCCAAAGGAGAAGCCCATCAAACAACCCAGTCTCTGTGCGAGCTCCCCCGGGGGCATTTACTACTCAGCCAGTGAGAGCCAGGTTTCCAGGGGAATAGAATTAAACAAGGTTCTGCTTTTTGCTGAAGGGAAAAACCGCTCCCTTAGGTGGGAGAATCCCCAGGGTTCTTTCTTCCTGGCCAGGGAGGGAGAAGGGGGTGACGTTTTATTGAGCATCGGCTAGGGCCAAGCTCTCAATTAGGCCCTTTCTTCTTTCTTCTTAGGGTATCTGTGAGATAGGTGCTGCTGTCCTGGGGAGGTAGATGCAGACAGATTAACTCTCAAGGTAAATGCTAATGAATAGAGGAGCCAGAATCCCAACCCAGGAATGTCTGATCTCGGAGTGGGCGGCTTCCCAGCTGTGGCTTTGCATACCGCTAGCGTAGCCACCCGGACCCTGATCCCCTGACCCTTGTCCTTGATCCTCCAGGAAATTCTCATATGTAACCTGGAATCCACTTTAAATGAACTCGGTAAATAATGTCTTGACTCTAGGCCAGTCATTACCTGGGACAGGTGAGGGGGAAGGGCAACCACCTGACTATGTCACTGTCAACAGTGCATCCTTGGGCTGAGGTTTTCATTTTACAGTGGGGTTCAGGCAGGGCTAATTGCTGACCCAGGACTGTGGCCTGGAGGGATTTCAGGGCCTTCCCATGGGCGGACTGACAGTAGAAGACAGCCCCTGTCAGTCTATCTGAAGAAATCAGTGCCAGATAACAATGGTACCCCGTGGCTGAATTCTGGCTGGGAGTGAAATGGTGATGGAGTGTTGGTCTCACCTCAGGTCAGCAGGGAAAACAGTTGGGAAAATGGTCAGCCCTCCTGAAATGCAGCAGGTGGTGATTTTTGTGTTTTGAGTCTTGGCACACCTTGCTGTTGAAGCAGTTGAACAAATAAAGGAATGGAAAAACAGGTGCTGACCCAAAGCTTGAGACAGCTGGTTGGTTGCCCTTCGTTGAAAACCACACGGCCAACCCAGAGTCTTCAGGTTTGGGGCGCAGTTAAGCTGTGGGGCACCCTGCGTAGGCTCACTGTGTTTCCAGAGGCTTTATGACTGCACACTGGGGCCGCCTGAGACCCAGGTTTATATGTGAATTTAGCAGACAAGTAAAAAGTGCTGAGTCACATTATAAATGCAAATTTGGAGGAGGATTTGAAATGCTTTCATTAAGACACCAAAGCAGGACACTTGTAATACAGCAGTGCCAGGAGAGGACAACCCTGCCATTCTTTGGGGACCTAGATAAAATGGCTCCACTGTCCCCTGCTGAGAGTGAGCAGGCCATCAGCATCGCGGTGGCCGGGGCTCAGCTGCCTGACGTTTCTTTGGCCCCTGTACTGTGTTGATTTCACACACTGGGCACAGCCATGCTGGCGGTGTCTTGAGAACACAGCCATGAAAAGATGGAGAAAGCAAACACAGTTTCTGTCTTGGAGCACCACATGGATTTAGATTCAGAGTATGATTTATTTTGTTTTGGAGAGTTTTATTATGAATTTTTTTTCTCCCTTCTTTGCAAAGACATTACAGAGCTAAACCCAAACAGCTGAGCCTATCAGGGCCTTGGAAAAGCATTTTTGCCTGAAACTTGAGTTTTTCCTAATGAAGTGACTTTCCTCTTCCATCTTTTTTGTTTGCTTGGTTTTCTCATAGGTCATTTGATTGCCCGCCTCAGAACGATGGATCTGCATCTCTTCGACTACTCAGAGCCAGGGAACTTCTCGGACATCAGCTGGCCATG